>NC_000004.12:47480378-47789803 GCF_000001405.40 Homo sapiens
TGAGATATAACTTACATACCATAAAAATCACCCCTTTTAAGTGGTTTAATTTCAGAACATTTTCATCACACCAAATAGAAACCCTGTACCCCTTCACAGTCATGCTCCATTCCTCTCTTCCCCCAGCTCCTGGCAACTACTACTCTACTTTCGATCTCTATGGCTTTATCTATTCTGGGAATTTCATAGAAATGGAATCAAACAATATGTAGACTTTTGTGTCTAGCTTCTTTTTGGGTGCATTTTCATATGAGGTTTTATGCTTAAAATGTCTAGTTACAATTTTTGATACTTTATAATGATTCATTCAAATTCTTGATAATTACTCTCAATGAGAAATTCTGTTCACTCAAATATGTGACAAAAGCTTATGAATGACTTTTACAACCATACCAGACTGTGCAATAATTGACATTATACCTAAAGATGCTAATAGTCCTTTTTTTTATTAGTTGAACCACATAAAGCTATCATTTTTATGTCAAAACTGGTTGAATATTGGCAGTCACAATATTCCAACTAATATTTTACTGGGTAATGTAATACTGGAATTCCTTGTGATAATGTGAATGGATTTTGAATCCAGTTCAGTTTTTTATGCCAAGCTTTTATTTGCAGAACATACTGTGAAAATAAAGAATAAAGATATGTGAAAATTAAGACAGCTGCATGGGACCTGGGGTGTCTAGAGCTGTGCTGGCCCAGTCTCCTCGCCAACCCCACTGAACATTCTCTCGGCCACTTGTTGTGCTCTTCGAGAGCCTGGAACACAGGCTTCTTCATCAGATCCATGAGTTTCTTATCCATGGTGGGCTCCAGACACCCCAGGTCCCATGCAGCTGTTGCAGAGGCTGATAGTGTTATCTTGCACTGTACCCATAGCCTGTTGCCTGAGCTCTGATTTGTGAGGAATACAGCACCATAGAAAGAGAAAATAGCTTAAAAGTGAAACTTTTAAGATATTACTTTCTGAAAGTCACTCAGCCAATACCTATTCAGGGAATTGGTCATGGGTCTTATTCCACATTTGATGCAAGATTACATATCATTCCTTAGAAGCTGAATTCCATCTTCTCTCTAGGTAGAACTATCTCCCATCCTTTCACCTCTCCAAAGTTTCCAAACTCCTGCCTTCTCTGGTCACTAGGGGAAATACACATTATCCAGAGAAATGTATACTTCTTTTTCTTAACTACATTTATTCAGAAAAAGCTCTGGTACCTATCTTTGTCTAAATAAGAAACTAATCATCTTTCCTAGACTAAAGGGCCATCATTTCATACAAGGAATTGTGCTACTGTCCTATTACCAGTGTTCTTGATATTATAAACAGAATCAATAAATAGTTGACGGACTTATCCAGAACTCTGGGGCCAGCCTGGATCTCTGCTAATCTGGATTTTCCCTTTCTGATATCCTGTGTAATCATTGCATGTTAAAGGTTTTTACAAGGTTAAAAGCCAATTTGTTCTCCTATGGACGAAAGGGACTCACCTGATACAAAGGGAAGGAAATGTATTTCCTCTTTAAAAAAAAAACGCACACATAAAATTAAGATCTATGTTTACAACTAGTAATAATAATGTAGATATCCTTGTTGTTTCTAGAAATAAAGAATTTCTACTGTCAACAAGGCAGTTATAGTCATAGCATGGTTTTACCCTATCCCAACAAAAATCATTTACTATTCACTTCCCTAATTTATTGAAAGCTG
The DNA here is from genome assembly GCF_000001405.40 of Homo sapiens. Taxonomy (NCBI): domain Eukaryota; kingdom Metazoa; phylum Chordata; class Mammalia; order Primates; family Hominidae; genus Homo; species Homo sapiens. The sequence goes on from NC_000004.12 coordinate 47,482,093, forward strand.
TGCTGCTTAGCCCACAGTAGAGAGCTCCATTAAGAATGTGTGTTCTCAAGCCAGCTCTTTCACCTGCTGTCTTGCCATCTTGGATAAGTTGCTCTAACTCTTTGTGCCTCAGATGTCTCATCTCTAAATGAAGAATGACCTCATAGGGATGATAAGAGGAATACACGAAGTCATAGCTGTAAACTTCTTAGTACAGTGTCTAACAGAAATGGTTCACTAGCACTCAATGAATATTGAGGAAAGAAAAAAAGAGACATAAAATCCTGTGATTATGTTGTTAAAATCAGGGCTCATCTACAAGGGACAAGTTTAATTGCCTGCAGCATTGATCTTCTTCTTCTTCCTCTTCCTCTTCCTCTTCCTCTTCTTCTTCTTCTTCTTCTCCTCCTCCTCCTCCTTCTCCTTCTCCAAAAGTCAGTCAGAAAACTGATCGTGGGAAATGTCCTAATCTGTGCTTGACTCATAACAAGTACAAAGAAAAAGCAGTGGTTGATTATGAATCATAAGAAATCAGCCTGTGTGCCACTTTAGGAAATGTGAAATATTTTGAGGTAAACAAAAGTAAACCACGCTGCTTTACACGTTACATGTTAAAGCAGTAGCCCGAAATAATGAATATGTCTCTCTTTTACATATAACTGTATAACAAATATAATAGGTTCTAGGAAGAACCCTGTTTACTGTTTTAGAAAAATGTTTTCTGATAACTCTGTCTTCTGCTGCCATACTAATAATCCTTGAGTATGTTTAAGAAAGGAAAAAGAGAAGTTAGGAAATTGATAATTATCATTTATTAAGCACCTATTAAGTGTTTTACACAGTGATAAGCACTTCAGCTACCTAACTTCATATAGTCTTAATAACACAGAGGAAGATATTATTAGATCCATTTTACCTACAGAGCTTAGTGTTGGTACCCAAGATCACATATCTAAAAATTTGCAGAGCCAAGATTTAAAACCAGGTCAAACCTAGGCATTTGACTACTGTGCCATATATTTCGCATTGACAATTAATTATGAAGTATTGAGAGTTATTAGTGTTGAGAGTCCAAATAATTTTCTAGCTGGAAAAGATGAAGTTCCCTCACTTCTATATTATACAGTTGAAATATTGGTTTTTTAAAAAACTTCCTGAGAAGTGCAAAAAAGAAAACCTTTCTGAAATTACAAGAAAGTAAGTATCTTTTAAATTAAAAATTACTATATAGATTTAAAGTAGCTAATGTCTTAAATTAAGAATCGTATTTTGTCTTTTTCAAAATAGGAATCACTCTGAGGAGAAAATTGGATATTACAGAAGCATTGCAAAAAGAAAACACCAAACACAACAAAACCTAATAAATTGATAGAAACCCACCTTAATAGTGGTTATTCCAATGACCTTCATGGTATTTATGAGTATTGATTTTTAAAAATTTGATTAGAAATATTTAAATTATCAAAATGATACAAATTTCATTCAAATGACAGACACAAATAGAAAGCTAGTAATCTCCCCTCACTATCCTTCCCTGAGTAAACAATTTTGAGGTGTATCTTCACGTTTTTATATTTATATTAAAATAAACCAATATATAAAGAATATGTATAAGGCTAAGTTGTATTACATAATGTTTTCCATTATTCTACTACTATGCTCTTTAGACTTAAATATAATAGATTTTCTTCTAAGACAATAATTCAAATCTTAGTCAGTGATTCTCAACCCTTGTGCACATTAGAATTTCTAGAGGAGCTTGAAAAAAAGACATTGCCATAGCGCCACCCCCAGAGATTCTGGTTTAATTGGCCTGGGTGGGGCCTTGGCATCAAGCTCCCCGGTTCACTCTGATGTGTAGCTAGTTAGAACCACTGATTTAAGCAATCCAAACAGGCTACATGCCTGAATTGTCCTGGTATGTACGTTCCCAGGAAGGCCCTCTGCTGAGGTAACAACACCAGTGTTTGATTGGGAGAGCTCAGGGGGGCCCAGCTACAGTTTTAAGTCTCCTCTATAAGGTTGACTCTCAGATAGGAAATGTGTTTCATCTTAAAGGATGTTAGAGACAGTCATATGACTGCAAAAAGTGCTACTAGGGCCAGGAATTTCAGAGGCCATGTAAATGACAGTGTATTCTACTAGGCTGGGTTAATTCTGGGGATTAAGTTTGACTAAGTTCTAGAGATTTGTCCTTACCTGCAGATGGAGGCTTCCCTAATGGAGCATCATAGGAAGCCACACCCAGAACTTGTTTCTCCTCGTCTGGCAGAAGCACGTTCTCAGTGGGTGCAGAAACTTGTTTGGCTTCTCTTGGTCTGAGAGAATTTTCAAGCCGACCAACCAGCTCCCTGTGTCTGTACTGGTGAGCTCTTTACTAATAGTCAAACATTTGCATGCTCATTTAGTTTTCTTCACTCTTGTTGCACATCTGAGAAACACTTGAGAGAATGGAAGAGAGAGGCACAATATAGGAGAGCTGTGGAGAGTTTGGCCCCACTTTTTATATTTGTTTCAATGGGATAAAACAGGCAGCCAAGATTATTAGGTTTTGTTCTGAGTTATTGGTTCGGCCTTCACTAAATGGCTTTTCCTCTTTCCAAATTAGACATTTTGAGAAACCAGACAGGTTGTTGAAACTTATTTAGAAGTTTTAAAAAAAGTTGTGAATTTTAAGCAAACGGACCTTGGCAGGTGTATGGACAAAGCCACATTATCCTGAGTAAGGGAACGGAAGGGCAAGGTGTGAGGAAAACGACCAAATCAGAATTGTAATATTTTTCCTCATTTCTTTTCTAGTCATAAAAACAGTAACATTACATATTATTTATTTATTTTGTGGTAGGGTCTCACTCTGTCGCCCAGGCTGGAATGCAGTGGCGCGACATTTTTAGATTTGATCTCTTTTACCCTCCAAAAAATAATTGTCCAGTGTTCCACGTTTAGCTAAAACAGTGAATTGTTAGAATTGCAGCAAAACAATGAACCAAACCGTCAACCGCGAGCAACCTGTACTTGGGAGGTGAAAGTCAGAGGTGAGATTGTAAGGGCTCTGGGTCACTGGGGCATCTGCGCTGGGCAGAAGGGCAGCTCGGTCAAACAGCTGGAGCTGGGAGCCGGTCAGTTGCCAGGCCCTGCCGCTGCTACGTCACGGAGGGCGGGGCGGTGGGCGATTGGCGGTGCACTGCAGCTCGGGCTGCTCTGCAGCCTGGCGGAGACGGGAGGAGGAGCGGAGGGAGAAGTAGGTTGCGAGCTCAGCACAGGCTCCGGCGCTGGCTCCCGCAGCTGAGTTTGGGAGATGTCTAAGTGATTTTTTTTTTTTCCCGGAAGGCAAATGGCTGGCGTGGAAGCACAACCCGCTTTCACTCTTCGAATTTGTGCTTAGCTCTTTTCTTGTACCTTGCGACTCGTGACCAACATGCTGTGATGTGTGCCGAGGGAGGAATTGGTAAGAGTGAGACGGCGAATCCCTCTGACTGTCCCAGCCTTCTGCTTCACCGCCCACCCGCTTTTCCTTTCTGTTTCTCTCTCCTGTTTCTCCCCGCTCCACTTCCCTAGTCGTGTTTAGATTTGATGACATGGCTCAAAACTACAGTTCTGGGCTGTTACTGAACTAAAAAAAAAAAACAACAAAAGATAAAATGATTACACCATTTTCAATCATTTGTTAAAGGGGAATTTAAAAATCTATTTTAAATGCTGGATTTTGTAAAAAGGTAAACTGCACACGCGGGCGCACACGGGCACGTACATACACGCATTCTCACACACCTTTGTACACGCGGGCATACACGGGCACGCACACACACGCATTCACACACACACACACTCCTTTGTCATCCCGTTGTGAAATAAGCAGTTTAAAGAAATTTTGGTTATCTGCCTCAAAGGTGATGAAAAGGGAAGGTGTTGAAGATTTAGCCCAGCAGATTGATTCCTTAAGGTTGATTCCCTAAGGTTGATTCCTTAGGAAGAAAAAGGTGTTTGTATTGGAGCTTTCTCGGAAATAGTTTTCAAAGGAGTGCTACAAAGAAGCCCCCATGCTTCCCCCAAAACACTAACTTTAAAGAACCTAGTTGTTATTCGGGGCACCCTTTATTTTACGTTGTAAAACATGTAGTTTTAATTTACCACGTACAGCAGAGAGACATCAGTTGGTTAGGGAATGGATGGTTATTTTGGTGTCTGGGACCCTGTGCCTTTAGAAAGAATATGTTTTAACTGCTCTTATCATGCTAGCTCAGGTTTTTAAAATGTGATCTGAATAAGACCAAAGTTTCTTCTTGCGTTCTTTTCATGCTGGTTCTAAGCAGGGAGAAAAACAAGTCTGTATGGACAGAGCAAACCTCTAACTCAAAATCAACCTTGAGAGATGCATCAACAAGGACAGGGGCTCCTCATCCACCAATATTTACTTGTATCAGCCTTTAAATCATGTAGGTCACATTTCTGTGAAGAATAGCATCATCGAAAACCCTTGCTGACTTGTGAAGAGCAAAAATCATTGCAACGGAGTAGTTTGTTCAGTGCCCGCAGCAAGAACCTCCCACTCCGATCCACCTCAAAAAGTAATAACTGCTTCTTCTGGACTGTTTTCTATTCTCACTACAAATACGTATCATATACCTACATTGAGATAGTTTATTTTTATTAAAATGAGGTCATTTTATACATTTGGAAAAATAACTTAGCAACATTTTAAAGTTTTAGGGAGTTTAAAAATAACATTTAATTTTCATGCTAATTTAACATTCATTAAATTGCATGAAAAAGAGGGAAAATCTAAGCACTCTAAACTAGGATGTGGGGAGTGTTTGACCCTGGCTTAGCAAAACCTGAATACTTTTCATACTTAGTGACTAAATAGAATTGAATAGGGCCGGGCGCAGTGGCTCATGCCTGTAATCCCAACACTTTGGGAGGCCGAGGCAGGCGGATCACCTGAGGTCAGGAGTTCGAGACCAGCCTGACCAACATGGCGAAACCCGTCTCTACTAAAAATACAAAATTGGCTGGGCGTGGTGGTGCATGCCTGTAATCCCAGCTACTCGGGAGGCTGAGGCAGGAGAATCGCTTGAGCCCGGGAGGCGGAGGTTGCTGTGAGTCGAGATCGGGCCATTGCACTCCAGCCTGGGCAACAAGAGCAAAACTCCGTCCCCCAAAAAAAAAAAAAAAAAAATAGAATCTCATTTATTTTGCTATTGTCAGTAAAACGAAGGGAAATGCTCAAATATGATTATAATTTATAATAGAACAGAGGTGACTCACCTGTCAGACAAATGTACTTCCTATAATTGACTTTTTAAATTAAGGGTTAAAAAAATGTACACATATTCAAGCCTTCATTACATGTTTTCTTTATTGTCTGATATAGTTGGAAGTAGTTCTTCTAATGAAGAAGAATCAAAGAAAATGCTACAAGTAAGATTGTCTGAGAATTCTCACAGAACAATGCACTGATAAATATAAATTTAATAGTGCTTGAAGAAAAGGAGAATTGATTTATCAACTCTAGGAATAAATATATGTGTGCTGGATGCTATCACTATTCCTCGTCAGTTATTCCTTCGATATTTTCTTAGATAAATTTATTTCATTTCAGAAATCATTTTAGCCATAGAAACAATACTTTTTTATCGCTTTGCAGAATAAGGACTAACAGTGATGCTAGTTTTGTAAAAGAGTTGTGGCCTTAATGGAATTTTTTTAATGCTACTCAATAAAAGGTATATCAATACAACTATTTGAGGCAATTACGTGGTATTATGTATTAAAACCTGTGAATGTTGGGCCAGGCACAGTGGCTCATGCTTGTAATCCTAGCACTTTGGGAGGCTGAGGCAGAAAGATCCCTTAAGCTCAAGGGTTCAAGTATCTGCATGGTCCCATTTTGCTCCCATCTCTACAAAAACAAAACAAAACCTGTGAATGTTCATAGCCTTTGACTAAGTGATCTTGGGTCTAAAAATATAGCCTAAGGAAATAATATGAATCGCATATGAAGATTTATAAATGTTTATTACCATCTTATCTGTAATACAAAAAATGGAAACAAAGCCCCAATAACAAAATATTTAAATAAATTAGTGTAGTTTATGTATCTATATTGATAAAACTCAGTTACAAAAGTTTTTTAAAAATTTAATGACTTGGAAATATACTTGCAATGTATTCTGTAAAAAAGTGAAATTTAATATATTATCTTATGTGTAAAATATAATTTTGAAATAAATATATAAAATTCATTTAATCAAAAGTATTTATTAAGCTGTTACTCTAAGACAATGTCCTAAATTAATAAGGATTGAAAAAGATTAATGCAGTTCCTGTTTGCATACAAGTTTCTTTTGCATCAATAGGCATATCCATTAAAATATCATATTTCCCCCACCCCCTAGAAAATGTATTCCTAGGTGGTAAAGTTACAGCTTGATTTTCTTTTTTATATTTTTCCTAATATTCCAAAATCTTTTAAAGCAACTGTTATTTTTATAATGACAAAATACCACTTTCAGAAATATCACCAAGAAATATAATAAGCAAAAAAAAAAAAAAAAAAAAAAGATAAATGGTAAGCTCTGTATTTTACATGCTCCCTTTAAAAAGATACTATAAAAAGCAGTGCGAGATTGCTATGGTCTAAATGTTTGTTCCCTCCCTTTCTGAATTCGTATGTTGATTCCCAATCCCCAGTGTGAGGGTAGTAGGAGGTACAGGCTTTGGAATATGATTAGATTATGAGAAAGGATTCCTCATGAATGGGATTAGTGCCCTCATAAAAGAGGCCACAAAGAGCTGCCTTGCCCCTTCCACCATGGGAGGATGCAGTGAGAAGGTGCCACCTATGAATCAGAAAGTGAGCTCTCACCAGACACAGTATCTGCTGGCGCCTTGATTTTGGACTTCCCAGCCTCTAGAACTTTAGGAAATAACTTTTGATTGTTTACAAATCACCTAGTTTATGGTAATTTGTTATAGCAGCCCAAATGGACTAAGACGGAGACAGATGAATACTGCTATACAAATGATCCCCAATGAGAAATAGATATAAATGAGCAATTCGCAAAAGACAAAAAATTTTAATTGTCTAAGGTTAGGGTAGAGGGGATGTTAACCTCCCAATAATCAAAGAATCCCAGCAGAGCGATAAATTACCACATTTTCACACATCACATTAACAAACGTGGACAACAAATCAAAATGTATCATTTTGTTGGGAAAATTATTCAGTAATATGAGAAAATATTCATGATATGGAAAAATGTTTATGGTATGAGAAGTGGATAAAAGCAAGTTACAAAATGATATCCTAGTTTTGAAAAAAAAATCAACCTATGCACAGAACCCAATTTATTGGTGGGGAATAAACCAAAGATTAATAGTATTTATATTTGGGTGGTAGGATTATAGTTGATTTGTATTTTTCTCATGGTGTTAATATATAGTTCTAAAGTTTCTGCAGTGACTTATATTTTAGTTATCAGAGAAAACAAGTCACTATCCTAATGAAGCAATTAGTCCTAGTATAAAGAGCACATATATGATATTATATATCCCCTCTTTCACAAAGTCCCCCATCTCCCTTATTGTGTGTACTTTTATGTTAGGTATCATTATTTCTGAATTATTTCTCTGATGAGAACATTTGGATTATAAGGGAAATCACAAAACAAAGCTATTCTGCTCACATTCACTGTTTCGCCTCCACCTATTTTCTAAAATAATAAGCATTGTTGAACAGATTTGAGCTTTACTTCCCTTTAATTTCCTGTTGATTTCATTTGCCAGGGCCTACGGCTGATAGGTTTTAATTAAATACTCCTTAATTTCTTTTTCTAAAGTCTGCTTATTCAGCTTAAGGCCTTTTTGAATGAGGAAGATGGGTACTACTACATTCCTCTTAGTAAAACTTACAAGGTTTTAACTCTTTAGGTAGGCTAGGTAATACAAATCATAATTTTCTTGGTTATGAGAAGGAAAGTGAAAATCAATTTTGACCTGTCTCAAAATGTTGTGAAATCTTTTTCTTTGATTTATAGGATTCATAACTACTTAGCCTGTGTTTTTAAACTTTCATTTCCCCTTAATTAGACTATAATAATATAGTTAGAAGGTTTTAGTTAACATTTTAAATTATAACATCTCTTCTTCTTTACTAAATTCTTTCCTAGAGAGATGTCCTCAGATATTTTCTTCACAAATATTCTATTTATCTGTGATGTCCTTTAGCTAGAAATCAACATTTCTGCCTTGCCAAGGTCGAAAAATAATTGCCTGAATCTGAAGCATTATTATACTTTTAAGATCCCTAAGCCAAGGACTAAGAAAAAAGTGAAATGCTTTCAATGGGATATGGAAACTCTGAAAGGTAATTTTTACTTTGAGTCCCAGACTGGCTTTCTGCTCCCAGATTGTCTTACTTCATTTGAATCAGGCTAGTGCATGAGAAGAAGTATGGTGGTCCCAAATGCCTAATTTGTCACATCTTCTTTGCCTGCTTGATTTGGGTCATGGTCAGGATGGATGGGTTGATGATAGGAATATGTGGATATGTAGTATTAGGATGTAGGATTGGTAACGGGCAGAGGACAGGAGTGGAGCCAGCACGGGTGGTATAGGGCAAGTGAAGAACACGAGAGTGTGGCTCATGCCAGATTGTTGTGTTGCCCTTGTCAGCCAGTAGGATTGCTGTTGTCACAGATGTGTGCTCAGAGATGCCTTAGGAAGTCTCTAATGATCCTACTCCTTGTTAGGTAATTGGCAAACTGTCTTGTGAAGCACATTATTCAGGTTTTCCAGATGAGTCGTCCTTCCTTTTCTCCCTTTCAATGTATTGTTCACACTTCTTGCAAATACATCTTTTTTTTTTTCAGTCAGAAGTCTTTTATTTTATTTATTTTGTTAACACCTCTGATGCCATGTGTTCATAGGGAAGAGGTTCCAGCAGCTCAGGTTCCTTCCCATTGGCTCTCACAAAGTGTGCTTCTCTGGGTGGAGCAGGCTGGTGCTTCAGTTGAACCCAGGTACTTTTCTCTTTGGCTTTTTTCTTTTTCTGATCATTTTCCTTCATGCGTTTCAGGAAGGTATCTCGCCTATTAGAGTGCTTAATGTGCTCAATATGCACATTAATTCTCTTGGCAAGAATCTTGCCCTTAACTTGTTTACAACAATGCCAACAGCACGCTGGGGAACTTTGTAGACTCTTCCAGTTTTGCCATGGTAACACTGGTGGGGCATTCCTTTTTGAACAGTACCCATTCCCTTGAAATCTCCAATATCACGTCTCTTATAGATTCACAGGTATGTGGCCAAAGGAACAACTCCATGTTTTCTAAAAGGCCTAGAGAACATGTATGGGGTGCCGCTCCTCTTTCCCTTTGTGTTTGTCATTTTGGCGAATTACTGGAAGATGGTGGTTCTGGCCAAAAGGAAGTGCAAATAAATCTTATAAATGTCTGTATCATATCACAGTCTTCTCAGATATCTTTGGCAATTTCCCATATTCTTCATCTTAGCAAGTCAGGGCTTCAGTTTGGTCCCAACCTAGATTTTCATTTAATTTCGCATCACTTCTTAATTTGTACTTGAAACTGCTGCCATATTGAACTACTCATTGTTACTTAAATAAACAGTCTCCACCCTCCTTGCCTCCTTGCCTTTTCTAAAATCTATAAATCTCTTCTGTCAGGATTCTAAACCAGGCTCACTTATAATACCTTCTTTTCTGGGAAGCCTTTCCTCTTCTTCCTTTCTATCCTCTGACCTCGTACCATGCTTTCTCATAAGACTTTCTGGTTTCCCTAAATTCATATACTGCATGATTATCCTAATTTTATCTTTTTTATTGAACTAAATACTTGACCTGTTCTGGGGCTAGTTTATTCATTCCCAAAGCACTCAGCACCGTGCCTAGGACAAGGTAAAATAAATGTACCTTAGAAAATAAACTCCTAGAAGGCAGATAATTTTGTCCGTTTTGTTCCCTGGTTTATTTCCAGTATCGATAACAATGCCTGGCATATAGTAGGAGTGCCAAAAATATTAGTTGAAAGATTGAAATTACTGAGCACCTTCAGTGTGTTAGGCACAGTGCATTGTTTAATAAATCTCTTTACAAAATTGTGTGAGGTGGTGATATTATTTCCATTTTACAGATTTGGAAACTGATGCTCAGAAAGGCTAAAAGCTTGTGGTAAAGGGACAACTGTGAATCTGTTTGTCAAACTTGTGTTCATTCTGCTAATTGCTATTAGCAATTTGTTGCAGTTTTGAAAATAGCTAATTATATTATCAGTACTTATTCAAATTAAATGTAGTGTGATGTGTAGGTACCATTGAGTAAATTATTGGGATCGGGTATTTATCATGAATCTATTTTATAATTCCAATGAAGACCAACTTGTTTTTCATACCATTTGTAGTTTTGATCTGCCTCTTATTTGTGTTTATATACTATTCTTAGTAATACTTATAGGCCTCAGGTACAGTTTAAATATATGTGTTGAGACAGTTTAAGTAATTGACATGTGTAATCCATGCTTTTATTGCGTTAAGTCATGTGCTGAAGTAATTTTTAGCCACTGTGAAATAATGCTTCTCTATGTAATAATTATATTAATATTAATTCATCCACTAGCTTCCAAAAGAAAATCTTTAATACATTTTCGAAATTAATTAAATCTTTCATCTATCAGACTGAATTTTCCTTTTTATAGTTTAAACAAAATAACTAATGTTACCACCTATCTATCTTCATCACATATCCAGTAATATGCTATATTCTTTAAAGAAAATAACAGAATATAATTCAGAATTTTAGTCTCTAATGTGCTTATTTGCCTCATCTGTATAGCTTGAGCTAATAATCTGTGGGAGACCTTTAGAAAACCTTTGATGTAGTCTATTGATATAATCTTTTGATCTTACAATTTTTCAGGGGCTAAATTCTTTCCATTTCAGCTACAAATAACTCTACTTTCCTATTCATTATTCTTTTTATCTCTTACCATTAATCTTTCTTTTAAGCATGTTATTTTCCTTTGCTTTTTAAAAACTTCTGTAGTTACCCAAACAGAAAATAATTGCCCTATTTCTTGTATATAAGAAAAGTAGTTTCACTGATTATTTAAACAATAATATATACATCATTGGTATGGGAAAGATTAGCTGCATAAAAATCATATTTAATGGTAATGACTTCATGGGGAAAATACACAATCCCTGACTTATGATGGTTCAACTTATGATTTTTCCAGTTTATGATGATGCAAAAGAGATACACATTTAGTAGAAACCATACTTCAATTCCCATACAACCATTCTGTCTTTCGCTTCCAGTATAGTGTTCGATAAAGTACATGAGATATTTAACACTTGATTATAAAGTAGGCTTTGTGTTAGATGACTTTGTCCAACTGTATGCTAATATAAGTGTTCTGAGCACATTTAAAGTAAGCTCAGCTAAGCTGTGATGTTCAGTAGGTTAGTGTATGACATGCACTTTTGACTTATGATATTTTCATTTACCATGGGTTTATGAATGAGCATCTGCATTCATTAATTAAAAATAAGTCCAGAGTAGATTTGAGCTGCCTAGGTCTATGATTTTCAAAGTGTGGCCCCCAGAGTAGGCCCCATCAGTATCACTTGAGCTTGTTAGAATGCAAATTATCAGGCCACTGCAGAGCTACTGAATCAGAGAAACTGGTGTGATTGTGTGCTTGGGTTGGGGAGGGGGCGGCAGGGAGGGCAGAATCTGTGTTTTAACAAGCTCTCTTTGTGATTCTGATCTGTGATAAAGCTGGAGACCACAGGCTTGGAGTAAGATCCTCAGGTGAGCAGGCCAGTATATTCACTGGGTTTGACAGGTAGGTATCTGACTTAAAAGGTCTCTGGGAAAGGGGATTTCATTTACTTTCCTGTATGCTGTTTCAGATACCTCTGTGTTATTACTAAGCTGGCTGCAAAAGTCATTAATTTAATACATGAAACTGAAAACAACAGTCAGAAACACAATGTTCAACACTTAAAAGTTTGTGTTGGATAGGTTTTATGTTATTATTTGCTTCTTGGCAACAGATTCCCTTTAAAAAAACAGAATTAAACTAAACTTTTGTGCAAATGTTTCATAAGGGAAAAAGAGTAAGACTTTTTCCCCCCGGTTCTTTGATCTTGGCTGTATTTGGGGATAATGATTGAAAGAAGCAAATGTGAATCTTATGACTTTCAGTAGAGAGTTTGTGCCTAGGGAATCAAGTTTTCTTAGCGATCCTGCATGCTTTTGAAGTGGTAAGGAACGATACGCCTACTGTGACCATTAAAGTTGTAACTAATTAACTCTGTAAAATTAAAATCCAAGCATAAAAATATTTTCATAGTGCATCTGTAAACAACATAGGCTGTATTCTTTTAATATACTTTGGATATAATAAAGTTAGATTAAGTACCTCATTTATTGCTGGAAATTCTATATCCCAGCTCACTTTATCTTAATGGGCCCATATGATGTTGAATGTGGTCATTTTGGAATGTTGTAGATTGGTCATGTTATGAAGATATTAGAAATAATCAGAAAGAATTTTGAAATAGGCTCTTAATTAGGAATTGAAAATTTTCTTACCTACAAACTTTTATTTTCCCACTGACTTTAATTTTCTAAAGAGCAATGAAGGTGATATTTGAAAAGTATAACTGACTTATTTTTGAGATTTTTGTATTACTTTCACATCAAAAACTCTATATGCCCTACATAAGTATAGGCATAAAAATGTTTTATTGAAACAATTATCTGAGCTTTCTTTCGCAGACTACCATTTAAATTCTATTTTCACAACTAATTTTCAGAAAGAAGAGTCTCCCAAAACTATATTGACATTTAAGTATGCTATTTATTGAAATTTAGCCAGACATTTATAAGGTAACTTTTAGTAATTATCTTTTGGTAAAAACAAGAAACAAAAACCCCAAAACTGAATGCTTTAATTAATTAGCTTTGCAACATTTATAATTACATGTAATGCTTCTTTGCAGGAACACACATATTTGCCTTTATCAAGAAGCTTATACACTAAACTATGTTGAACTTACATGTCAAGAAACTTATATACTAAGTTAAATGTAATTTCTGGTTTAATATTGAGTATAGCATTATTAGTATGTACGCATCTTACCCATGGCCTTATGTGTGACCATTCATTTTCAGTATTGAAGCAGCACGCTTGGCTTGCATTTTATGAAGTTGTGCTTTAAAAAAAAAGGAAAGAAAAAAAAGAGTTAAAGGAATGCACCTCTTTTCCACATCTTAAATGTAAAAGCAATACATTAAGTTCTGTGTATAGGCTTCATGATTATATGAAGTTTCATCAAAATTTAACTTTTTGATTAAAATGAAGTTCTGTTTTCTAATTCCAAAATAAGTATATGTGTTAATGGTAAAAAAAACATGGAGAGTATAAAAACACTGAAAAAATTAAAATCTGCTATTAATAGACTATCCCAAAATAACCACTGTTAATGTTTTTAAAAATATTTTATTTGAAATTCTTCCATGTTTATATATTGTATATATTCATAGTTGAGATTATACTTGTATACAGGTCTAAATCATGCTTTAAAACTTTATAAACTTTAAGCATTTTATGAGTCATTAACAATTCTTTTAAGCAACTTTTTTTTTTTTTTTTTGAAATGCAGTTTCGCTCTTGTTGCTCAGGCTGGAGTGCAATGGTGCAATCTCGGCTCACTGCAACCTCCATCTCCCGTTTTCAAGCAATTCTTCTGCCTCAGCCTCCCCAGCAGCTGGGATTACCGGCATGCGCCACCGCGCCTGGCTAATTTTGTATTTTTAGTAGAGATGGGGTTTCTCCATGTTGGTCAGGCTGGTCGCGAACTCCTGACCTGAGGTGATCTGCCCACCTCGGCCTCCTAAAGTGTTAGAATTACAGGTGTGAGCCACCATGCCCAGCCTAAACATCATTTTTAACAGCTGTCTTATATTTCCATTAGAAATAGATTTAACACAATTAGATATAATGCAGTCAACAATTTCTCTATTTCTCAACATTTGTGTAGTGACTTTCCTTTTTCTTTTTTTTTTTTTTTTTTGAGACGGAGTTTCACTCTTGTGGCCCAGGCTGGAGTGCAATGGCATGATCTCAGCTCACAGAAACCTCCGCCTCCCGGGTTCAAGCCATTCTCCTGCCTCAGCCTCCGGAGTAGCTGGGATTACAGGCATGGGCCACCACGCCCGGCTAATTTTGTATTTTTAGTAGAGATGGTGTTTCTCCATGTTGGTCAGGCTGGTCTTGAACTCCTGACCTCAGGTGATCTGCCTGCCTCAGCCTCCCAAAGTGCTGGGATTACAGGCGTGAGCCACCGCGCCCGGCTGTGTAGTGACTTTCTAAGGCTGAGTTCAGTATATTTCTACTGAGGGCCAGAGAGGACATTTTTAGAGCATATTATCCTATGGGTCTAGAGAAGTAAGACAAGTAAGAGCAGGTTAAAGTCCCCCAAAACTATATGAATGTATGCCTTCATTGAGCATTATGAATAAAGAAACTCTTTGCTACATTCTACATTCAGAGTCAAAAAAATGCTAACTCTGTCTTAAATTCTTTTTTTTAGGTTACTACTGAAGTTGAAAATATTTTTTTCCTATATATTTATAGTATATGGCTTCTGTGTTTGTTCAGGCTTTTTTTCCAACTGTGCTATTCATGTGACTATTAAACCAGAAATGAATAATTTTTAATATTTATCTTATAAGATATTAATTAATTAATTAATTTTTGAGACTGAGTTTCACTCTACTGCCCAGGCTGGAGTGCAGTGGTGTGATCTCGGCTCACTGTAACCTCTGCCTCCTGGGTTCGAGTGATTCTCATGCCTCAGCCTCCTGAGTAGCTGTGATTACAGTTGCCCGCTACCACAACTGGCTAATTTTTGTATTTTTAGTAGAAACGGGTTTCACCACATTGGCCAGGCTTGTCTCAAACTTCTGACCTCAGGCGATCCTCCCACCTCGGCCTCCCGAATTGCTGGGATTACAGGCGTGAGCCACCGCACCTGGCCTATAAGATATTAATTTAAAAAATAGACCATTGTAGCCGGGCATGGTGGCTCATGCCTGTAATCCCAGCACTTTAGGAGGCTGAGGTGGGCAGATTGCCTGAAGTCAGGAGTTCGAGACCAGCCTGACCAACGTGGAGAAATCCCGTCTCTACTAAAAATACAGAATTAGCCGGGCGTGGTGGCATGTGCCTGTAATCCCAGCTACTCAGGAGGCTGAGGCAGGAGAATCGCTTGAACCGGGGAGACCGATGTTGCAGTGAGCTGAGATTGCGCCGTTGCACTCCAGCCTGGACAACAAGAGCGAAACTCCGTCTCAAATAAAAAAAAAAATAGATCATTGTAATAATGGAACTTGTTAGGGTGATACTGAAACAATGGGGCAGAGTCCACAGATTAGCTCAAATAGGCCATGAAAATATTAGGATAAGTACCTATCTGTAGAAGTCTTAGCTTACTTTATAGTTGAATCATACTAGTATATAAAATTCTGGCAAACATAATAATATTGTATTCAAATTGACTTAAATAATTTATGACATTCATAAATAATGACATAGTTTAGGAATTAATAAAAGCCTATCTATATATGCATGAATAAGAAAATGGTAGTGGAGCAAACAGCAGGATTATTGTATGTGAATTGCCACTAACTTGCTGTGTAATCTTGGGTAAGTCATTCTTTCCAAACCTCTGTTTTCTTCTGTGTAAAATGAAGTATTTAGTTGGATATTAACATTCTTTCTGGCTTTAACATTCTGAGTTTTTTGTTTAAGCTGTTAAGCATCTTTAAAATGCTTTTCCTACTTTGAAGAAATGTTGGCATCAAACAATTCATATGTATTCTTATAAAAGCAAGAATAGCTACCATTTGTTAATCTATTATATGTCAGATGTCTTACGTACATTCCCATTAACTCCTCACAACAACCCTACAGAGCAGATGATATCATTGCCATTTTCCTCATTGGAAAACTGAGGGTCATAAGAAGTCCCACTAGGGCTGAGTGGGAGAGCCAGAATTTGAACCCATGACTCGGAAATACTCTGTTCTTTCCACTGTGCTACTTACCTCTCTCTTGGACAAATGTGATGGCTTCTTTTAACCCAGAGTTTCTCAGCAGCAGCATTTCTTGACATTTGGGACTAGATAATTATTTGTTGTGAAGGATTGTCCTGTGTATTGCTGCATATTTAACAGTATCTCTGGCTTCTTTCCACAACCAAAAATATCTCCAGATATTAGCAAATGTCCTAGGGGGCTGGAAGGGGAGGTACAATTGGCCCCATTTGAGGACCACTGCTCTAATACAACTTAAGTCATCAGTAGTATGAGGACAAACATAGTTACTTTCTCCAGCAAAATCTTTAGGCCATTTTAAGGGTCAAGATGGAATTAACCAAGTATATCTCCAGCAAAGGAACCTACCTACTTCTTCATGCAATAATACTTATTATACATTGATTGTCCCTTATTCTCTTAAGATGCATCCCATTTGAAGAGCATTTGTTGGGATGCATGGTATAGCAACAAGAACCTGATTAATGTTTGTTAATTCACTGAAAAGTATTCGTTGAGGGCATGTTATATGCCAGGC
Source organism: Homo sapiens (assembly GCF_000001405.40). Lineage (NCBI taxonomy): Eukaryota > Metazoa > Chordata > Mammalia > Primates > Hominidae > Homo > Homo sapiens. Next base: position 47,498,736 of record NC_000004.12, read on the forward strand.
ATTGTCCAGTTATTGGTTAAAACAGTAAACAAGATGGCCTTGTAGGAGAAACAGGTATTAAATCATTTTAGCTCATTCTCCTTTATCTTCCTAATAATCTTGTAAAGATTCTGTTTAGAACCACAATCCAGTGTGTTTATCATGTTTTACATACATACACAACTTATCACATGAAGCTGGAGTTTGCCTTCCTTAGTGTGAATGAGTAAAGATCACACACTGGGAAATTTGTGTTCTTCTGCCAGTTCAAATATATATTTTGGCTCTGGTTTTTAAATGAGCACGTATCTGTGTGCTAGCTTCATTTTGAAACTTAACTGTTTATCTCTCGGTTAGTCTTTTAACGCTCTTACCATTTTGTGGTCTGAAGCTTGGCCACATACATATCAAAGTTTGTCTTATGGGAATTAATCTCTGAAGTATTTCAGGTAATGAGGGAATCTCATGAGGTTCGTGCCTGATCCGTTTACTAGACTCTGTACTTCTGGAGGACAGAAACCATGGAGTTCACATAGGAATTCCCATCACGTTGGTTTCAATGCCTGGAAAAGTACCTGGTTGGCAATGGTAGCCTTTCAGTACCTATTTTCTAACAAATATAAGGAAAAGAAATCTCTAAATAGTGAAAATAGATTTCACTAAATAAATCTTGCTGAATTTTTATCTTCTACTTCCTGAAGACCACTGGGGTCATTTATTTACATTTCTTAATTATTGTAAGGTAGTTGGAAGTAAAACTTAAATCTTCATAAAGACAGATTTGGACAGCTGATGGGGAAAAAAGCCTGTAAAATTATTCAAAACAAGGAGATTTTCAAGTACTGGAAGAAAACCTTATGGAAATGCTTTGAAGACCCTGAAGGCATCACTATAAAGAATACGCTTGTGCTCAGAGCATTGGTGCTGAATTCTCAGAGAAGAAAATTTATTTAAAATGCTGTGTCAAATATAGGAAAATTGGGTACACATTGTATAATGATTTCTATCCTGGATGAAATTGTTTTGATACTTTAAAGGATAAACCTTAAACTGTCTTTAAAAAGGTTACTCAGAATAACTTCCTCTTGGAGAGTTTTAGAACGATAAAATTTAAATACTTCAGCTGTTTCTAAAAATAAGTCCTATTTGTTTTATTTCCTTTTTTATGTCTTCCTGTTGCAGAGTTTCGTTAGTGTCCATTTTAGGACTACATGCTCTAGATCTTAATGTGAACTGTAATAACTTCAGCATGCATAATAAGAGCTGTAGTGAGCTACATACCATGAAATGCCTGTTATTATATCACATTTAGAGGCAGTGTGTATAAGATTGTTAAAGATATTCTAGTCTTTGCTGCATATAAGAGGGGTGTTATTTTACTCATTCATTCTTGGGTTCATTCCACAAATATTCATTGAAAATCTACTCATTGCCTGATATTATACTCTTCTAGGCCTAGGCCATATCAGTGAACCAAAAAGACAGAAATTTCTACGCTGATGGAGGAGGGAGACAGACAAAAGCTAAAATACCAAAGTAAATTATGCATTGTTAGAAAGTGACATAAAGGTTTTATGAAAAGTAAAGCAGAAAAGGAGAATAACAAGAGGCAGATCATATGGAGCACTGGAGGTGGCTACTGTAATTATATGGGAGCCTTTAGAGAGTTTTAAGTTGTGAAATTGTCAGGATCTAAATTAGGTTATACCAGGACTAGACTGATAATGGTGGATCAGGTTGATTGTAATAAAGGTGATGAGAAGTGGTAAGATTCTGGATATAGTTTAAGGGAAGAGTCAACAGAATTTGCGGACTGACATGATGTGAGTTGTAAGTGAAAGAAACCAAGGATGACTCAAAAGTTTTTGGGCTGAGCATCTAGAAGAAGGGAGCTGCCATTAGCTGACAGGGCTAATATAGGGGAGAAGCAGTTTAGGGGAGAGTGCTTGGACCTCCATTTGCACTTGTTACTGTCTGGAGATGGGCTGCCTTTTGGGCATCAGTCTGGAGTTTTGGAAAGAGGTCTATGCTAGGGGAACTTGTGGAAGTTCTCTTTGGATAGCTTTGGTATTCTCAGAAAAATAGAAACAAGGTCATCACCAGGAAGAAAGTCAGGAGGGAGATATTGGATGTAAAGAGGAGAAAGGAAAGGGTATGAAACAGTTGTGTATGAGAGTGGGAGAATACATGGCGTGGAAATGCAGTATGATTGCAGGCAGTGTGAATGGCCAACTTAAGAGTTTGCGGTCAGGACGTTAAAGTGACTCTGACAAGGTGTTGTGCATTTCTTTCCAGCCACTTTCAACCTGTAGGTACTGGAACAGAGTACATAGAGCTTTACATGTGAATGTAAGCAGGGTGAGGGTTTTGCCAAGAAGTGAGAGAGGAGTTCACTGGTTGAGAGAATATACAAGGAAGTGATTACAGTATTAACCATAAAATTTGAAGTAAGTAAGGAAATAAGACCACTTGAGAATATGGGGCAGTGAAAAGATGGTTGGTGGTTGTTTATGGGTAGGATCAGTGATATTGGAGTTGGGTTAAAAGTGAGTCATTTATTTGAAAGTAAATTTTATTTGCATGTATTGAATTATAGTTCAAACACATATAAAGTCCTCTATAAGGCACAGTAAGCAGTAAAAATGGGTAACCTCACCTAGTACAAAATGAATGTTTTAAAAGTAAATAAATGCAAATATTTAAATTTATTTAACTTTATTTTTTCAAATGAAGCATGCCTTTAGCGTTTTTCTCTGAATAACTTAACTTTAATTTTTTAATACCACTCTTCTCCTATTCTCTCTCCCAACCCTCACATTCCTTGATGGGTTGCCAGAGCTATATGCCTTCTGCCAGCTCTTATTCAAGTGTTACTGCCCTGTATCAGAGCCCTCTGATAGCCACCAAGGCTCTCATTCCATATGAGATATCTGGATTAAGCTTAAGTAACTACTTACTAAGCTGTGCCACTTGGGTGAGTTTCTCACTCTGTTTCCTCATTACTAAGTGGAGATAATAATATGTACTTTATTGTAAGGATTAAAGTTTATGAATGCATTTTTATCCTTTGCATATAACCTGTTATATGTCTATAAATGGTAGATATTGTTATGATCTTAGGTCTATTAAATTAATAATATTTGTTAATGTTGAATAACCAAATCTCAAAAAATGCTATCTTGTCATTTCAATAACGTATTATTTTAGAAGCATGTAGGATCACTAAGGTCAAAACACAGTATTGCTGCCATCAATATTTTCATATATGTTTATGCTTTTTTCAGCTTTAAAAAGAGATTAAGACATATTAGGAACTCACCATAAATGAGTAAGATTTCTTTTAGTTCCCAATAACATAGAGAAACACATATACAACTGCAACATTTTACCTGCCTTTTGCTAGCCTAAACCAGCTTTGAGCCTAATTATTCATAAACAGTGAATAATTGGACATGTGATCCCTTCAAAAAGAAATCTGGACTGGGCGCGGTGGTTTGTGCCTGTAATCCCAACACTTTGGGAGGCCGAGGCGGGCGGATCACGAGGTCAGATCGAGACCATCCTGGCTAACACGGTGAAACCCCGTCTCTACTAAAAATGCAAGAAATTAGCTGGGCGTGGTGGCGGGCGCCTGTAGTTCCAGCTACTCGGGGGCTGAGGCAGGAGAATGGCGTGAACCCAGGAGGCAGAGCTTGCAGTGAGCCGAGATAGCGCCACTGCACTCCAGCCTGGGCGTTAGAGTGAGACTACGTCTCATAAAAAAAAAAAAATCTGAAGTGTATTGAAGAAGAGAAGCATTATCGCTTTCAATGTCTGAATGGACCATCCATAAAATATATATATATTTGATAATATATATATGATTATATGTTTTTAATTATACATGTTTTTCTTTTATATACGATATACATATACGTATGTATATAATATATGTATGTATGTAATATTACACATATAAATATATATTAAATATACATATATGTATGTGATATTATATATAAATATATAAAAGCTTTATTCTCACGAGAGAACTGAAGAAATTCTTACTGAGTGCGTGCTTGGAAACAGTAAGAATGGGTAACTAGTTCTAGTATGAAACAATGCATCTAGATACCACATTCTACTTTTATATGTCTTTCAAAATAAACATGTCATATGTGAAAATTCTAATTTGACTCTCCATCAGCCATTATATAAAACATGTCACTCAGGTGCAGTGGCTTACGCCTGTAATCCCAGTACTTTGGGAGGCTGAGGCAGGCAGATCACTTGAGGTCAGGAGTTTGAGACCAGCCTGGCCATCATGATGAAAACCCATCTCTACTAAAAAGACAAAACTTAGCTGGGCATGCTGGCGCATGCCTGTAATCCCAGCTACTCAGGAGGCTGAGGCAGGAGGATCACTTGAACCTGGGAGGCAGAGTTTGCAGTGAGCCGAGACCGGACCACTGCACTCCAGCCTGGGTGACAGAGTGAGACTCCATCTTAAAAAATAAATAAATAAAAATAAAATAAAATAAAACATATCACTTATTGCTGTGGATATTCCTTCCCTCAGTCTGAGTGAGAGGCTGCTTCTGTGATGTAGAACAGCATCTTCTGTTTCCCCAACGTCAACCACAGTGTCTGGCATATGGTAGGTTTTCAGGTCATGTTTGCTGAGTAAATTGAAAATGAATGAACTTAATTTAAGCACTCTTTTCTAAAGATATGTAAGGGCTATGTGCTTCAGTACAGTTGACCTTTTTCCATTTAGGGTCCTTAAAAATGACAAAACTATTACAAATATTTCTTTATTAGTGGTAAAAGTGAAAAGTAGTATGACTTAGCTTTTTATGAACTTATATAGCGCTTCCTCCCATGATAATAATCACTAGTTATCAAAAGTAATTTCTTATAGGGCCGAGGGCAGTGGCTCTCCCCTGTAATCCCAGTGCTTTGGGAGGCCAAGGTGGGAGGATTGCTTGAGCCCAGAAGTTTGAGACCAACCTGGGCAGTATAGAAAGACCCTGTCTCTACAAAAGAAAATAAAAAATTAGCTAGATGTGGTGGCTCATGCCTGTCATCCCAGCTACTTGTGAAGCTGAGGCAGGAGGATAGCTTGAGCCCAGAAAGTCATGGCTGCAGTGAGCAGTGATTGCACCACTGCACTCCAGCCTGGGCATCAGAGCAAGACCTGTCTAAAAAAAAATAATAAATAAAAAATAAAATAAAATAAAATAAAATTAAGTACTTTAATTCAATGTTATGGGTGACATATTACCCTTGCCTGACTTTTTGTATATATCTAAAATATGGAATATGTACTCCTACTGGGGATTTAGTTCAAGGTCACTTAACAGAAAATATTGAATGGCACTAAGAACTCCAAGGTGATTTTATTCAGCAAATCTGATTCATTCCACCCAATGGAGAATATAAAGGATTATGTAACTTCATTATTCAAGATCCACAGTTTTCCCACAAAATAAATTGACCCTTGTCATCACAAAAGCCCATATTAGATATATCCATAGACGGTTCATACTTACCTTCTTTTCCAAAGATTATGTGAGGTGAAGAAAAACCTTTTTTTTGTAGATAGAGGATAGTAGTTACCAAGGGAGCAATACCAACATGTCACATTGGCACCTGGGGCAGCAAAGAAACCACCAAAGATATCAAACCATCTTGATGCTTTTGTCATGACCTATGAGGTAAGGAATCAGTCTCCCTGCAGTAATAAGCTTCTATAGAGAGTGTTGAACAAGTGGGTCACAGATGACACAGATTGGAGCAAGACCAAGTTTTATCAGGGCTCACTGTGCTTCAGGCAGGGCTGGCTACCTCTGATGTGTAGGTCAAGGAGACTTTTTTTTTTCTTTTTGAGATGGAGTCTCACTCTGTGGCCCAGGCTGGAGTGCAGTGGCGTGATCTCGGCTCACTGCAAGCTCCGCCTCCCGGGTTCACGCCATTCTGCTGCCTCAGCCTCCCAAGTAGCTGGGACTACAGGCGCCCGCCACCACGCCTGGCTAATTTTTTTGCATTTTTAGTAGAGACGGGGTTTCACCGTGTTAGCCAAAATGGTCTCGATCTAGGTCAAGGAGACTTTCATATCATAAGTCTATTGTGAAACAATTCCTATCTTATTCTTAGAAATCCATAGATACGAAATTTCTCTGTGCCTTTTATTGACTATGATAGAGAACTCTTGTGTCTTCCATGGTTTACAACATATAAGAACTTTGACGTTTTGTTTGTGTTTTCTCATCTTGGTTGAGAAGAAGGTTATAAGTCTATCAAGGCCAGGATTCATTGTTCTTTCTTGGTCAACTTTTGGAAATGTTGGTTGAAACTAATTCTAACTGTATTAAATCTGCAGAAAGAATTAATCCTTAAGACCTCATCAACAATCTTTTGTATAAACTAGACTTCTCTCTTTTAGTTAATTCTAGCCTTAGACATGAGGATCTTCTTGTATCCGCTGTCAAGCCATTAGTGCATAGCTGAGGTTACACATTCAAAGAAGATGGGCTTCCCAATAACATGAGTGATAGCTAATAAATTGCTCAGTCTTAATTCCAACTGTGCATTTTGCAATAAAGTTACTTAGCATAGAGTAGTGATTCTCAGGGTGTGGTCCCCAGGACCAGCAGCATCAGTACTATCTGCAAGTGTGTTAGACATGCAGACTCCTGAGCCCCATCCCAGACCTGCTAGATCAGAAACCTAGCAGGGTGAGGTTCATGGCCAAGTGTGGTGGCTCACACCTATAATCCTAGCACTTTGGGAGGCCGAGGCAGGTGGATCACCTGAGGTCAAGAGTTCGAGAACTGCCTGGCCAACATGGTGAAACCCCATCTCTACTAAAAATACAGGAAACAACAAAAAAATTAGCTGGGCATGGCGATGCATGCCTATAGTCCCAGCTACTTGTGAAGCTGTGGTGGAAGGATCGCTTGAACCAGGGAGGCAGAGATTGCAGTGAGCTGAGATCGAGCCACCCCACCACTACACTCCAGCATGGGCGACAGAGCAAGACTCCGTCTCCAAAAGAAAAAGAAAAAAAGAAAAAAAAAAGAAACCTAGGGGGTGAGATTCAGGAGATTCTGATGCAAAACAAACATAGGGCATCTTGAAATGATTATAGATTTTTTTTTCTTTTAGACCAGTGAACTTGTGTATTTTTCAAACTGTTGGCTGGTGATGACCTCAGGAATTTAAAAATGCTAACTGAGCCCAAGAGAATTCATTATCCTGTATTTACCTTTGGTAATCTGCCCTACTGCAAACTTTTCATTAAGCATTCATTAAGGGAAATAGGACTTTTGAGAACTAAATCTGCCTTCAAGCACATTTGTGTATAGTAAGGAACTTAGTATCTTTTAGATACATTCTGTTAGTGATGGAGTGTAGTTTTTAATATCTTCTAGAAAAAATACTATAATTAGAAATAATGTAATTTTACATGAGAATATTTGATTATTTAAAATTTTATATATTAATCGCATTATATAGTTGGAGCCAATGATTGGACATGTTGAGAAAATTTTAAAACATTCTTTGAACTTTACTTTTTTCTCTGAAAAATGAAATGAAATTCCACATCAAGTGAAAACTAAATTAAATGGCATGTGGAAGTATTTTGTAAACAGTAATTATTATTAAAGTGTTAGTACTTACCAAGCAATGCTTGATTTATGTTTCTTCAATTCTGATCTTAGCTGATTTCATACCTAAAATTGAAAGCTTGTAGATTTTAGAACTTTAATTACAGGTTTTATAATCTGTGAGTAAATGAAATATTGGATGGGAAAATTAATATCTAGCATCATGCAGGCCTGCTTTACAGAAGCACTAGAGTATTCCAGAGTATTACATAAAAGTAATACATTTTCCTTCCAAAACTTTAACTTAATTTTTTAAGATTGTAAATCAATACCTCTAAGGACAGCAGATTACTGAGGATAGTAGAGTATCTAGATCTAAAACATTCTTTCTTGGGTTATGTGATCATCATTGAACTTCAAGCACCTGGTTGTCTATGTGGTTTTACAAAGTTTGTTTTTGTTAATTCTCAAGACAGGGTTCCTATGGTTGGCAGAGCATCAGGTCAAAAAAACATGAGACCAGTTGGTTTATTAGCAGAAAACTCTGAAAAATTATCTCTTTGAGGAATGAGCTAAATCTTAGAATTATGAATGATGTTTCTAAAAATGCTGCCCATCATGTTCTTTATTAGAGCTTTTGTCTACTAGATTGCTGGACTTTCTCTTAGTAACAGTTGAGAAGAGAATATTGCTATCCTCAGTTAGTTAGTTGCCTAGAAGCCTCCCCCATTAAATGAAGAGCAGACTTACTAAAGCAGAGTGTGACCAGGTGGTGCAGTATGAGGTGCAGTTTAAGAAATTAAACATAGATGAATAATTGATACAGTTGTTAGTATCAATACTGTGCACACAAATTCTCAGCTAATATTTATGAATAAATATTATAGAGAGAACACTTTGTAAAAAGTCACAATGGTAGTTAACCCTTACTTAGGACTTACTATGGGTCAAACAAGTGCTAAGTGCTTTTTATATATTAACTCATTGAATCCTCATAGCAACCCTTTGAGCAAGTAAAGCTGGCAAATTGGGGTGCCAGAAATTGACATTGGCCTCTGGCTCCAGAACCTGTGCTCTTTATCACTCTATGCTGCTTACAGGTTTTAGAAATACACTAGAAGAGAAAATAATGCCCTCTTGAAAGAGTCTTTCAGGCCTGGAGAAGCAGATTCCTGCTCTTAATAAAGGTGAATGATACAATCACAAGCTAAAAGTGAATGCTTCTGTTTTCTCAAAATTAGATCTTACACTCCTACTTCTAATGGCAGAAAAGCCAGATTGAGCCATGCAAAAGGAAATGGGATGTCTTTATGTTCTTTTCTATAAAATTCAGTGATCAACAGACATTTATATATCATCTAACTTTGGCCAAGCACTGGACAGATGCATAGAGAGGAATTAGGTATGTTCCCGACTTTGAAGAATAAAGCCATCTGTAACACACTATGGCAAGTGCATATGAGCCATGCTCAGGGTTCTAATGGGAGCAGAGCAGAGAACACCTTATGGTGTCTGTTGTGTGGATCCCTCCCAATCTCCCTCATTCCGTGGTCAAGCTAAAACAGTCTCAAGGATGAATAGAGGCTGGTGTGGTGAGTGGGTGATATGGTTAACCAGCCCTCCAGAAAGAGAGGGCAGCATTTGGAGAGGTGCAAAGTGTACACTATGCTTTGCAACCTCCTTAACTCATTGGGAGTACTAACTAAATTACATATTCATAGACCCCATTCCAGATCCTCTAAATCAGAATCTCCAGGGGAGAGGCTTTGGAGACTGTGACTAACAGGGGCCCCAAGTGATTCTTATCAGGGGGTCTTGGGCAACAGAGGACAAGTGGAATACAGTTCGTTCATGAACATTGTTGGGATGAGTTTTGGAGAGAATGGTGAAGAATGAGATTAGGTAGTATGAAGGTCACTTTATGTCATGCCTGTCTTTTTGATTGTTCGGTTTTCTGTTTGTATCCTACCTAATGCTGCTACTTCTCAGGCATTAATAGGTACATTGAACTGAGCATTTACTTGGACAACTTTAAATTGAAAGCTTTGGACCTAAGCCCAATGTATAAGATTCCCACCCTTGACTTATCTGTGGCTTGAGAAACACTTAAACAGGAGAGTGGGGAAGAGGATGAGCATTGTTTATTTATAGCATGTCCCTTGACTATTAATCGTGTTTCATTTTATTTGTTAGAAGACTGAGTAGCTACTAAGTAGTACAGCTAATATTTGAGCCTGGACTTACAGAGTAGAAGAAATGTGATTTGTCAAAAAGTGGTGAGCAAAGTGCTCATTCCTTCATTTAAAACGGGTGAACTGCAAAATGCAGGGTTGGAGTCAAGGTCCATAGTAACCTCTGTTACCATATGAAGATGTGTGCCCACCATTCCCTTGATTCTTTTAAGAAAAACCAATTATCAATATTTTATGTGAATTTATCTCTATTTTAAAATCTTGCTTTTATATGTGTGTGTGTATACATGTATTTATGTTTATAAAACAAAACCATGTGCTTGCCGACACTCTGATACAAAATAAGTCATTGGGTAGAATTTTGCTGTAGGACTAATGGTTTGTGACCACTGTGTTAAATCATCTCTGAAGTCTAAGCCTTAAGATATTATGATTTGTGATAACGCTTGATGAGGTATGACTTACTGATTTGCTTTCCTATCATATCTTAAAGAAATTTTCCTCAATATTTATGTGGAGCTTTATTAATAACAGAGGCTTCTCCAAGTACTAACATACTTTTAACTTTGTTGGAAGTGACAGAGAAAGAGTGAAAGGCTCTTTCCTGACTACTGTGGGCACAGTGCTGCCCTCCCCTGAGCCTTCTTGTCCAACTGCTGTCTTTCAGTAATTTTCTACCATAAGATTCTGTTTTCTTCTTCTTTTTTAAATCTGATATTTTCAAACATTGAAAATATTATTTCTTTTTATTCGTTTACAAAAACATCCACTGAAATAAAATAATTTAAAAGATCTTTATAAATATTTTATCTTTAGCTCTCTGTAGAACAAATACCTATTTCTATAGGAAAAGCTTTCTGTGTATAACATTATTGACTGAGGGAGAAAGGGTTGTAAGGGGAAAATTTTGTTTTAAAAACTTTTGAATTGACAAATACAAATTGTATGTATTTATGGTGAAGAATGTGATGTTTTGATATGTGGATGTATTGTGGAATGGCTAGCTCAAGGTAATTAACATATGTATTACCTCACATACTTTTTATTGTGGTGAGAACACTTTAGGTCTACTCTCTTAACAATTTTCAAGTGTACAACATATTGTTACTGTATTAACCATAGTCATCGTAATATACAATAGATCTCTTCAACTTATTACTCCTTTGTAGCTGAAATTTTGTATTCTGTAATAGTCTGTTTTCTGCATTTGGGGTTGTGGATCTATTTAGGAACATGGATCTATCCATTTCCATGTATAATTTCAGCTTTGTGTGAAGCCACACACTATCAGTATCTTTTTACCAACATGTACACTAACATTAGTGGATCTTGAAACTAATTCAATGCATCCTAACTAGTACTAATATGAGAGAGAGAAGAAAGAAGATCCCTGTATGCATTGCAGGTGGTAAGGGTAAGAAATATTTCATAGAACTTTTGTTTCAGGGGTGTGTGTGTGTGTGTGTGTGTGTGTGTGTGTGTGTGTGTAAATTCTACTTTGCATCATAGAATGTATTTCTTACTGGGAGAGCAGTTAACGCATTTCAAAAGCCTCTGATCTAGGATGACTAAATAGATCCTTGGTCATTCCTGCCTAGTATAAGAGTTTAAATTTTAAACTAGCAATTTGAAAGGATTTTCATCATATGTTAATTACCTCCAAGCCTAGGCTTTTCTCCTCAGTCATTTCAAAGCACTTCTCTGTCTAGCTTAAATCTGTCCTCTGATCCAAGGGTCACTTTTCAGGAGAATGACAGTGCTGAAGAGAGAGTTCTTACAAAATGATGAGCTGCCCAGCCTTGGAGAGTAGGAGAGAGACTCTTGTAGGCTCTAGAAGGGGGCCATGGAGGGCAGTGAGCCAGCCCTAATTCTATCTTCACCAAAATTCCTTGAAAATGAAAAGAAGGAATAAAGGAGAAAGGCAATGTGGGAGTAAATAGAGAATCTCATGTACATTTAAAGATATTGAAAAGTCCTAAAGAGAAGGAGACCTAGAAATACTTTTGCAATGAAATGTTTTGCAGTCGTTATGGGCTTGTTTCTTAGGAACTGAGTGACTTGGGGAAAGATGTAGTTCTTGTCTGGGTTGTGGAATAAAAAGCTGATTGTTTCTGTGAACCAGTAAGTATGTTTGCTAGCGTGAGGTTATTAGTCAGACACACCACAAATTAGCAGAAGTTAACACCTCCTGTATTTGTTTCATGTTTGTTTAGTTAGTCCTGTTTGGACTCTCAAGAAATTGTATTTCAGAATTTAAAAAGGGAAGTGAGATTTAGATTGTTGTATGAGATTGTGGACACTAGAGGGATAAACATTCTTATGTCTTAGTAAGAATTTAATGGCAAGTGAATGCTTCCTTTTAAAGTTTCCAGAAATAAATCAAATTGTGCTGATTTCAACCTTTTAAAAAAAGTCACATTTGTCATAATGGTAACCTAATGTGCATTATGTGAAACTAATGAAAAGCACTTAGTATTTATGTTCAGTATTTTCTGTTATCTATTGATTCACTTATAAAGCACTATCTTATGTTCTTATTCTGGGGGAGAGTTCTAGATATGTTATGAACTACATTAATAACTCAAGCTGCCATTGTGAGCAGCCAGTTAAAAGAACCAAGCCACTTTTGTATGCTTGGTGAAGTAAAAACCAGCTTTTCAAATATACTTCGGAGGCAGACTTTTAAAAAATTATATTGAAGAGATAGTAAATGTTATTTTGGCCAGTCAATCTTCATTGATTTAGTTATCTATAAATAAATATTTTAGAGGCCAAAATCCAAAAGAACTGTTTTTTTTTCTTGTTCCTATTATTAGTATAAAACCGATGAGGCTGACATGAATATTTTCTCTCATGATAAGACGGGCTATCTATTGTGGGTCCAATATCCAGGCACAACTACATATACTCAGAGGCTGTTGTTCTTCCCATCAAAAGTGATTGTCTGCCTGTAATCCCAGCTATTCAGGAGGCTGAGGCATGAGAATTGCTTGAACCCCTTTCTTTCCTATTTTTGTTTTGATTAACAAACTCACATTTTGTTTTGATTAACAAACTCCAGGTAGGGCTGCATTTCTTGGAAAATAAGGAAACCTTAGAAATAAGGAAAATAAGGGAATATGTTATCAGTTTGATTTTGTTTTGTAGCAAAGCACCCCAAAACTTAATGACATAACATTTATTGATTCATAATTTGATGGGTGGGCAAGTCGGGCTGAGCTCAGCTGAGACATCTTTATTCTAATTTGTGCCTTCTGGGCACACTCGCTTGTTAGTGGTCAGTTGGCAGTCAGTGGTGTTATTTATGTATTTATAGAGGCTATGGTGGTAAATGGGGCAACTGAGGCATGTGGTGTGGGCTACAGTGGTTCCTAGAACAGTGAGAGAGAATAAGCTCCAGTGAACAAGCACTTTTCAAGCCTCTATTTGCTGTCTTGTTTACTAGTGTTACATTAGCTGAAGCAAGGCACATGGCCAAGCCCAGACACCACAGGTAGAGAAAGACTCTACCTCTTGATTGGCAGAGAGTTATGCTTGCAGAGATAGGAAGAATTTGTGGGCATTTTTGTAATCCACATAGAATGGGTTTTTTTGATGTCCTATGATTTATCAGACTTTATGCTATGTGACTTACCTGTTATTCATTTAGTCCTCAAAACAATTTCCTGACATGCCTGGCATTATGCCCATTGCAAAGATGATAAAACTGATGATCAGAGAAGTTAAGAGACTTGCACAAATTAAGCCCAAATTGTTTGCTTCAAGTTATGGAATGGCCTTTTAGGTGCTGTCTCTTGTTAAGCAACATGATCAGATGCTTAGCCCATGAGGCAGAAGATGTATGCTTTATTTGGTTAAAATGGAGTTCTAAAGACTACTTTTACTTTCTCCCTTACATGTTGAACCATTGGGTCATATATTTATTTGGTATAGAAAAAATATTAAAATTTCACTATCTTTGAGACGTTTCAGAAGCTCATGGAAGTGTGGTTTTTGTTTGTTTGCCAGGTCAGCTACACAACCTGGATCTTACCACAGTTTGGATATGACTGAGGCTCTCCAATGGGCCAGATATCACTGGCGACGGCTGATCAGAGGTGCAACCAGGGATGATGATTCAGGGCCATACAACTATTCCTCGTTGCTCGCCTGTGGGCGCAAGTCCTCTCAGACCCCTAAACTGTCAGGAAGGCACCGGATTGTTGTTCCCCACATCCAGCCCTTCAAGGATGAGTATGAGAAGTTCTCCGGAGCCTATGTGAACAATCGAATACGAACAACAAAGTACACACTTCTGAATTTTGTGCCAAGAAATTTATTTGAACAATTTCACAGGTACTGTTTTATTTTTGAAGAAAACCTTAGAATATCATTCTAGTTGATATATAACATATTTTTCATTTTCATAACCCTGTATATTACTTAAACCTAAGACATGTGACATCATCCTTGACAATTTTGATACAAATCTGTTGTGGAATGATGACTCCTCCCATTCACGTAGCACTTTCCAATTGGAAAGGTGTTTTCTCTTTACCAGAAAAGATATTGTAATTCACATATTATAGGTTAGGAAATGACTTGACTGTGGTTTAGCCAATGTCATGCCAATGTCAAGTAGCAGACCAGGGGCTGCCTCTGGGGGTCTTCTTACTCTTGCTTTAGTGTTCTTTCCATGAAACCACGCGCATTTTAATTTCAAATTTTTCTTACTGATAATAGGAGGAAATAGAGCTCTGAAGCCAGTGCAGATGTCAGATGTTTAGGTGAAACAGTGACCTAATTCAACTTAATATCTCATTCATGGACAATCTCCTGTGAGTTTAGGCACTGAAGGAAATGGAAGTGTGAGTGCCACTCCTCTCCTTGTGGAGTTTGCAGTTGTGCTAGGGAAACACAATATATACATATATAAAACAAAAAGACATAGGGAATGCAATGAGTGTTATAAAGGGCTGTCAAATAGAATGAAAGCCTCAAAAAGAGAAATAATAATGGTAACTGGAGCAATAGAAGGGGAAGTGACATTTGACTTAATAACAGAGGGTGGGTGAGATATTCAAAGCAGAGGTGTGAGCAAAGCATATTTCAGATGGAGGAAGGAGTATGAATAATGGCATAAAGGCAGTAGCATAAAAGGCTTGCTTGAAGCCTGGGAAATAGTGTTCTCTGACTTACATGTAACATCTGTGCTGAGGAGCAACAGGAAGTAAAGTCAGAAAGATAGATGTGACCCAGGAAAGAGGTCTTGCTATCAGGATAAAGAGTTGAGGGCCAAGTCTGCAGGCACAATTACCATGCTTACGTCAGTATTTCACTATGGAAGCAGTGTGGTGGGTAGATGAAAAGACTTAGAGATGATGGCAGAGAAAACATTTAGGAAGACATTGTATATATCCCAGTGAATTGTAATGGAGACCTGACCTTGGAACAATGTGGGAATGAAAAGAAGGGTGATCTCTTACAGATACTGTGGATTTAGTGTAAGACATTCAGTGAAAGGAGTAAAAAAGATGATGTGAACATGTTGAGCTGTGATGACCAGAAGTACTAACAGAAAAATGAAAAACAAGAGTAAAAAGAACCTTGGCTGGAAGAGTATTTTGTTTTTGTAAATGTATTCAAGACGCCAATGCAAGTAAAGAGATTCTCCATATTCTTTAGTCATTCCACATACATTCATTCTCATCATTCATTCTATATATGTTCCATATGCATTTATTAAATAGTGGCTATGTTTAAAGGACAGATTTGAATTTGTTGAATTAATGGCTATGTAGCCCTATGTGTGTTTCATTCTTTTATGGAGTTTGGAATCTAGTGTACCCAATGGAATAAAAACCTGAAACAGAGTTCAAGGTTAGAGCTATAGGTTTAGATGTGGTCCACCTGGAAAGAATTGAAGCCACAGAGTAGCAGAAAGGGTTAAGAAAGAAATTTTCAGAGTAAAAAGATTTGGAGGTGACAAAAAAGAAGTATATATAGATTATTCTTTTGAGAAGTTTCATGGTCAATGGAAAAATATGTTATCAAAATGTAATGGCAGGATTAAGATTTTGTTTCTCCTTTAAGGAAAAGGGTGTCTTGAACTTACCATATGGCCCAAAATTAGGGACCCATGGAGAAGTATTTGAATATATAAAGTAGAAGAATGGAAGAAGTTCCTGAAGAAGGTGGTTCTGAATAGCATAAAAGAAGAAATAGAAGAGTTAGTCACAAGAGAAAAGAAATAGGCTTTTCTACTCAATTTTGAGGCTTGTTTAAATCTAATGTTTGGATGTACAAAAGGCTAGAGGGTTGATCTTTATTTTGTTAATTAATTTTTATACCACATGAACTCTGAATTTCTTCTAAATTTTTATGAACTTTTAAAAAGAAAATAGTATTTTCTCTTGTGCTTTTTTCTATTTTTTTATTGTGCTCAAGACCGTCCCACTCAAATATTTACTATTTTATATTTAATAAATAATATCTCACATTATTTATTTATTGATTGATTACTCTACCCAGGCTGGAGTGCAGTAGTGTGATCCCGGCTCACTGCAGCCTCCGACTTCTGGGTTCAAGTGATTCTCGTGCCTCAGCCTCCTGAGTAGCTGGGACCACAAGCGTAGGCCACTACACCCAGCTAATTTTTGTATTTTTAGTAGAGACGGGGTTTTACCGTGTTGCCCAGGCTAGTCTCGAACTCCTGACCTCAAGTGATCTGCCCGCCTCGGCCTCCCAAAGTGCTAAGATTATAGCCGTGAGCCACCACACCCAGCCCTGATATCTCACATTTATTAAAGAATGACACAAGCCAGATGTCTAGCAGGGTAATAAATAGTTCATTAAGATTCATTGTATTCTGCTAGTTCTATATTCTGTAACATACAAAATCTACTAATAGAAACTTACAGAAAAACAATATAGTACTTTGCCTCTGACATCAGTCCTTGAAGTAACTTCTTAACACCTCCCTTTGTGTGTTTGGGTTGCAGAGCTGCCAATTTATATTTCCTGTTCCTAGTTGTCCTGAACTGGGTACCTTTGGTAGAAGCCTTCCAAAAGGAAATCACCATGTTGCCTCTGGTGGTGGTCCTTACAATTATCGCAATTAAAGATGGCCTGGAAGATTATCGGAAATACAAAATTGACAAACAGATCAATAATTTAATAACTAAAGTTTATAGTAGGTAAGTGTAATGGGACCTTTGCTAAGGACTATGTATGTATCATTGAGAAATATGCAGAATGTTACTTTTTTCTCCTTAGGTGTGACCAGGACCCTTTTGTGGTGGTGTTGGTGTTGTTGCTATTGTTTTCAACTAATATTTCGTAAAGTCCTATGGTGAATTTAATTCAAGTGTCAGAGGAAAACAAAAACGTATAAGCCATTGTCAACCCAGGAGCCGACAAAGCAAAAGCTTCTGTAACTCATGTATAAGTGGAATTAAAAGAATTAAACTTCAGGGCCGGGCGTGGTGGCTCACGCCTGTAATCCCAGTACTTTGAGAGGCTGAGGCGGGTGGATCGCCTGAGGTCAGGAGTTCAAGACCAGCCTGACCAACATGATGAAACCCTGTCTCTACTAAAAATACAAAAATTAGCCGGACGTGGTGGCAGGTGCCTGTAATCCCAGCTACTCAGGAGGCTGAGGCAGGAGAATCGCTTGAACCCAGGAGGGGGAGGTTGCAGTGAGCCGAGATCGCACCACTGCACTCCAGCCACTGCATTCCATCCTGGGCGACAGAGTGAGACTCTATCTCAAAAAAAAAAAAAAAGGAGGAGAATATTCTTTTTTGGTGTGCACAAAACTAGAGCATCCCATCACAGCAACAACAGAGAGCATTCATAGGAGGAGGTCTTTTTAGGGGCATATTTGCTGTGTTGGAGACTTGTATTTTCAGTATTTATGAAATAGAGAGTCTATGTAGCCAAGAATAAACTCAGTGAAGGTGAGTCTTAAACTGTAGTGTATATTATTTGCAGCTCCTGGGTTTTTATTCTTAGATGTAAGTTAATACTTAGTAAACCGTATAGACAAATATAACTTGTCTTCAATCTTATGTGATCCAAAGAGGAAAATGTTAGGAAAGGCTTCTCTGAAGAAGTGATATTTAATCTGAAAGCTGCAGAATTCGTATTTTGTTCATTATTAGAATTCTTCAGTGACTTTCACAATGTTTGTTTTTATGATCTATCAAGAAAACAAGGAAAAGAACTTTATTTATCTTTTGTAAGATGATTTGAGATTTCTTGGATAATGAGAAATTAGTTCTGTTTTTTCTCTTATACTCATGTCCAGTCTAAACGAAACCAGAAAAACACATGTGTTGTATTTTAAAATGAAATAATGGTATAAGTCATTGGTTTTCATTTAAAGGCATAGAGCATTTGACTAAAACAGTTCTATTAATAATTTAGTAACATTTGAATGCTTATTATATACCAGAGATAGAGAACTAAAATATCGGTACAGTCTCTAGCCTCAAAAAATAGCTATAAGAAACAATACTTTACAATGATTATGTGATGAACAAAGTCCAGAATTTGGCCAGTTTTAAGATTACCCAGTGAATGTCAAATTTAGCAAATGGAAAGAATGCTTATTATATATATTTTTGAATACAAATGCAAATATATAAATAATTTCAGGCCAGGTGCAGTGGCTCACACGTGTAATCCCACCACTTTGGGAGGCTGAGGTGGCTGGATTGCATGAGTTCAGGAGTTTGAGACCAGCCTGGGCAACATGGCAAAATCCTGTCTCTACCAAAAAACAACAAAAAATTAGCCAGGCATGGTGGGGTGTGCGTGTAGTCCCAGATATTGGGAGGCTGAGGTGGGAGGATCGCCTGAGCCCGGGAGGTGGAGGTTGCAGTGAGCCAACATTTGGCCACTACACTCCAATCCGGGCAAAAGAGAGAGACCCTGTCTCAAATGAATGAAATAATTACAGATCTTAATTGCAATTTGGAGTTGATAGTGTGTGTTTATTTGCTTTTCTAGGTTGTTCTACAACATTTAATCTGATTCTCTCAGTTAGCTGTGCAACCTTGGGCAATTTACAAAAAGCAGCTAAACACCCAGTTTCCTGTATTATGAATGTAATAATAAAACTTACTTCATAGCACCTAGTCTTTTCCAAGTGCTAGGTAAAAGCCGTTATGATTATTATTATAGGTTAATAATGACTATTTGCTAGAGTTTATGTTTGTCACATCGAGTCATTTCATTAACATTTGAGAACTCCTGAAAACACTGCACAATTTTTAAAATATTAAAATTACCCAGTGGAAGACCTGGTATAACTTTTTTCTCAGGTGTCCTTTTAGACATAGTCCAGATTGATTTTCATATAAACTTAAAGATGAAATGCAGTATTATAGTCAGTTATTTAATATCCATTCTAAGATGTTCCTTTATGTTTGTGTTTCTTAATAGGCTCAGGTAATTTTATGTGTTTTTATCTGTGTATAATATAATTTGCTTTTGTTTGGTATTGTAGAAGAAATAGTGCTTATGTTTTTCCCCCAGATCATTTCTGGAACAATTATTATAAGGTTATAAAGAAATAAAGATGGGATATAAAACCATGCCTTGTTGATTTAAATATGCTAATGTAAATGTATATGAAATACAAAGAAATCAACTTACAAATTATTTCTCCACAAATTTAGGGTGAAATTATGGGGGCTATTTAGCAAGTTTTTGGAAGAAGCATATTAACATTTCTAAGCAGATAATTTGGTTCTTTTTTGTAGTAGGTGGTGTTTCACAAGGCGCTTAATTTTCTATAGAAAAGTATCATTTGGAATAACAAACACTAGTCTAGAAATTAATCATTTAAACTCTATTATACCCCCAATTAAGTTAGAATAAGCTATTATAGAAAACCTGACTTTCTTAAGATTTCCCTTAAAATAGGGGCCACTTATAAGGTTTTAAAATCTGTTTTAACATAATGAAACTGTCTTGAAAATAAGACTATTAATCATTCAACAAATCTGAGTGCCTGCTATGTGGTAAGCACTGAGAGACTTAGAGGATTTAAACTAAAAATAGATACAATGTCTGCCATCAAGGAATGTACATTATTTTCTGACCTTTAAAAATCACCATGTTGTTGATGTTAGAAGTTTCAAAATATTAGTTAACATTTTAGGATTATCTTATAAATCCATAGAATTTCATGATTTGTAAAATGAGAACTTCAGTAGCCATCTAAGATAATTAACCTTAGTAACACACTTTACGAAACAAAAATTTTAGATTCTTCAAATTTTCTTGAAAATACACAATTAAACCACATTTTATTTGGTGGTTATCAGAAGTGACTGTAGCTGGTAGTAAACTCTAGTATTTGAGAGGGTAGACTCTGGATATACCTGCCTTGTTTCAATTTACAGGGCCACTTAAGAGCTGTGTAACATTGAACAAGTTACTTAACTTGTCAAGGCCAATTTTTTCTAATTTGTAAAAGTGGGGCTGTCCTGTTTTCATGATACCAACCACAACATTGATTCAAAAATTAAATAAGTTGATATATGTAAAGCATCTAATAAATCTTAGCTGATTTTGTGCCCAATGATAATTCATTATTTGCTTATTATAAATAATTCAGTGTTTTATTGGAAACATACTAAAAATACCAAAAAGAATAATTAATTCATAATCCTACCCTTTCTCTCTTTAAAGATAAAGTGAAGTAGGCATCCACATTCCCCACCCTTCATTCTTACTTCTCCCTTTTGTCCCTTACCAGCTCCCATCCTAGTGGAATCACTGTTAATCGTTCAGTGTGTATTAGTTCCAACTTTTCCCAATGCTTGTGTAGCAGAGCTGTTTGCTACTGAACTTATAAGAAACAAAATGGGCCTAGAAGCTTTCCTAAAGGAGGGATTGTGGATGCTGTGTCCTGGTCATTGAGAGTCACACACAAGCACAAACCACCAAGGAGATGCAACAAGTTCTAGTTGTGCATTTAGGCTCTGGGGAAAGAAGAAAGTCCTCTTACTAGTTTTAATTATATATCAGGAAAGGAAATGTAGCCTTATGTTTCCATCTCCCAACACTGTAAATGTTCCAGGCTAGTTAAATGTGGCTGTGAGCATTGTGGTTTAACCTGTGGTTGCTTTCCCACCGTGCTCTCTGAAGCCTTCTTTATTCCTCCACTGGGACTGATGTGCTGTCTCACCTTTCTTTGCCTGATTCATTCTTGAACACCCTTTAAGACTCAGTTCGGGTATCACTTCCTCCAAGGCCCAGTGCCCTTCCTGTTTGCCCCCATAGTAGCCTGTAGACAGCTCCCTTTTAGGAAATTGCTGTTTGTGTCTCTGTTTCAAATTTTGACCATAACCTCTCTAGAGTGGGGACCCTATCTTAATCATTTTTGTGTATTTTGTACTATGCACCTAACATGGTAACTGGGATATTAATATCGGTATATGTTTCTAGACCTGAGCTAGCCAGTGATTGGGAAAATTAGCTAGTGTTTTGTTTTGTTTAAATCTTGGTACATGCTACAAATGGGGAAAAATGAAGTGAATTTGAATGTGAAAGTGACTTCATTTGAGTTTTCTTCTAATATAGAGAAAGAAACTTGTTCCTTAGAGCAATGTTACTTCTTATATTTGCAAGAATATGAAATTCCTAACCCAAATGTCAAAATCTGTCTCTCTTTGGGCCTTCACGAGTTCTCAGCAAATTTCCTCCTGGCTTTCTTCAGATAGAAAGTAGAGAGCAGTAAGCATGAATTATGTACCTCAAATTATACCATCTGTCTTTACCTACTTTCTTCTGACCTTAGATGAAGAGGGAATTCCCTTTCTTGTAACAGTAATCCTTCCATCTGTATTTTTCATCTCATTCCTGTTGCTTCTCTCTAGCTTCAACCAGCATCTCCTCTCCCTCCTTTTTCTTCCACCTTGCCTTCTGCATTGGCTTCTCCCCTGCATCCTATGTGCATGCCCAGTTCGCTCGTCTTTACTGTCCTTTGACTTACCTTCCCTGGCAGTGGCTACCTTCACCCCTTATTCTTTTCATAGGTAACCTTCAGGAAATATTCTACTTCGGTAACTTCTTTTTTGTTTTGTTTTGTTTTTTGAGACAGAGTCTTGCTCTGTCTCAAAAACAGGTTGGAGTGCAGTGGCGCAACCTTGGCTCACTGCAACCTCCACCTCCCGGGTTCAAGCGATTCCCCTGCCTCAGCCTCCCGAGTAGCTGGTATTACAGGCATGCACCATCATACCCGGCTAATTTTTTGTATTTTAGTAGAGACAGGGTTTCACCATATTGGTCAGAATGGTCTCAATCTTCTGACCCTGTGATCCGCCCCCCTCGGCCTCCCAAAGTGCTGGGATTACTGGCATGAGCCACCGTGCCCGGCCTCTGTAACTTCTAATTACTCCCTGATTCACAGAGATTACACTTTCTTCTTCACTCTTCCAATCAACAATTTCACGTTATCAACTTTCTCCAAGGCCACCAGACCTAACAGCCAAATACTGTAGGCAGCTGGGTCTTTATTATACAGGACTCCTCTGTGGCTTTCAACTATTGTGACTCCCTCTTATAAATTTCCTTCTTCCTTGATTTCTGAGACACCACTTATCTCGGGTCTTCTTTCACCTTACTATCACTTTGAAGACTCCCTGAGAAACCTTATCCTTACCTGGAATCAACTGCCATCTATGTACCTAGGACTTCCAAATCTTTACTCATGATCTCCAGATCAGGACCCTCAAACTGCTGGGCAGATACTTCAAATAAAAGCTTTTCAAACTGAAGTTATCTCACCTGTGATACAACCAGTTGCTTCTAAAATCTGAGACCTGTGACAGCACCATCCATCACCTCATAGTACACGTTAGGAACCATAGTGTCACCCTGGATAATTCCTTTACCTGTAGTAAGTCCAAAAACTTGTTTCCGGTACCTAATATGTCTTGATTTCATCTTTTATGTATCTGTGTCGCTACTGCCTTAATTCTGACCATCTTCATTCCTCCCCTGAATTATTTCAATAACTTACCGTTGGTCTTTTGGCCATACTCCTAAATAAACTGCCATCCAAAAATCCATTCATTACTCTGTCTCAGGAGTTGGCAAACAGAAGTATGGTCACATCCTTCTTTGTCTGGACCTTTAGTTACTCTCCATTTCCTATGGAATGAAATTCCTACTCCTAGATATGGCATGGAGGACCGAACTGTCAAAATAATACCCCTGCCTACCTTTTTTATCTTTGCTCTGTTACCTGCCTCTATGGAAGAATGAACTGATATGCACAGACACTAGGGAAAAGTTTGGAAAAGACAAAATAAACTGTTGATTTGCCTTTCTCCATGGACCAATAAACCCTTCAGATAATCAAAGATTTCCTTTGTTGGTTTCAACCTTGTGCATTTGGTATGTCCTGAAAATGTACTTCTTAGGTAGCCTTTTAAGCTAAATATTTCTTGAAAGAGCTGATATAATTCTGTATGGCAGAATTTGTTAAAGTATTTGTGTAAGGTGTGATTGCTATTTAATCTGATGAAATAAAATAAGTGTATTTTGTTATATTTGTCACAAATATTAGTTTTTTATGGATATTTGGGAGACAATGAAGGAATAAGACAGACCTTGTTAACTTTTGTTGGTGGCATCATATGTGAAATGCCACCTAACTAGCTAACATGACACATGACATTCTACTATACAAATGTCCTCATTTTACCCTAGGGAAAATGACATTCTACTATACAAACGTCCTCATTCTACCCTAACGAAAATGTATCGTGGAGCATAATGGTAACCCATCCTATCTGCCTGATGGGAAGTGCTGTGAGCAGATGATGTGTCTTATGCATCTTCAGATCCTTGGTATCTGACCACAGAGCAGCATGAAGGAATTACTTTGTATCTGAATGAGCCCATCAAATGTTGATTGTAATTTTATTCCAGAGTTAGACTCAAACAGCATAATGGTTCAAAATCCCACAGGAAGAAAGAGCTGAGAAATATGTTTCAGTGGCTCAGTAACTAAATTTTCAGGTGAAGCATTTGTGGAATTTAGGGGTTGCCAATTCTGCGGCTTCCCTTTTAGCATTTTGTTTGTTTGTTTTTGTTTGTTTGAGACAGCTCTGTCGCCCAAGCTGGAGTGCAGTGGTGTGATCTAGGCTCACTGGAGCCTCCACCTCCTGGGTTCAAGCGATTCTCCCGTCTCAGCCTCCCAAGTAGCTGGGATTGCAAGTGCGTGCCACCATGCCCAGCTGATTTTTGTATTTTAGTAGAGACAGGGTTTCACCATGTTGGCCAGGCTGGTCTGGAACTCCTGACCTCAGGCGATCCACCCATCTCGGCCTCCCAAAGTTCTGGGATTACAGGCGTGAGCCAACTTGCCTGGCCCCTTTGAGCATTTAATAGATTAAAATTTACCCTAATACTTAATATATACTTTAAATTATACGCTAAAAAATTTTTTAAAAAAAACATTGTATGTATTTTTCACTTGATATTCTTTTTTTTTTTTAACTTTTTTTTAATTACAGGAAAGAGAAAAAATACATTGACCGATGCTGGAAAGACGTTACTGTTGGGGACTTTATTCGCCTCTCCTGCAACGAGGTCATCCCTGCAGACATGGTACTACTCTTTTCCACTGATCCAGATGGAATCTGTCACATTGAGACTTCTGGTCTTGATGGAGAGAGCAATTTAAAACAGAGGCAGGTGGTTCGGGGATATGCAGAACAGGTAAGTCATATGTTCTCAGTTAGTGGCTTATTAACATTTTTTTTCAGAAGATGACTGAGCTCATTTTCACATTACAGATAAAGAGATTTTTAATTCATTTTCACCAGGATGAAATAGAATCCCAGAAGGTTTCATTCACTTCCAGATATGAGTGGAAGTATACTCTTTTCTAGATAAGAGGATAAAATGACTTCAGAATTTACACACTTTAGTGTAGCACTCATATTTTTGAGAATGGAATTAAAGGAACCTAACAGAATTATTTTTCTTAAACTTAGACTTTGTATCTTATTTTTAGTTATCATTATTTCTAAAATCTGTAATTACTTATATACCAAAGCTTAAAACTTTAGCAGCTTTTCATGCTACATAGCTTTTAGACGCTTCTCAGTATTGTGCAGACGGAAACAGAAACCTTGAAGTTATATTGACATAGGTTTAAATGAATCACAACTCTGCTATTAATTTACTGTGAGACTTTGGACAAGTCATTTAAACACTTTATGCCTCAGTTTTATTATCTTAAAATGAAAATGATGGTATCTACTCTATAGCATTGTTGTAGGATTCAAATGAAATAGTACATATGTTTTCATATGTATTATTTGAATTTCACTATGTATGAAAACAGCATATATAGTGTCTAAATAGTTTCCCTCCCCTTTCTCTGGAAGCATTTGAGATGAAGTATTTTACAATTTAATGATTTTTGTTGTTGTTGTTGTTTTGAGACAGAGTCTCGCTCTATAGCCCAGGCTGGAGTGCAGTGGCGCAATCTCTGCTCACTGCAACCACCGCCTCCTGTGTTCAAATGATACTCCTGCCTCAGCCTCCTGAGTAGCTGAGACTACAGGCACGTGCCACCATGCCCGGCTAATTTTTTGTATTTTTAGTAGAGACACGGTTTGACCGTGTTAGCCAGGATGGTCTTGATCTCCTCACCTCGTGATCCATGTGCCTCGGCCTCCCAAAGTGCTGGGATTACAAGAGTGAGCCACTGCGCTCGGTCTATTTTTTTTTTAACCCAAACTACTGTTAAGTCAGGGTTACTCCGTCTTACACTTAGAAACCAAAAAAAGTGGTTTAGCCTACTAATACCTTTATCTTTGGTAAATTTCATCTTGTCATATTGGGCCCACCTCTCTACCTATGGATTTCATTTAGATCCTCTGTGATTGATATGCCTCCTAGACTACTGTCATTGTCACTTCTGTAAGTAGTCTGGTACCAAAGACATTGGTAAAAATCCTGCACTACTTAACGTTCTGTTGTACCACTACACACCCACTATGAGTATTAATCAGCAATTAATATTTGCATTAAAAGTAATGGCAAAAAGCATGACTACTTTTGCACCAGTCTAATACTAATCAGCACACTGTGCATTCATTAAGGGTGAATCTGGTGACCTCGATTGTAATCCTGCTCTAAACACTTTCTTGTTTTGAGAACTTTGGCAAATTACTGATCCTCTTTGTGTCTCTTTCCTCATCTGTTAATTAGACCCAATTATTTTAGTACCTACCTCATGGAGTTGTGAAGAAGAAATTAGCTAATATATTTAAAGTGCATAATAGATTTTAGTGCGTCGAAAGAACTCCATGGATATTGCTCATTAGAAAATAAATCATATCATATAATTCACATTTTCATGTTTCCTATTATATACTTATTAATTATGATATATCAATATCAATAGCATTTATCTTACTGGTCAAATGGATATGAAAATAAAAGTAATGAAATAAGGTTGATGTGGCTTGTTTCAGGGGAATCCATACCTTAAAGGAGCTATGTCCTACAAAGGCACTTTGCTTATTTGTTCATTGTTTTCATAAAGAATTCTGAAATTATCTGTCTGATCCATTAGAAAATATTATAGATATTGATGTCTAGTTTATTTTTAAATGTTTTATTTATAAAATTTGGCTGAGATCAAATGCATATATTCTCGGAGTGTTCACATATACATTTAATCTCAAAAACCACTTATGTGATTAAAGACCAACAACAAAAGTATTTTCAGTTTTTCAGTGCTTTATTGATAAAAAGGTGTTTATAAGTATAAGCTCTCTTCTGGGGAGTCCTGTGTGGATTTCGGTAAATGACTCAGTCATTCCCATCACCTGCAGATGTTTAATAATGCCCTAGGACCATTCTGATCCCAAATATGGATCACATGATTATGCCTCTACTTTCCTTCCTTTGGGAAATTCATGATATGAACTTCATTGCAAAAAGGCTTAGCATTATTTTAAGAATTGATGAAAGTGATAAAACACTTCAATATTAAGGGTTTAACCTTGAATTCTTATTTTGTGATTCAAAAAATATTTTTAGGACTCTGAAGTTGATCCTGAGAAGTTTTCCAGTAGGATAGAATGTGAAAGCCCAAACAATGACCTCAGCAGATTCCGAGGCTTCCTGTGAGTAATACATGATGAACATTTGTGGGTGTAAGTGGAATTGTGTGTTGCAATCGTACTTAATTTGATAAAGTGTTTCTGTGCTTATACCCTTGTTAAATCACTAAAGGTCGTAACTTTAGCCACCTACTAAAATAGTTTGGCTTATTTTAATTATTTAATAAGTATTTATACACACACACATACACATATAATATTCATTCTGGAGGTATCTTGTGGCATCCATATCCCCTTTGCCAGGGCAGCTAGAATTTGGGGTCCTTACCTAATTTCAGGCATCAGCCCATGAATGCTCTATGGCCTTGAGCCAAGTTATCTACCCACTTTGATCCTCAGTTTCCTGATTTTTAAGAGAAGACAATTAGACCTACTTCACAGTGTGAGAAGAGCAAAGTTCCCAAATCATTTTTTGAAATGAGAATTATCCTGATACTATTACCTTGATACCAAAAGCATATAAAGACATTTAATAGAAGACCAATATCCTACATGAGCATAGATGCAAAAATTCCACACAAAATTATAACAAATCAAATCCAGCTATGTATGAAAATGATAATATATTATGACCCAGTGGGACTTATTCCCCAAAAATCAGGTTTGGTTTAACATTAGAAAATAATACAATGTAATTCACCATTCTGGTACTATATTAACAAACCATATTAAACAAATCAAAAGGGAAAAACTAGGTGGTCATCTCATAGATGTAGAAAAAGCATCTTACAAAATCTAACTTTCATTCCTGCAAACTAGAAGTAGAAGGGAACTTAATCTGATAAAAGGCACCCATGAAAAACCTAGAGCCAGCAGCATATTTAATCATGAAATACTTCTCCCCTGAGATCAGGAACAAGACAAGCTTACACTGGAAGGTCTAGCTAGTGTAGTCAGGCAAGAAAAGGAAATGAAAGATATCAAACAAGAAAGAAGTAAAACTATCTTTTATTCACAGATGGTATAATGTTCTTTGTAGAAAATCTGATGAAATCTCCAAAAAACTACTAGAAATAATGAGTTTAGCAATGTTGTAGAAAACAAGATCCAGATACAAAAATCGATTGTATTTTAATATGCTAATAATTAGCAGATATTGAAATTTTTAAACATACAATTTATTATAGCATCAGAAAAATGGAATGCTTAAGTATAAATCTGACAAAAAATGTGAGCTACCTGTACACTGGACCACTAAACACTAGTGAAACAAAATTGAAGAGCTACTTAATTGGAAATCAGTTTCCCCCCAGATTTATCTATAGAGTCAGTGAAATCCCAATCAAAATCTCAGCAAGGTCTTTAAGAAATTGACAATCTTATTTTAAAATTTAAGTGGAGATGCGAAATAACTAAAGCAATTTTGAAAAAACAAGAAAAAAGCTAGAAGGCTAAAACCACATGATTGCAAGATTTATCAGAAAGGTATAATAATCAGGCCAGTGTCATTTTGGCATAAAGATAGATCAGGAGATCAATGGAAGAGATTATAGAGTCTAGAAATAGACTGACACATTTATGGACAACTGGTTTTTAACAAAGGTGCAAAGACACATAGATGGAGAAAGGTTATCGTTTCAACAAACAGTACTGCAACAATGGGGTATTTATATTTTCAAACGTGAACTCCAATCCATACCTCTCACCATTTACAAAAATTAACTGAAAGTGAATCCTAGACTTAAATGTACATCTACAGTTATGAAAACTTTCAGAAAAAAAATGGTGGAAATCTTTTTACTTTGTATTATGCAAAGATTTCTTAGATACAACACCAAAATCACAATCCATTAAAGAAAAATAAAAGAACTCATCAAAATTTAAAATTTTGCTCCTCCAATGATACTGTTTTTACAATGAAAAGACAAGTCACAGACAGGAAGAAAATATTTGCAATCCATGTATTTCCTATAGGACTTATATTCATAATATATAAAGGAATCTCGAAACCCAGTAATAAAACAAACAATACAACTTTAAAAATGGTCAAAAGACTTTGAACTGATGTATTTGACATATGAATGGCAAATAATTTTGTGAAAAGATGCAGGTTAAACCACAGAGCTTTACCTGCTACAATTAAAAAGATCAAGTGTACCAAGTGTTGGCAAGGATGTAGAGGAACTTGAACACTCATATGCTACTGGTGGGAATGTAAAATAGTACAACCACTTTGGAAAACAATTTGGAAATTTTGGAAAAAGCTAAGCATATGCCCATTATATAACATGGCCATCCCACTCCTAGACAATTACCCAAGAAAAATGAAAATATTTGTCCATTCTATGACCTGTATACAATGCTCATAGCAGCTTTATTTGTAATAGCCAAAAACTGGCAGAAACCCAAATGTTCATCAACAGATAAATGGATAAACAACTCAATGAAGTTTGTTAAAATTCTAGGAAAAGTAACAGTGCGATGGAAGGAAATGTAGAATATAATAGTAGCATCTTTTAATTTTATTTTTATAGGTTCAATGGTCTTTGTGCAGATTTATTACATGGATATGTTGTGCAATGGTGAGGTTTGGGTGCCTAGTGTACCCATCTCCCGAATGGTGAACGTTGTTTCTAATAGGTAATTTTTCAACCCTCATGCCCCTCCCACCCTCCTTTCTTTTGGAGTCCCCAGTGTCTATTATTTCCCTCCATGTGTCCATGTATACCCATTCTTTAGCTCTCACTTATGAGTGAGAACATGCAGTATTGATTTTCTCGTTTTGAGTTAGTTCACTTAGGACAATGGTCTCAAGCTCCATCCATGTTGCTGCAAAAGTCATGATTTCATTGTTTTTTATAGCTGAATAGTAGTCCATGGTGTGTGTGTGTGTGTGTGTGTGTGTGTGTGTGTGTGTGTGTGTGTGTGTGTGTGTATATATATATATATACACACCACATTGTCTTTAATCATCCATTGATGGACACTTAGGTTGATTTCATTACTTCACTGTTGTGAATAGCATGATAAGAAACACATAAGTGTGGGTGTGTTCTTAATATAACATTTTCTTTTCCTTTGGGTAGATACCCAGTAGTGGGATTGCTGGGACAAATGGTAGTTCTATTTTTAGTTCGTTGAGAGGTCTTCATACTGTTATCCACAGGGGTTATACTAATTTACATACACACCAACAGTGTATAAGCATTCCTTTTTCTCTGCATCCTTGCCAACATCTGTTATTTTTTTACTTTTTAGTAATAGTCATTCTGACTGGTGTGAGATGGTATCTCATTGTGGTTTTAATTGGCATTTCTCTGATGACTCGTGATGCTGACCATTTTTTCTTATGCTTGTTGGCCTCTTGTATGTCTTCGTTTGAGAAATGTCTGTTGATGTCTTTTGTCTACTGTTTTGTAGTTGTTGATTTGTTTGAGTTCCTTGTAGATTCTGGATATTGGTTCTTTGTTAGATACATAGTTTGCAAATATTTCCTCCCATTCTGTACATTGTCTGTTTACTCTCTTGATTGTTTCTTTTGCTATGTAGAAGCCATTTATTTCAATTAAATATGATTTGTCTATTTTTGTTTTGTTGCATTTGCTTTCGAAGTCTTAATCATAAATTCTTTGGTTAGGCCAATGTCCAGAAGAGTTTTTTCTGGGTTTTCTTCTAAGATTTTCATAGTTTCAGGTCTTACATTTGAGTCTTTAATCCATCTTGAGTTAATTTTTGTAGATGGTGAGAGGTAGGGATTTAGTTTATTCTTCTACATATGCCTAGCCAATTTTCCCAGCGCCATTTATTGAGTAGGGTGTCCTTTCCCCATTGCTTATTTTTGTCAACTTTGTCAAATATCAGTTGGTTGTAGACATGTGGCTTCAATTCTGGGTGCTCTATTCTTTTCCACTGATCTATGTGTCTATGTTTTTGTAGCAGTACCATGCTGTTTTGGTTACTGTAGCCTTGTAGTATAGTTTGAAGTCAGGTCATGTGGTACCTCCAGCTTTTTTTGTTGTTGTTCTGGATTGTTTTGGCTATTGTGACTTTTTTTTGGTTCCTTATGATTTTAGAATTCTTTTTTCTAATTCTGTGAAAAATGACGTTGATATTTTATAGGAATTACGTTGAATCTGTAGATTTCTTTGGGCAGTGTGGACATTTTTAACAATATTGATTCTTCCAATCCATGAGCATGGGATCTTTTTTCATTTATTTGTGTCATCTACAGCTTCTTTAATCAGTGTTTTGTACTTCTCCTTGTAGAGATCTTTCACCTCCTTGGTTAAACGTATTTCTAAGTATTTTATTTTGTGTGTGTGTGGCTACTGTAAATGAGATTGAGTTCTTTATTTGGTTCTCAGTTAGAATGTTATTGGTATATAGAAATGCTACTGATTTTGTGCATTGATTTTGTGTTTTGAAACTTTACCAAAGTTGCTTATCAAGTATAGGAGTCTTTTGGAGGACTCTTTAGGGTTTTCTAGGTATAAGAACATGTCATCAGTAAACAAAGATAATTTGACTTCCTATTTTCCAATTTGAATGCCTTTTATTTTTTTTCCTCTTGCCTGATTGCTCTGGTTGGGACTCCAAGTACTATGTTGAACAAAAGTGGTGAGAGTAGGCCTCTTGTCGAACCGGAACAACGGTTATTAGGGGGAATGCTTTCAACTTTCCCCCTTTTTTTATGATATTGGCTGTGAATTTGTCATACATGATTCTTGTTATTTTGAGGTTTGTTCCTTTGACACCTAGTTTGTTGAGGATTTTTATCATGAAAGGATATTGGTTTTTATCGAGTGTTTTTTCTACATCTATTGAAATGATTATGTGGGTTTTTGTTGTTGTTGCTGTTGTTGTTCTTTTTGTTTGTTTGTTTGTTTGTTTGTTTTTCGAGACAGTCTCACTCTATTTCCCAGGCTAGAGCAGAGTGGTGCGATCTCAGTTCACTGCAACCTCCACCTCCTGGTTCAAGCAACTGTTGTGCCTCAGCCTCCTGAGTAGCTGGGATTATAGACACGTGCCACCATGCCTGGGTAATTTTTGTATTTTTAGTAGAGATGAGGTTTTGCCATGTTGACCAGTCTGGTCTCTAACTCCTGGCCTCAGGTGATCTGCCTGCCTTGGCCTCCCAAAGTGCTGGTATTACAGGCATGAGCCACTGCGCCCAGCCTAGTTTTAGTTTTTAATTCTGTCTATGTGGTGAATCACATTTATTGATTTGTATATGTTAAACTATCCTTCTGTCTCTGGAATAAAACCATGTGATCATGATGGATTATCTTTTTGATGTGCTATTGGCTTTGGTTTGCTAATATTTTATTGAAGATTTTTGCATCTGTATTCATCAGGGATATTAGCCTGAAGCTTTCTTTTTTGTTGTTGTTGTGTCCTTGCCAGATTTGGGTATCATGGTGATGCTGGCTTCATGGAATGAGTTAGGGAGCCCCTAATCTGACTCCTCTGACTTGTTGGAATAGTTTCCGTAAGATGGGTATCAGCTATTTTTTTTTGCACTGATGAGAAAATTTGACTATAAATCCATCTGGCCCTGGGCTTTTTGTTGTTGGTAGGTCTTTTATTAATGATTCAATTTCATTTCTTGTTATTGGTCTGTTCAGGATTCCATAGCATCTGTAAGTAGCACTGGATACAGACATCTGATAGGGTAGGGACAGGGAGGGAACCATGCAGTGGAAAGAGGGAAAGGCTTAGTCTTAATCAGGAGATAATGCTGGAATTAAATCTTCAAGAATGAGAAGATGCTAGGCAAACAATAAAGTGAAAAGAATGGCTGGCATTTCAGGCTGAGGGAGCAACATAGGCAAGAGCACAGAGGCCCAAGACTACAGTGTATTTGTATTGTTCTATGTGGCTAAGTATGTCTGGAATGTAGGTGAGCAATAAGGCAGATCATGAAGAGGCCAGAGCCTGAAGGGCCTTGTGTATTTTGTTAAAAAGAAACATTTATCCTGAAGTTATTGGGGTTAGTATTAGAAAAGTCCTTCCATGGAAATTTTAGATGGTCTTCATGAAAAGAAGTTAGGCAGCTGCCCCTCTCTCATCAGAAACATTCTCATAAGCCATCTCTTAGGATGAGTCCTTTTCAAGGATCATTTCCTCTAGCTGCTGACTGTGAATAAAGTTTCCTCTTGTAAATGTCAGAATCAGGGGCTGCCATTTTTTCACCTGAGGTCAGATCTGTCTTAGGGTGCAGCCTATTCAGCTGTCCTCTTCCCACAGCTGGGCACGCTGACTCCCTGATGAGCTCAGACTTGCCCCTAGCAGGATGTATTTGGTTTATGCGGTGGAGAGAACAGGAAGGAACTCTAGTCTACACTCTGTGGTCTGGAGCATATAGCACTCTGCAAAGAATCTGGCCCAGTGCATGTAGTTAGATTTTTAAAAAACTGTATGAGAACACTGTTGCCACAGAAATTCTGATCCTGTGTCCCAATTCTGATAGTTTGTCTAGTGTCTGAGACTCCGGCTCTTGCTACCTCAGAACTGTTTGCTCCTGTATCATCTTGACAAGTAGTTCAAAATTTCTGGGAGTGGAGCCATGGCCTACTTTTGTCAGCCTCTCTTTTCACCCTTTGGATATGGTTCTTCTTAATAGACACATTCGAGCATCATTTGCTGTGCTGGGCACTGAGTCTTGTTCAGAGCACTTACCTAGTTCCAAGGCCCTATTAGCTTTCTGCCTATCCAAATTGTCACTTTTCCCTAGGTTTCTGGGCAACATGTTTCCCTGCCCTTTGATTCCCACTTGTGATGGCTCCTCTGATATCCGTTTGCTTTGAAATTTGCTGCTTTATTTTCTGACTATCATGACCTGACTGCCAAAGTGGCCTCCCTTCTGGAATCCTCAGATTCTGCCTTCACTAGTGATTGGAGGGGCTTTTGTCTACTCTATTCATGTCCATCCTGAGAGCTGGCCTCAGCCATTGGCAGGGAAGCATTTAATAAGAGAATCAGCCTAGGTAGATACAGTGATTTTCTGTGGAATTATTTTAATACACTAAACTGGCTCCTTATTCTTTTCCTGCTTTGTGGCCTGTTTTCAAAAATTAAGCACAAATTGAGATGCTTAAGCTACCTGTCTATATGACACCTTCTTTGATCTTCATGCTCTAAGGTAGAACTGACATCCTCCCTATTTGTGACTACACTGTATGCTGAATATCAGATTCGTATCATACTATCATATTTTTACTACTCTTACATGTTTCTACCTGTATTACCTCCTCTTAGACCACGGGAGTCCAGACTGCATGTTTGTTTTTCTATTTCTAGCATCTGGGTTGGAGCGCTGGGCACATAGTAGATAGATGTTTCATGGAAGCTGTATGTGACAGCCAGTGCCTCATACAAAACTCTGAAGGTACCATACCGTAAGTGCCAATTATCAGACACAGGTAAAATACAGGACATTTTTGGAAT
This sequence comes from Homo sapiens, assembly GCF_000001405.40. Classification (NCBI taxonomy): domain Eukaryota; kingdom Metazoa; phylum Chordata; class Mammalia; order Primates; family Hominidae; genus Homo; species Homo sapiens. The sequence goes on from NC_000004.12 coordinate 47,533,026, forward strand.
TTGCAGTAAGTGCAATTAATATAGAAGCTGAACTTTGTCTAATGGTGGTACCTCAAAGTGATTTAATGGTGAAAAATAAGGATTTCAGGGGAAAAAATCTTAATACTTTCTGAGGAACTTTGGAATTGATGATTTCATGTGTTAAATTCTTTCCTATAAGGACTCTAGGGATAAGAAAAAAAAAATGCCACATTGCTGAGGACTGGCTGGTGCTTACTTGGGAATGCTAATATGCAAATGTGAATGTTGAGACTTCATTTCCTCATCTGTAAAACGAAAAAGCTGAATTAGCTTAAACTCAAGGATGCATCTGGCTTTTACCATCTCTTCGTACACAGGCCTGTGCATGTGCAGGAATATAAACATATATCTGTTAGAAGAAAGTGCTTTACAATGTATGGGAGTGAAATGATAAATCTGTCTTTCTCTTTCTTTGTAGTATGAAACCTTATTTGAATAATTTTTATTTTATTTTAATTGTAATTTCATATAGCAAGGTTATATTAACAACTTTTATATATGTAAGGAACAAGCAGTGACTTGTAAATTGAAGTTTATTGCTAGAAAACAACCTAATTTTCATACTGAAATTAAAAGGACAGTTTCAAAATATGTGAAAACCATTACTGTTGCTCTGTATTTTTGCCACTGTAGCAATTTAGTCAAGTAATTACTTCAATAATTTTTAAATTATTTATTACAGAAATTTTCAAACACAAAAAAGTAGAAAGAAAAGTATAACGAACACCCATGTGGCGTCACTCAGCCTGAGCTATTTCAGTTTTTCCATCTTTGTTTCCACTTCCACTTCCTTTCCTACCCCTCCACTGTGTAATTTCACTGTAAATACTTTACTATATACTTATAGCAGATAAGGACTTAAATGAGTCACAACCACAATACCATTATCACACCTGACAAAACTTAACCATTCCATAATATCATGTAATACCAAGCTTTTGTTCAAATATCTACAATTGTCTGAAAAATGTTTTCTAATAGTTGTCTTATTCTAACCAGGATCAAAACAAGGTCTACACTTTGCATCTGGTTGGTATGTCTCTACATTTCCTCTCCCAATAAATTGAGTCATTGAGCTTACAGAATTGATCACATTCTAGATTGAGGTGACTTCCCCCTCCTTGGGTTGGGCTTCCCCTCCATCGTTCATTTTCTGAATAAACCAGGTCATTTTGCCTGCAGAATTTACCACGTTTTAGAACTGGCCAACTGCATTCTTGTGGTGATGTTTAACATGTTTCTCTGGCCATCTTATTCTCTGTAAACCATCAAGGGACATTTAAAGAATCTGATGAAACAAACAGAGTCTCTCCCTGGAAAATAGCAAACATGTATACACAGATACATACATACACACACAAAATATTGCATACAATTTCAAAGGCTTCACAGATCCTCTGAAGCCACAGACCCCAGACTGAAATGCCTAATAGAGGTTTGATTAAGCGCCTGTAGGGCCATGACTTTCTTTCCCATAAATCATGAGGCCCACGATGTCTCCTTGTCCCATTGTAAGATTAGTGTTATCAGCCTTATCCTATTATTATAAAGTTCCCATCAGCCTTTTTAACCATTGATTTTAGCAGCCATCGCTTATCATTGCCTAGAATGATTCTTGATTTCATCCAAGTCGAAAATGATAATTTTTAAATTCTATCAGGATTTCTTCCCTCATCAATTACTAAGTTATCCTAAATACAGTTTATACTAGAAAAGCAGGATTCTTGCTTGGAATATTTTTTTATAGTAATAGAAGTTGTCAAACAATGACTACCATTGAAAATAATGATAGTTGGAAACTTGTTGCATCTTTTCCTAGACAAAGTAGTAACTGATTCACAATAGCAAAGACACAGAATCAACCCAAATCCCCATCAGCGGTAGAATGGATAAAGAAAATGTGACTTATGTACACACCATGGAATACTATGCAGCCATAAAAAGGAATGAGATCATGTCCTTTGTAGCAATGTGGATGGAGCTGAAGGCCATTATCCTAAATGAACTAATGCTGGAAAAGAAAACCAAATATGACATGTTCTCACTTATAAGTGGGAGCTAAACATTTAGTACATATAGACACAAAGATAAGAATAATAGACACCAGGGCCTAATTGAAGGTGGATGGTAAGAGGAGCATGAGGTTCAAAAAACCACCTCTTAAGCATGATGCTTATCACCTGGGTAAAGAAATCTGTACACCAAAGCCCTGCAACACACAATTTACCTACATAGTAAACCTGCACGTGTACCACCTGAACCTAAAAGTCTAAAAAAAAAAAAAGAAACAAAAAACAAAGCAAGTAACTGCAATAACCAAAGTAAATGGGCCAGAGATTTGAAAACTTTCTTGTGAAATGCCTTTTTACTCCAAGTCAAAAACATTCAAGGGCCATGAGATTTATTTTTATATCCCCACTTTTGCTGTTTAAAAGTGAATTTATATGCTGTCTTTCTTATAGAGAACATTCCAACAAAGAACGCGTGGGTCTCAGTAAAGAAAATTTGTTGCTTAGAGGATGCACCATTAGAAACACAGAGGCTGTTGTGGGCATTGTGGTTTATGCAGGTCGGTTATGTTTCTAATTTTCATTGTCTACTCTGTGCTTTTCTACAAGTTAACATTTTTCATTTACTCAAAAATGCAATCTGTTGAAGCAGAAAGGAAATTTTGCCTGATAAACTTAATTATTGGTCTCTGTTTTTCTAAATGGATCACAAAAGCAGATTGAACTGACAAAATAGATCATGTAACTGTGTTTTATTAAATTGTCTGCAAGAGAGATTTTTAAATATGGTATTCGCTTCTTGGCTTTAATTTGTACATTTTCTATCATACTGCACATCCTTCATAGGCCATGAAACCAAAGCAATGCTGAACAACAGTGGGCCACGGTATAAGCGCAGCAAATTAGAAAGAAGAGCAAACACAGATGTCCTCTGGTGTGTCATGCTTCTGGTCATAATGTGCTTAACTGGCGCAGTAGGTAGGTAAAATTTGATTATTTGCTGACATCTTTTCAGCAAGATATTAAAGTATTTTATTTCAAAATTATATCTGTGAATATTTGACTTTGGTAAGGTGGATTTTGTCAGTAGTGTTTTACCTCATATCCTTGTCTCTTTCATCCTTTAGCCTGAAAAATATTAATATTGACTCTATCCATTTACGTTTTGCCATAGTACTGAAGAAACCTGGAGAGTGACTTAAAGAAAGAGAGAGAGAGAGAGAGAATGTATAGCCTTTTGAATTTGAATTTTGTTTCCAAAAACAAACAGTTGATGTCCAACCAAAATGAATACTCTCATTCCTTCTCCTTTAGGAATAAAATTTTTTGTTTGCATGCCATATATTTAGCATCCTTTTGATGTCTGTGTATTTTTTGAAAGGTCATGGAATCTGGCTGAGCAGGTATGAAAAGATGCATTTTTTCAATGTTCCCGAGCCTGATGGACATATCATATCACCACTGTTGGCAGGATTTTATATGTTTTGGACCATGATCATTTTGTTACAGGTAATTTTTTATCAAGCTTATGGTAGAATTTTAACATCTTTGCTGCTTATCCAGCTATGTTCAGTTTCACATCCTTTTTTAACCTACGTTAACATTTTAAAACTTGTTTGGATCTTCTTAGGTCTTGATTCCTATTTCTCTCTATGTTTCCATCGAAATTGTGAAGCTTGGACAAATATATTTCATTCAAAGTGATGTGGATTTCTACAATGAAAAAATGGATTCTATTGTTCAGTGCCGAGCCCTGAACATCGCCGAGGATCTGGGACAGATTCAGTACCTCTTTTCCGATAAGACAGGAACCCTCACTGAGAATAAGATGGTTTTTCGAAGATGTAGTGTGGCAGGATTTGATTACTGCCATGAAGAAAATGGTGAGTGTTGGATTTCCGTGAAAACCAACCTTAGCATTGGTCTTTTTTTGAAACCACTTAAGTGTTGGATGTCTGACAATTCTGACATAGAAGTGGTTTATTTAATCATTGAGTACTTAATGCTTCCAGATGGCCTTTAAACTTCATTGTTGTTCCTTCAAAAGCTAGTAGGTTAAAGTCAAGGAGTCTACTGCCATGGTTTCTTTAAAAGTGAAGTAAATTACTAGTGGAAGTAAAGGGTGGGAATTGGAGGGATGACAATGATACTGTACTATAAATACTTTCGAAAAGCTGATGAAACTATGGGCCATTTCTTTGAAAAATATTTTGGAAATAATTCCAAAGGCATTACAGGCTCCTTCTAGCCTCATTGTTTGGCCCCTAGGTATCCATTGGTGCTTGATTAAGAATAACTAGTTTAAGCAAAATGAGCTGAACTTCTGACTCTAAAGAAATAAATTTGTAAATTCCAAGTTTACAAAATTCTTTAAAGAGTTGAACTTTATTAATTTTGCAGTTTATAAAAGAAATATGTGCTCCTTTGAAGATAATTCATTGAAGTGAACAAAACAAATTAAAAGCCCTACTCTCCCAAGGTTAACCACCATTAACAATTTGGTGAATATGTAACCAGCTATTTCTTTATGCATATTTCTCTATATGTGAACATATATTTACACATTTTCCCTTTTATGAGTTAGAACATGTAATAGTACTATTTTTGTAAATTGTTTATTTTATTCAACAATGTCTTATGAAATTTTTCCTAAGTCAGTTCATAACTTAAAATTAAGAATATAGTTTTCTACTATATGTGGTCAAACTTAGTTTGCTATGCTTAATGGTGGCCACTTAGTTTGTTAATATAAAAGCACTTGTAGTTAACGTCACTTATTCATTCACCAAACATTTTGTGAGCTCCCAATATGTGGCATGAGTCCCTGATTGCATGTAATTTAGATTTATGACAAGAAGATAGATAAACAAGATTAAAATTATGATAAATAAAATTCAGCATTCATTATGCATCTTGGTACATATATATTTATTCAATTGTTTTTATAAGACACATTTTCCTCTAAAATATCATGCTAATTTACATTCCTACAACCCAGAAAAATAATGCTTCTTTTTCACACCCAGCCATAATGTAATGAAGTTACACTTTTTAATCTGTGTGATTTTTACAGACAAGTTAGCACTTCATTGTCTTAATTTGTCTCTGCTTAGTGATGAGATTTTTACCTTTTTATATGTTTTTCAGTCATCTGAATTTCCTTGGTAAATTAATTGAATTATTTCCCTGTTTTTTAAATGGGGTTTCTTTGTTCTTGTTAGTCTGTGGGAGAGCTTTTATGTAAGGTCAGGGTTAATGTTCAGCTTGTATGCTTAGTCTAGATTGTTTGTGGCCAGCGCTGATGTTCATTTGTGCACTCATTTAAAACAAGTTCTTAAATACTTAGGATATCAACCCTGATGTTATATTATCCTTTTCTTCTATATGTGACAAATATTTTTCTGTTTCATTATTTATCACTTATTAGTTTTCTATCACTGCATAACAAATCACCACAAACCATAATGGCTTAAACCAACACAAATATGCTGTCTCACAGTATCTCTAAGTCAGGACTCTGGGTATAGGATAAGTGCCTCCTCTGCTCAGGGTCTCCCACCAGGTTGAAATAGAGGTGTCTGCTGAGACTGTGATCTTATTGATGACCTCATCCTATGCTTAGCTCACTGGTATTTCGCAGAATTCAGTGTACTGAAGTTTTAGGACTGAGGTCCTTGCATTCTTGCTGCTGTCATCCCCAACTATTCGCAGCTCCAAGAGGTTGCTTGCTGTTTCCTGCCAAACAGCCTCACAACAGCAGAGCAGTTTGCTTCTTCAAGGCCAGCAACAGAATTTCTCATTTTGAATCTTTCTGACATCAGGGAAGTCCTGAATCCTTTTTAAAGGACTAACCTAATGAGATCATGTCCACCAAGGATAGTCTTCTTTCAAATTACTCGAAGTCAGCTGATTAATTACATCTGCAAAATCCTTCCACTTCTGCCACACAGCATAATTTAATCATAGCATAGTCACAAGGTGCATCTACCACGGGGGACAGGACTATTCAGGGCCATCTTAGAATTCTGCCTACCACAGTCTCTAAACTGTGCTTCCAGTGTCTCTTCTTATCAAAAGGTTTATATCTTTGTTATATAAATTTGTCAATTATTATGAATATTATGATTTCTGATGGTAGTGTTGAGCTCAGACAACCCATCATACCTGGTATTGTTAAAAAATATACTATATTTTCTTCTAGGTACATGTATTTTTAAGTCAACTTTGGTAACCTGTGAGTGTAAGGGGTAAAATGTTAAGTGTTTATTATGTAATCACCATGCAAATGTAAAATATAGCTAATCATATTGAATATGATGACACTCTGCATTATGTTTCATCTTATAGTAAAATTTAAAAGCCATCACTAACCCCCATCAAACAGAATAGATCACTGTTAGCATTTTAATGCACTTTTGGGGTCTTTTTTTTAACACATATGTATATGTTTTTGTTTTTAAGATATGCATTTGCACGCACACACATTTATGTTTTTGTCTTTAAAACAGAAATGGCATCGCAGTGTGATTTTACTTTTATAACCATTTTTCTTAAGACTTCATCATTCATTATTCCATAAAATGGAACCACATTAATAATGCTACGCTAAACCTCTATAGTGCATTTGTGAGGTTAGTGTTTTCCTGAATTATTTGACCACAGATCCCCATTTTTAGGAACTGTCTTGCAGCAACAATGTTTCATAAAATATACAGTGAGAAGCACTGCTTTATTTTTTTGTATTTATAACACAAAATTTTGTGTTCATAACATTTCAAAGAGCTAATACTAGCCCTCCTCCACTCTAGTCACTGAACATACATATCCCTGCCCAAGTGAGTATTTTTCGTTTATGCCTCCTCACACAGAAAAGATACCAAGTGACTGGGAATCAAATGCTATCCTGACTGAACTGTAATTGATAAGCTACCTGTTTGGGAACCAAAGTTCTAGAGGTACTAACTTTGCCTTTGACCACTTCTCTACCATAGACACACCTAGAGCTTCTGGTCTTTTTTATGCAGTGGTTTAAAATTAAACACATGTGTATACACACACACACAAACTAGTGGAGACCAGTTCTCTCTAGAAATTAATTCTGAGGCATATTTTCACTGAAGTGAAAACTATTTTAACAGTGTATCTGTGTTTTAATGGCTAGTCCTTTAGGGTTTTCTGCAAAAGTGTTGCCTAGGAGACAATTTGGTGAAGAATATTGCTGCTTGGAAACAACCTCTCACACATGGAATTGCACTAAACACACCTGACAACACCATTGTATATTTTAAAACCTTCTAGCTTCGAAATGTGTTCCATGTACTGGCAGCATCAGCAACACCCGGGCATGCTTTTAAATTGCAGAAACTCAGACCCCTCTTCAGAGCTTCAATTAAATGCATTTTAATAATATCCCCAGGTGATTAATATGCATATTAAAATTTTAACAAGCCACTCCTTTAAAAGACTTTAAAGAGAATGACTTTCTTAAAAATAAACTTTTAAATTTAGGATAATTTTAGATTTACAGAAAAGTTACAAAAATATCCTGGAGGGTTCCAGCATGCCCTCATGCCGTTTCCCCTGCTGTTATCATCTTGCATTAGTCATATGATATATTTGAGATAAGTAATGAACAAATGCTGATACATTATTATTAATTGAAACCCATATTTTATTTGGACTTCCTTCATTTTTACCTAATGTTCTTTCTCTGTCCCAGGATCCTAGCTAGGATGCTGCATAACAGCCATCATTTTGGTTTCTCTAGGTGACAGTTTCTCAGATTTTCTTTCCTTTTGATAAACTTAGCAGTTTTGAGTGGCATTATTCTGGGATTTTGTAGAATGTCCATCAATTTGGGCTTGTCCAGAGTATACATTTATGATGCACAATTTGTGAATCTGATTTACATGGAGGCAGTAGCATTGAACACTTTTCAAGAACAAGGATTTTGGAATCAGGCCTCCTGAGTCTGCATCCCATTTCCACTACCTACAAGCTGTGTGGCCCTTAACAACTATCTAATTTCTCTGTGCCTCAATAAAAAGGATCAATGACACTATCTATCTCATTGGATGGTTAAGAGAATGAGAGAAGATAATTCACATAAAGAATTTAGAACAGCAAATGGCACAAAATGAGTTCTCTATAAATATAGCTGTTGTTACTGTTGTTGTTGTTGTAAATATTGTTAAAATAAGAAATAGGCCTATCTCTTAAGGAGCTCATGGTCCGATGTGGGAGGCAGATATGTAAACATAAATTATCATGTTCATTGTCATAAGATATAAAGTCAGTGTTCTTGTTCCATTTTGTTTTGATTTTCAGGCAGTCAGTATTGGAGGTGGATTTTGCACTGATTAAGGCTTGGGATGTTGAAGCCAAGATACTGGATGTTCTTACGATGCTGGAATTGTATGGGGAATTTGTTTAGAACAAAGGTTTATATATCAAGGATATATGGGTGATACAGTTGGAGGAGGTTTAGCTGAGTGTGTTATTTACAAGCAGGCAAAAGTTGGAATGCTGGAAATGTTTGCAGATTTAGTTCATAGTGAAAGGGTTGATGGAGGATTGATGATACAATTGAAGGAAGCTCATCTGAATGCTGTTCACCTTTGTTTCGGGCCCTTTGGAGAGCACATTGAAAGTATGATAAACTTTTTGTTCTGTAGACTCATGCCCACTTCTTCCATATATCAAATTGATGCAAGTAACAGGCTATAGGAAGATTACTGGGTATTTGAAGAGGGGAATGGGAAGAAAAGACAGATCGGGGATTAAATAATGAAGAGAAATAAAGTAGACAATTTGGTACCTATCTCAATATCTACCTTCAGACAAAGGAAAGAATAGACTTTGTAAGTTTTTTCTTATGAAGCAAAAAGTAAGAATTCCTGCCCTGCTTTGAGGCATTCATGTAACTATTTTGGAGTCTACCTTAAGGTAAGTATTAAGAAATATTAAAGAAATACTAAGAAATATTAAAAGTCATAACGATTTGGATAAGTTTTATCAATATTATAATAAACCTTTGTTTCTCATACAATATATTTTTTTAACACAGGGTCTCACTCTGTTACCCAGGCTGGAGTGCAGTGGCATGATCTCAGCTCACTGCAGCCTCAACCCTCTGGGCTCAAGTGATCCTACCACCTTAGCCTCACAAGTAGTTGGGACTATGGGCACATGCCACCACGCATGGCTAATTTTTGTATTTTTTGTAGAGGCAGGATTTCGCCATGTTTCCCAGGCTGGTCTCGAACTCCTGGGCTCAAGCTATCTGCCAGCCTCGGCCTCCCAAAGTGCTGGGACTACAGGTGTAAGCCACCACACCTGGCTTCACACCTAATTTTTATAAAATTCTCACTGAGCCTGGAATTATAGCTCCAGTAGCTTTGTTTTCTGAATCACATTGTAACTTTACTGGTCTATTTCCTTTTTTGAGAAGGAGTCTAGTCTCGCCAGGTTGCAGTGAAGTGGTGCGATCTTGGCTCACTGCAACCCCTGCCCCTTGGGTTTAAGCAGCTCTCCTGCCTCAGCCTCCCTAGTAGCTGGGATTACAGGTGCCCGCCACCACACCCAGCTAATTTTGTGTATTTTTAGTAGAGATGGGGTTTCGCCATGTTGGCCAGGCTGGTCTCAAACTCCTGACCTCAGGTGATCCACCCACCTCGGCCTCCCAAAGTGCTGGGATTGCAGGCCTGAGCCACCGGGCCTGGCCTATTTCCTTTTCATAGCTTCCACAAAATGATTAAAGGTTGAGTCACTTCATATCTTCTTGATTCCACTTTTGCAATTGTACTGACTGAACAAGTTTTCCCTACAGTAATAGCTGAGCTACCTGGAACTATACTAATTATATAGTTGCATGACGACTGATTTCCCTAATGATGGCTAGGAGTTACACGATCATTAAATATAGCCTCCATGTTTATATGTGTTTTGAAGTACAGTATTACCCCCTTATCTGTGGTTTTACTTTCCACAGTTTCAATTACCTTTGGTATAGTAAAATAAGATATTTTGAGAGAGAAAAAGAGAGATCACATTCACATAAGTTTTACTACAGTATATTGTTATAATTATTCTATTTTATTATTAGTTATTGTTGTTAATCTTTTACTATGCCTAATTTATAAGTTAACATTTATCATAGGTATGTATGTATATGAATAAACATAGTATATTTAGGGTTCAATACTATCCGTGGTTTCAGACATCCACTGGGGGTCTTGGAACATATCCCCTGTGAAAAAGGGGAAACTTCTGTATTTTTAAAATATTTTTTAAATGGTGTTACGTCATCAATAAATTCCTTGAGCTACTCAAGGATTTATCAGTCTCAGCACTATTTGGGCTAGATTAATCTTTGTTGTTGGGGGCTGTCCTGAGCATTGTAAGATGTTTAGAAGTATCCTTGGCCTCCACCCACTGAATGCCAGCAGCACACTTCACCCAGTTATAACAAGCAAAAGTATCTACAGCCATTGCCAAACCCCCAGGGGACAAATTCACCCCATGTGGAGAACCACTGAGCCAACTTATTATATACAAATCACTGCTGAGGAGCTATAATATAGTGGGTAGTGTGCTGGCTTTGGAGGCAGAAGACCTAAATCGAATTTCCAGCTCCACCCACAACTAGCTGTTTAATCATGGTTGAACTGCTTAATCTCTCTGGGTCTTAATCTCCTCAGCTGCAGAGTGGGCAGTGATAGTTTCTACCTGATGGCATTATTTTGAAGATAAAAAGGAAATAGGTATACATATATATTATGTACACACACACACACACATATATATATGCATGAAAAAAGGAGGATCTCAAAAAATATTAACTTCCTACCCCACAACTTTCCCTTAATACTAGGGATATTTCATTGACATGTCTATTGATTCATTCATTTATTATTCATTTAATAAATTTTTATTTAAATGAAAAAACATGGACTCATTGAAATTAAGCAGGGGATATTGGCCATGTGTTAAAAATTGGCCCTGTTAACATATATAGGTAGATTCAGAAACAGTAAAGCATGGGGCTGTGGAGTTTAATAGAACTGATTTTAAGACTAATTTGTACCATTTTTGTGAGATGGGGCAAATTACTTAAGTTTATTTATTTGTAAAATGCTGGTATTAATAGCATCTGCTGAGATATAATGATTAAATGAGGCAAGTGCCTGGTACATAAGCAAATGCCTGGTACATTCTGCACATGTAATCTATAAATTCCCAATGAGTGGTATGAGTAAGAGTCAGTATAGCTACAGAGGTCTTTGTGGAGGAGCTGGCATTTGAACTAAACTTCTAAAGATGTTCAGTATTTATGTAAATAGAAAGGACGCAAATGAATATTTCAAGCAAAGGCATAGATGAAAATGGAGGAGATCAGAATCTCTGGGACACAATATGTAAACCAGTTTTTGAAGCTGGAAGGTCATACTGGGAAACATTCCGTGTTGTTTAGGCAGATTATATGATGAGACTTGCAGAGCTGGGAAAGATCTTAAAGTCACCGAATCCAAATCGTTCATTCTGAAATGTTTCATTCTGAAAACAAAGGCCCAGAAACAGCAAGTGATTTTGCTGAAAGCCACTTAGTCTTTGAAAAAGTTGGTACTGGAACCTAGGATCACCACATAGACCCTTAGCCTCTCCTTGTCCTTAAAGAATACAGACAAAAACTATTACAAAAAAATAGAATGTGCAAACATTCTTCACTTCATAGAATAACTTACCCAAAGCCATACTTTATCCTATAGCTAAATAGAGAAGACTGGCAATCCAACAAGCACCTATTTATCGATGGTCTATATTCCAGACACTGGATACAATGCTGAACAATTCACATAAGGCCCCTGCTCTCATAGAGTTTCTATTAGAGAAAATATTCACAAATATATTACTTTTTTAAATCAAGAAAAAAATTAGCGATAAGTACTTGGTAGAAAATTAAAATAAGGTGGTATAATATAAAATGATTGGATGGCCACTTTGAACTGGAGGGTCAGGCAAGGCCTCTCTAAGTGGGACATGGGGCTTAGATCTGAATGACATAATCTTGAAATTCCGTAGGAAAGGCTTCCAGTCAGAAGGAACATCTAGTAAAGAAGCCCTCAGGCAAGGGTGAGCTTGTTACTTTTCAAAGTAAAGAAAGAAGGCCAGTGAGTCTGGATTTTAGTGGGCATGTAGAAAGAGAAGTGAAGTTAGATAGGTCAGCAGGGCTCTGATCATCTTGAGTTATTTAAGCCAGGATAGGGAGTCCAGATTTTATTCTAAGTGAATTGTAAAGCTACTGGAGTGTTTTATGCAGGAAGTGATCTGATCTGCTTTATCTTTTAGGAAGATCACTCTAGCTACTATTTGAAAAATGGATTGCAGAGGGGCAAGGAGACCAGTTATGAGACTATTGCACTGGTCCAGTTGAGAGATGATGGTGGCTTGGACTAAGGTAATGGATATGGAGAGAAGTAGAGTTATTTGAGATATTTTTTGGATGTATGGAGGACAGATGTTAGTTATACTTTGAAAATAAGAAAGAAGATAGGAAATTAGGAGGATTCTAGATTTCTGGCTTAAGTAACTGTGTAAGTCGTTAAGTTTGATTTACAAAGATAGTACCTATCAACTGCTGCTTTGAAGTCTGAGATTATCATATTGGCAAAACAGACAGAATTCTCTGACCTTTTGGAGATTGTATTCTACTGGATGATTCAAAAAATAAAATAAATAAGATATATATGTGTAGATGGTGGTAGGTCTTGGCATAGGATCTATTATAAATTGTGTGGTCAGATCTGGGAAGTCTTCACTTCCCAGTGAGGTCATTTCAAAGATGGGACCAGTTGAGATCACCAAGGAAGATGCAGGTAGAGAAGGAAGGTGCTTCTGCAGCTCTCCAGTATTTGAGGACTAAAAAGAAGAGACAGCAGGAGAAACTAAGAAGAAACAGTCATTGAAGTAGGAGGAAAAACAGTTAAGTGTGATGTTAGAGAAACCAAAAGAGACATTTCAAGAAGGAAAAAATGGTCAAGTCTGTTGGATATTACTAAGGGTTCACATAAGATAAGGATGGACGTGATCATTGGATTTGACAACATGGAGCTCATTGGTGACCTTGACAACAGCAATGTCAGTGGAGAGATGGGGACAGAAAGCCATGAAATTACTTAAAGAAAGATTGGTGTCAGTGAAAGAGGGAAGAATTGTAAGGGTGAAGTCATTGAGTTCAGGGAGGTGAGATTCAGATGACAAGTGGAGAATTTGGTGTCTGAAACAGAGATGCTTTGTCCACAGTAGGAGGAGGAAAGGCCGAGAGTATGAGTACCAATGCAGATAAGTAGGTAGATTTGACGATGGAAAAAGAAGGGAATTTTGATCTGATTGCTTCTCAGTGAGGTATAAGGTAAGTTCATTGACCAAGGCTATGGGAGGTAGGCCTTGGCAGCCAGGTTTGAAAGGGGAGGAGATGGTGTGAAATAGCTGCTTAAGTAACTGCCTGATATATTCAACTTACAAGTGGCTCTTCTCAGACATTGACTCAGTGTGCTTTTTATCCCACAGCCAGGAGGTTGGAGTCCTATCAGGAAGCTGTCTCTGAAGATGAAGATTTTATAGACACAGTCAGTGGTTCCCTCAGCAATATGGCAAAACCGAGAGCCCCCAGCTGCAGGACAGTTCATAATGGGCCTTTGGGAAATAAGCCCTCAAATCATCTTGCTGGGAGCTCTTTTACTCTAGGAAGTGGAGAAGGAGCCAGTGAAGTGCCTCATTCCAGACAGGCTGCTTTCAGTAGCCCCATTGTAAGTATGAATGCATGACTAGAGTCTTGCACATCCACAATGTATGATGAGAGAACAGCCTTGTAATTATGATAGAGTCAAACTCTGTTGTCTTTTCTACCTTAGAAGAGACTACATGATTGCAGCTCAGCAAGATCACCACACATAATTAGAAGTATAAACAAACAATATCACACTAGTCTACTTTTAAAAAATAACTCAATGTTGAGAGGTAGTATACCATTTCTGAAAAAAAAAAAGGAGAATATTTCTGGCCAGGGCTGATTATGTGTGAGCCTGAAGAAGGCTGCCTTGGTTTAAGAATCATGGCTCACTCTTAGAACCAGCAAAGCTTACCAGAGTTATCTCGTAGTCAGATAAGCAAGTGTAATTTATAGGGACATTCATAGGCCATGTGGTACATTGAAGGCCTTTTTATTGCTCTGTAATCTCCCAAATCCCACCAAACTTGTGGTTTTTCCCTATTCCTGGCTCCAGAAGGTCATTTTCTAATATATCAATTTCAGAGCTCAACAGAATGTGTTCATGAGTTCCAGTGGGAAGTGTCAGGAACTGTCTAGTCACATCCATTAACAAATCCATTTTACTCCAGAAAAACTAGAGGACCATGTAGATGATGGGGAAAAGAGGGAAAGGTGCTGTGTGAAAAAAATTAGAAATTTTTGCTGTATTTAAAATTACCTGTATAAAAGTTCAATTTCCTTCTTTGCCTTTTACATTTTATTAAGTCTTGTGTTTTACCAAAATGAGGATTTCCCAGCCATCAGACTGATAATACCTACAAAATAGGTGACAACAAGAATAAACCAGCTTTGGGGAAGCTTTATGTTTCTACATTGAATTTATCATATGGTTTTCACAGTAGAGACATGATATGAGTAGACCCCTGGGGTCTCATTTGTCCTGGGAAGGCCTCGAACTTCCCAGGATCCTGGCTCTTCTCAAATTGTCAACAAATGCATAATTACAGCAACTGGAGTGATCATTTTAGTCCAGCTCATTTCTGTGGCACTAATATAAAAACTATTATATTATATCTTAGCCATATGTCAAGTGATTCCAAGACTTAATATTTCTCCAACTTTTGAAATGGAAGAAGAATGTACACAGTTCATTCTGTGTACTCATTATAAGCCCATATCGGAAATATATTTTTCTTCTATTTTTCTATCGATATATTTTCTTCTATTTTATCTTTTTATCTATCCTTGTATTGAACTTTTCATTTTCCATCCACCTGAAAGTAAGAACATGTTGGCTCTTGTTTAGACAGAAGCAGCACAGTTTGGTAATAAGGTGGATCTGTGCCACACCTTATTGGTTTCTTGATCAAACCTCACCCTATTCGTGGAACAAATGATTGGTTATTTCTTAGTTTAAAGTCTTTGTCCCTTTATAGATAAATTTACCTCATCTAAAATATATTCTCTCTTCATATACTACCTCTATCCATCAAATCTGGTGAAATATTTATTTCTTTAAGAACTAAATTAAAAATATCACCTTTTTCTGAAGACCTCTCAGATTCTCTTCTTTCAGCATCCGAGCTCTGTTTACACCGTCCCTCCGTCCCTCCGTCCCTTCATCCACATGGCATTGGTCTTATTTCTGCCTCTGGCAATCCACCATTAACTCCCTGAGAGAAGGATTTATCCATCTTGAATCAACATCTAGCACAAAGGCTGGCATGTCCATTCTCAATAAAGTATTTTTAAAGGTTGTTGAAGGAAGCTACTTACCAGGCTGTCTTTTCATCTGGGCCATTTTCTTTTCATTTGCCTTATACTCCAATGTCATTGCTGATTATGTGGATGCTCTTGTGCTGCTGTTACTGTTGTCCTTGTTTTGTTTGTGTTTTGCAAAACCATACCCCTAATATATAGAATAACTAGGTTATGGTCTTCCTCAATGTATAAGATTATTTCTCAATCTTGGTCTAAACAAGTTGATTTTATCTTTTTGAAGACTAAAGATTATTTTGAGAAAACTACATAATATTTGATCTGAAAAATGAGCATCTGCAAATATATCATATAAAATTCTAAAAGCCCATCTGTGGAGCCCAGGTTAAGAATGCCAGCTTGAGGGCATTCTGAGAGTTGTGATGTCTACAAGTGGAAGGTTGTAAGATGGCACCCTTCAAAGGAGGCGAGTTACGAGCCAGCAAGTGAGGATGCTAGGCAGGGTGCTGATGAAGATGTACCAGCCTTTGGGCATTAGAATGTCACTGAGGCCCATGAGTCCTGGGTTCATAGTACCTATTTTAGAAATAGAAACCTCTGCTTTGTAAGCCAGTATGTTTATGCATCTTTAATCTTCTGGAGTTTTTCATTCAACAAGCATACTGTTTATTCTACACGAAATGCTCTTCTCTTAGATCTTTGTATAGCTGTCTCCTTTCTGTCATTGAGCCTCAGCTCAAATACCTTCTCAGTGAAGCTTTCTCTGTCACCCAGTTCCAAGTACATTCCATCTCTCCCTTGTCTCTCTCTGTCTCAATATAAAGGCATCTTATTTATTTGCTGTTGGGATAGTTTTGGATCTATTGTCTCCCCCAGGTAGAATGTGAGTTCCCTGGAAGCCAGGATCCTGTCTGTTCTATGCACTCCTCTTACCTTCAGGGGTGCCTGGCACCATAGATTAGCAATAAATATTTATGGGATAATGAATTTATTAATGAATTAATGGAAGGCATGGCACAATACTGGACATGGGGATATAAAGTGAATAAGACGTGGCCTCAGCCTTCAGTTTTGTTCTAGATAGAGAAGAGAGACATATAAATGAATAATTATAAACCTGTATTAAAGATGTAGTCATAGTAGTTAATCCAAAGTATAGTAAGGTCACAAAGAAGGGAATGATCACCTCTAAGGGAGTGAAGAAGGATCAAGAAAGGCTGCCCGGAAGAGCTACAACTTGAGTTAGGATTAAACTAATGAGTAGAGAGAGGTTCACAGATTGGAAAAGGAAGGAAAGGCATTTGGAGCTGACAGCACGTGGTACGTGCAGACGTTCAGAACCACAGGGCCAAGGGAGAACATGGTGTGCAGGAGGAATTGTCAGCATGTGGTTATTCACCTTTGTCTTTTTTTTTTTTTTTTTCAGGACTGTGTTGTTTAGGAATCAGTGGGGAGGGGGTGGTGGCAATAGAAGATATTTGCGTCCACTCTTAAGCCAAAGTTGCAGTGGTGGAATGGTGAACGCTTAAAATGAGTAGAGTGGCATCCAGCAATGAAATGAAAAACCTTGGGTAGAGGTGGAACTAGGGGAGGAGTGAAGAACAGTATTAGAGCTCCTTGGTCAACTTTATGTCCCATCTAGAGTGTCTTTGTCCACTACTAAACCGTGGGTTTTTAAAGTTTTGCATAAACAATTATAGTGGGCTGCTGCTTCTCTCTGTTTTAAAACAAATTTAACATTTAAATTATATGAAATTTAAAACAAATTTAACATTTAAATTATATGAAAGCCGTTCAAAAGATTCAACCAACACTATTAGAGGGCAAAGGGAGTTTTGGCCAGTTTTTACTTGTTAATTTGAATTTAAATAGAGGAGAGAGAGAAAAAAAAGGAAGGAGTAAACCTGAATGTGAAATCTACAACTTAGTAATGTCATGGGGTTGGGGGGGGCGGTCCTTGCTCCCAGAGCTCCCAAGATGGTGGCGTGTGGCTTCCAAAATGGTGGCGGGCCACTTCCAAGATGGTGGCAAGCCTCGTGTTCTCTGACCTGGGGTTCTTGGCCTCACGGATTCCAAGGAATGGAATCTTGGGCCATGCCGTGAGTGTTATAGCTCTATTAGAAGCCATGGGTCACGGAAGAGAACCATGGAACCCCTGACTAGTGTTCAACTCAATTAGGATGAACCCAGGCACTTAGCCATGCAGGAACAATGGCAAGTGGCAATGGGTGCCTCACTGGATCAGGAGCACAGCAGACACCCTGCCAGATCCGCAGGGGTGGAAGTCAGCGGCGGGTCTGCGATGGTGGCAAGCAGCAGTGGTGGACAGCGAGCGAAAGCTCAGCTCGAGCCATAACAAACACGGACCAGAAGAGTGCAGTTGCAAGATTTAATAGAGTGAAATAGAGCTCCCATACAAAGGGAGGGAACCCAAAGAGGGTAGCCGTTGCCGGCTCCAATGCCTGGGTTTATATCCCTATCCTTGTCCCTCCCGCTGTCCTCTCAGGCAACAGATGATTGGCTATTTGTTTACCTCCTGTTTTTTGCCTAATTAGCATTTTAGTGAGCTCTCCTTACTATCTGATTGGTCGGGTGTGAGCAAAGTTGCAAGCCCCGTGTTTAAAGGTGGAAGCAGTCACCTTCCCAGCTAGGCTTAGGGATTCTTAGTCGGCCTAGGAAATCCAGCTAGTCCTGTCTCTCAGTAGGAAGGCATAATAGGAATTATGAGGGTAAATCTAAAATTTGAGATAGGCAGATACCATGCAAGATTGGGACAAAGATACTAGACTCTCACCAGGAAACCAAATAAGGCTTTGTTTACATTATAGGAAGCTGTCTACATCATACTCTGTAATCTGTGCTCTCTTGTGAAGTAAAAATTTTCTTGAATTTTAAAAAGATATCTACTTGAGCCCAGTGGGAGGTAATATGTGTTTATTTTCCAAAGAGTGACATCTTTTTCCTCTGGTTGTTTCTCCCTCTCTTTCCTTATAGGATATGAGATTAGCAAATTATAGTAACATATGACAATACACTTTTATTGCTTACCCATGTGTCAAGTACTGAGTTAGGGATCCAAAGATCAATAAGATATGGTCCTTACTTTAATGGGCCTTCCAGATTCTCTGGGGAGAGATTCCATACCTATGTAAGGAATTATTTAAAGCAAGATGGTTTGAGTCTGGTTCTGAAGTTAGCAGGCATCCAGAGAAGGCAGAAGCCACCCATCACTGACAAGAGAGCAAAAGCTAATAATGTAATCCTGGGTCTCAATAAGGAAGATTTGGATCTTGGGAGAAACAGCTATGGATACAGTCATGCAGATAAGAATTGCATGTGGTGACTCTATATCTTCACCTTAATTCAGTGACTAACTTCTTAGTCACTAGAAATTAACTTATTTTAGTGGGACAAACTAAAGTAGAAGAATGAGCATGCCTGAAGCTTCTTTGTATGTAGACCTTTCCTTAAATCTTCTGGGCTCTTTTATGTATGTTGTTTTATAGTGCTTTTCAAGGTCTTCTATGGTCCTGACTTTCTAGATTTTTCCCACTTTATTTTGGCAATACTTCTCAGCACAGTTTTGCTGACCAAAGCCACACAACCCCACTTTCACACACTGTTCCCACTCACCTCCAGCTTGGGCCAACTTCAGTATTACTTCTGTTCTCGTGGCCACAGCACAGCCTTTCAGTCATGCAGCCATCGGATTCCCTGAATGGCATATTACGTTGACTACATAAATAGTGTCTTAGTCCATTCAGGCTGCCAGAACAAAATACCATAAACTGGGTAGCTTAGAAACAACAGAAATTTATTTTTCACAGATCTGGAGGCTGGAAAGTCCAAGTTCAAGGAGCCAGCAGATTTGGGGTCTGGTGAGGGCCTGCTTCCTGGTTCATAAAAACAGTTCCTTCTTTACTGTGTCTTCATATGGTGGACAAGCTCCCTTGGACCTGTTTTATAAGGACTTTAATCCCATTCATGAAGTCACTGCCCTCTTAACCTAATTATCCCCAAAGAGCCCTACTTCCTAATACCATCACCTTGCAGGTTAGGATTTCAGCATACAAATTTTGGGGAGACACAAACATTTAGACCGTAGTAAATAGCATTTGTCACAAATGCAGAAGTTGCAAACCTTTCATCAATGTTAGATTGACTTCAGAATGCAAGATAATCCTTATGTTCTGAACCAATTATTAGTCAAATAATTGCTGAGATCATTGATACAATGAAATCACTATTAGCTTCTATGGTCTCTGACTCAGTCCCAAATGTCTTCTATAAAAGAAGTCTCTAAAAAATAGAATTTGGAAAGCCTGCACATACTAGCCTCTTCTTGGAGATTCCTAATACCCATTAAACTCTCTGAGAAATGCTGAAATTAAAAAACTTGTTTAAACTTTTCTTAAACTTATTTCAGTATAGAACTCTTTGTTAATTTTTTGCTTATTCCATGTTAACATTCAGAGAAGGATGCCATTGGAAATATTGCCCTGACCTGTGGAATCTCATAAGCACTAGACAAGAGCATAATCATAGGCCTTGGTAAAATACCATGCAACAAATTTCCCAGGCATCTCTTCATTGACCAAATAAAAAAGTCTCTCCAACTTTACCACTTTCTTCTATTGACTTTGGCAAGGAGGTCCTTAAGGCCAGGGTTGTTCCCTGAGTAACTGAGGGTCTAGCACAAGTGCCAGCTCAGAGCTACTATATATGTGAGACTCATGAGAGAATGTGACCAACTTACTAATTAACAGCCATCAGCTCATGAATGGCTATGAACTCCATCAAACTGAACAAGATTCAAATTTTGCTAAGTCAAATAGCACAAGCCAGTAGAATTAATGAATTTAGATAGAAACTTAGCAATGCTTTTTGACAGCAGGTAACTTGGTGAGTCTGGAAGCCAGGTGAGACTGCTAACCTGTCTGAAGGTGAGTGTGTCATTTGAGAAAGAAAGAAGGAAAAGGAACATTAAATGACTTAGGTTCCTGTTCTACTGGTCTCATCTTAGTCATTATCTCATTTACTTTATACAGCCACCTGGGAGGTAAGTGTTATTTTTACCATTAGGTAGAAGAGGAAAAGGAGGTTAAGTAAGCTGCCCAAGACCTCCAGTTAGTATGCAGTGGAGCTAAGACCTGAACCTAAACCCATATGGTTTCCATCCCATGCTCTCTTCTTATTAAACCTATGCTAACTCTCACCAAACTTTTAAGCATAAGTGCAAACCATAATCTTCTGAGTCCATGTCATACATCCTTATATTTTACTCTTTTCTCTAAATCTCCTCTCCTGGCTTTCCTGCAGTCACTGTGCTTTGCAGGCCAGCTGCCTCTAGGACTCTTAGAATACAATGGTGCTTTTGTACAACCTTGATTTTGAGCATGTGGTTCCTCCTTTGACTCAGCTGAAAAATTTCTAAAGCAGTTAACTATATGTTACTGGATTATACTTAGATTTCTACTACAACATTATTTTGTCAAAACTCGTACTCTCACGTGTGAGAAGCATTGTGTCAAACAAAATGGAGTACATTTTTTCAATAACAACTTCTTAGAGCAAACCTGTACTGAGAAGAAAGTATAGTTGCCAAATGTATGTGGTGATCAGAAATCTGGAAGAACCCTTATTAATGTCTTGTATTACTTGAAAATGCTGATAAAATATGTTAGCCTGCTTATAATCATTTTTATTTTTGGAGAGTTGTTTTTTACAATAGCAGTAACTTGAACCATAAAATACTTTGTTTCAATAACATGGTATGAATAATGCCCAAAGTTTAAGAGTTAGTATTCATCAAGTGATGGTGAATAAATCTATGACCGAGGTAGAATTCTGGGCTCAATAAAATCTACCTCTGCTATTATGTATTTCAAAATGAGAAAACACTCAACTAGATTTGGTGAAAACTAAACTCCTGTTTAGTTTAATAGTTAAGAGAGTCTCCATTGATGAGGTGCATTCTGGATTATCCATTTGTTTTTATATCTTTTATTTTCCTATTCTCACTTCCCATGACACGATATACATTACAATTGTTTTTAGAAAAATAAAGTTTACCATCTCATGATTCATTTAGATCCTGGCTATACAAGTTATTTCTCATGTTGATTTAAAACTAATTTTTATATACTTCTTATAACAACACACTGTCTTATTGGATCTTCAGGAAACAGACGTGGTACCAGACACCAGGCTTTTAGACAAATTTAGTCAGATTACACCTCGGCTCTTTATGCCACTAGATGAGACCATCCAAAATCCACCAATGGAAACTTTGTACATTATCGACTTTTTCATTGCATTGGCAATTTGCAACACAGTAGTGGTTTCTGCTCCTAACCAACCCCGACAAAAGGTGAGTAAGTTCTCTAATGCAAACAAGGGTCACTTTCCAGAAGAGAATTTTGGGTTTAAATGTATCTGTACTGAGCTTGATATATGGATAAAAATGATAAATAATAGTAGCTGTATAACACTGATTCAGCATTTGTTCTGTGCTCTGCACTTACCATGGTCTATGTCATGGGTCCCCAACCCCCTTGGTTGCAGACCGGTAACAGTCTGTGGCCTGTTAGGAACCAGTCTGCACAGCAGGAGGGGAGGAGAGGGCCAGTGAGCATTACTGCCTGAGCCCCGCCTCCTGTCAGATCAGGGGCAGCATTAGATTCTCATAGGAACGCGAACCCTATTATGAACTGCATATGCAAGGGATCTAGGTTGTGCCCTCCGTATGAGAATCTAATACCCAGAGAATCTAATACCTGATGATCTGAGGTCCCACCCAACCCGTCTGTGGAAAATTGTCTTCACAAAACTGGTCCCTGGTGCCAAAAAGGTTGAGGACCGCTGGTCTAAGTGATTTATTGGTATTAACAAGTTGAATCCTCCTAACAATCCTATGAGTTAGAAGCTATTACCCTACTATTCTCCATTTTACAGATGAGGCTAAGTAATTTACCCAGGGTCACAAAACTGGTTTGTTGGGGAGGTGGGATTTGAACCTAGGAAATACAGCTCGGTGCTACTATATTATTTGCCTCTAAGAGGGTAGTGATGAGAGCAATTCATTTTGCTTTAGTTTATGTGCCAAATTGAAGCTTTCTTTGAGACTTCTGAGACCTCCAACATCGTATGTATTATATCAGGCAAAATATACCGTATTGGATTCAATATCATGTTTAATAATATTTTTTTCTTCCTTTTTTTTTTTCTTGGAGACAGTCTTACCCTGTCTCCCAGGCTGGAGCGCAGTGGCGTGATCTCAGCTCACTGCACCCTCCACCTCCCAGGTTCAAGCAATTCTTCTGCCTCAGCCTCCTGAGTTGCTGGGATTATAGGCACCCACAACCACGCCTGGCTAATTTTTGTAGTTTTAGTAGAGACAGGGTTTCACCATGTTGGCCAGGCTGGTCTCAAACTCCTGACCTCAGGCGATCCACCTGCCTTGGCCTCCCAGAGTGCTGGGATTACAGGCATGAGCCACCACACCTGACCAAAAAAAGCTAGATTTTTAAAGTCTATTTGTAGCTTAGAATTCATGGAAAATTCATTTTCAATGCGGAGGAAAACTTGTTTAACGGGCTGGTGATTCACCATTTGCTGTGCTAGCCTCCTTGTGTGTAACTCTCTCACCTTTTACTCACTTAAAATTCAATTTGCAGCACAACCCAATTCAATTTAATTTTCCATCAGATCATTTTCTTTTGGCAGCTTCAGAGGTGGTCAACTTTAACATAAAAACAATTTCCTTCCAATTAAGTTGAGCTTCATCAGGATCTGTATTTTTACAAGGCTTTGCCTAGGAAGTTGCTCTTTGAAAACGTGATTATGCAGTTACAGAATAAAGGCTGTTCTTTTCCCCAAAAAATATTTTTCTAATAAATCTGTTCCCAAAGTAAGCATCTTTTGGTGTTTTCCTTTTAAGAAATATTATTGGTTATTCTTAAAGAATATAATATTCTACTGCTTGAAAGAAAATCTCTGAAGCATATAAGAGTCTAAGCCTCATGGTATTTCAAAGTAATGATAGAAGGGCAGTGAATAAGTAGCTAATCAGCATTCATGTGAGATACAGAAACCTCATCTGTGATTGTGTTTTACTCTTCATTTCTGAGTTGCTGATAAGTTTGAAAATCAACCAGCATAAGACCTTCAAATTATTATAAAATTAGTTATTTTTAGGGGAAAACTTTTTCATTTATTGAGCATTTCTGAATGAGAAAATTTTTCCATCCAATTAATTGGCCTTCCATGATTAATGTGAATTTCTCAGTTTAGTCACTGATAAAAGTTAAGATTTAAGAGAAACCAGGGTACAAATAAGAAAAAGTTCTATGAAAATAGAAATTCAAATCCACATTATGATATTGATAACTCTTCTTGATGAAGCTACTTTGCTTACTGGTCCATTTAAAAGAAAATTCAAAGTAACAAACTTGTAGAATCTGGAAAATAAAAGAGAAAAATACATTTTGTTAATCTTTTGATTTGCTTTCTTCTGGTGTTTTTGTTATGTATATTATTACTTGTTACTTTTTTTATACTAGTCTCATAGCTTTTTCAGTATTGCCCTATAGACTTTATAAGCTTCATTTTTAAATATTATATAACATTTCAAGATGTGTCTATTTTGCTGTTACTGAATACTTAATTTGCTTATAATTTTAAAATTGTTATGGTTAGGATACACACAGATAAGATCATGGAATTCCTGTATTTCAAGTTATTTCTTTAGAAAAAAAATTGCTGAAGGATGCCCACTGCTAGCAATATTAACATTTTATGTCTTTTATTATCAGTTGTCAAATTTCTTTCTAAATGGTTGTAGAAATGTATGTCATTCATTTTAATATTATTAAAATATTAGCAAAGTATTACATAAATATTAAAAATATTAATAAAAATCAAATTATCTGAATAGTTATTAAAAAACAAATTTTTATTTGTATTAATATTTTCCATGGCGGTCGTAAATAGAGAATGGGCTGCTAGCCATTTAAGTGAGTGGTAACTCTTTTTATATCTAATTTATTTCCAGTTTGCCTTCAAAGTTGTTAGAAACTGCTTTTGACTGTATTGAGACCTTTCTAAATTGTCTTTCATAGATCAGACACCCTTCACTGGGGGGGTTGCCCATTAAGTCTTTGGAAGAGATTAAAAGTCTTTTCCAGAGATGGTCTGTCCGAAGATCAAGTTCTCCATCGCTTAACAGTGGGAAAGAGCCATCTTCTGGAGTTCCAAACGCCTTTGTGAGCAGACTCCCTCTCTTTAGTCGAATGAAACCAGCTTCACCTGTGGAGGAAGAGGTCTCCCAGGTGTGTGAGAGCCCCCAGTGCTCCAGTAGCTCAGCTTGCTGCACAGAAACAGAGAAACAACACGGTGATGCAGGCCTCCTGAATGGCAAGGCAGAGTCCCTCCCTGGACAGCCATTGGCCTGCAACCTGTGTTATGAGGCCGAGAGCCCAGACGAAGCGGCCTTAGTGTATGCCGCCAGGGCTTACCAATGCACTTTACGGTCTCGGACACCAGAGCAGGTCATGGTGGACTTTGCTGCTTTGGGACCATTAACATTTCAACTCCTACACATCCTGCCCTTTGACTCAGTAAGAAAAAGAATGTCTGTTGTGGTCCGACACCCTCTTTCCAATCAAGTTGTGGTGTATACGAAAGGCGCTGATTCTGTGATCATGGAGTTACTGTCGGTGGCTTCCCCAGGTAAGTTTATACAAAAGTGAAATAGTAGTGATTTGAAAAGCTCGGAGATTAAAAGACCATACTTGATGGCTTTATAAAGGCAAAGAAACAGCTATCTGGGGACTAATCACATTTGGTGAAGTAGGGGGAAGCTGCCTAGGATTTGATGGGAAAGCAAGTAAGTTTTGGGGCTACCCAGATCTGAGTTCAAATGTGAACTCCATCATTAGGTGGGTCTTGATAAAGTTAGCTAACTATTCTGTGCCTAAGTCTTCAACTCAATGGGTCTTAGAGTACCTCCTTTATAGGTTCCTGAAAGGTTTAATGACATACTATATGCAATGTATGAAGAGCCTTTGGCCAAGTGCCTAGCAAATGGAAAGTGCCCAATAAATGTCAGCTAGCAGCATTATAGTTATGTTACTGTTGTTATTGATGATTTGGGAACAGTGTTTGTATCAGGTTCTTGTACTTTCCTCTGCCCAAGGGGAAAGAAACGAGGGAAAGATTTATTCTGAGTGGTCCCTTTTACAGATACCCATTTGGGATTCAAAACCAGAAGGCTTTTTTATTTGTTTTTTTAGTGTGGATAAAACTACTATTGTTTTAAAAAGTATTTCTGTAATTTGGCAGACTGGTAGGAACTCAAGCATCTTGTCCATTATTTCAGATGGAGCAAGTCTGGAGAAACAACAGATGATAGTAAGGGAGAAAACCCAGAAGCACTTGGATGACTATGCCAAACAAGGCCTTCGTACTTTATGTATAGCAAAGAAGGTGAGACTGCTTAGTGCGCTCCATCTTTTTTGTTTTTTCCCTTGTTTAGCTATCACTGACTGAAAACCAGCGTGTAGCAAACCCTAATCCAGATGCTGGGGAAAGTCCCCTGGACACTGGCTCTCTTTTTACCTTCTCTATTCCATATATTGGTTGGTTGAAGTTTGTTCAAAGTATTTTGCTACAAGGATCCCTAAAACTTATAGTCTCTAAGTTCTTGTATGTTTCAATATGTCCGTGAGTGACTTTATATGTAAACAGTTGTTTGGCTGGGAATAAAAATCTCTGGATCTTACTTTCTTTCCCCCAGGACTTTGAAAATGTTGATCTCTCTGTCTTACAGCATTAAATCTGCTTTGGAAAGAATGAGGGCACAGATGAGCCTTAATTTTTTCATAATAAGCTCTTAATACTCTTTTCTTATGTGCCCGTAAGTATTTATATGTAAATCCAGGTAAATATCCTAGATATTATCTCAGTATTGATTATTCTTTATTGAGAATGCATATCCTTTCTAAACAAAAGTTTAGCAAGAAAGAAGATGGAGCTCCAATAAATTATTTGAGAGATGTTCTCACCGGAACTTTTCATTTCTTACCCAAGGTTTAGTTCATGGGAGCTGCATTAGGGAAAGTGGGATCTGTTGTAGACCCCAAGGAACTCAGTCAACCAGCTGCATAAGGAATCAAAAGTCTGATGGCTGGGCACAGTAGCTCACGCCTGTAATCAGGAGGCTGAGGCAGGTGGATCACCTGAGGTCAGGAGTTCAAGATCAGCCTGGCTAACATGGTGAAACCCCGTCTCTACTAAAAACACAAAAATTAGCCGGATCTGGTGGTGCATGCCTGTAATCCCAGCTACTCAGGAGGCTGAGACAGGAGAATTGCTTGAACCTGGGAGGCAGAGGTTGCAGTGAACTGAGATTGCGCCACTGCACTCCAGCCTGGACGACAGAGCAAAACTCCATCTCAAAACAAAAACAAAACCAAAAACAAAAAGCCTGCCCCACACACAGTTAAAGGAAGAATGGAGAGTTCAAGATCAAACCAACTCTGCCTTTTCAATTGAATGATCCTACCCTTGATTAAAATGTAGCCCAACAGGTGTCAGATTCTCTCAAATCGAATGACCTGTGGCCAAGAATAAGTAGGCAGAGAGGGGAATTGCCTCACCTGCTTTACTCCACTCTGCTTTATAAAAACTGAAATGTAGATTTCTCTTTCTATGGCAACCTAAAGACAAAGGAAAATATATTATTGATCACTTCCCCAGGAATTTCATTCAATTTTTCTTTGGAATAAGACTTGTTTCACCCATAGGGCCCTTCTCTTTTTACCATTCATTAACCACATAAAATAACCATCAAAGGAGAATGGCGTGAACCTGGGAGGCGGAGCTTGTAGTGAGCCGAGATCAGGCCACTGCACTCCAGCCTGGGCCAGAGCGAGACTCTGTCTCAAAAACAAAAACAAAACAAAACAAACAAACAAAAAAAACATCAAAAGGTATGAAAGGTGCTGCTGGTTACAGAATCCTTCGAACTAAACAGTCCTGATACCACTTTCTCAACTGCACCATTAGAATCAAACTGGATTTAACTGTCAATTGGAGACCACTCCCAACTGCATACTTTCTGATTTAATTAAAGACATTAACCCACTGTCATCATATATGGTGCCTAGAATTTCCAGAGATGCTGAGTTAAAGGGTCATCCATCATCAGTGTTGCACTAGTCTGACCACAGAGTTTGGGAAGCTAGTGTCCAGGTGGTGTGAGGATATGGATCTGACATGGCTGTGCCCAGAGGGAGGAATATGTAAAACAAGTTGATGGTTTGATATTTTGCCAGAGGTCAGTCCTGGTATTCCCACAAGATCATATGGCTTGCTTCATACCTCTCTTTTAATTCTTCCCGTAGGTCATGAGTGACACTGAATATGCAGAGTGGCTGAGGAATCATTTTTTAGCTGAAACCAGCATTGACAACAGGGAAGAATTACTACTTGAATCTGCCATGAGGTTGGAGAACAAACTTACATTACTTGGTAGGTGAATTATGTTTGTATTGCCTGAATGGAGGATTTTGAAAAACACTGGATATCTTTGAATAAGGGTTATTTTCTTCCATTGTTATCTAATAAACATATATGGTTCTGCCTACCCTGTCCAGTCTGATCTCTATCCAACTTCCAATCCATTCTATTCTGTTGTCCACTGCAGTGAACTAGACTTCACTTGTGATGGGGTCAGGATGGTCACCCCAAGAAGATCATGTAAAATCCAACACTTAACATAGACTACAAAGCCAAGTAAATGTTCCAATAAATATCTTGGTTCAAATCAAGATAAATATCAAGAATAGAGTTTCTTGTCAGGCATTGGATAAGGTGCTTAATACGTGTTATCTTTTTTTTGAATTCTCACAACAAATCTCTATCTTATGTAGAGGAAATTTGGGGCACAGAGCAGTTCAATGACTTGTTCAAGGTCACATGCCAGTAGCTGACAGTTACTCATTAACCAAACATGGAGCTCATGTTTGCCTGGCTCCAAGCTTTTTATCCTGCACCTGCTACTGGACTAAGGAAATTTATTTTTCTTCTCTTCCTGATTTCAACTAAAATTGCACAACTGACCCCTCTTGTCTTGGATTAAACTGCATCTTAGAATTATCTGAAGCACTTTAAAAAATATTGATGCCTGCATCCTATCCCCTGAGATTCTGATTCAAGTGATCTGTTGTGTGGCTTGGGCATTGGAATTTTTTAAAGCTCCCTAAAGTGATGCTAAAGGCGGTCAAGTTTGAGAACCACTGTCTTAGAGTCTGGAGATCTAGATTCTAATATAAGCTCTGATATACCAAGATACCAGCTTCTGAGCTCCATTCCTCTATTTAGGAGGAAAACATTGACCTAACTTAGTATCTAGCAAATAGAGCAATGATGCCTACCCTAAGTGATTTCTCTGTGACAGTGTAAGTAGTATAGGTCCACATTTCCTCATCTGTGATTCCAAAATCAAAAATGCTCCATGGGTTTAGTGCCAAAACTCATTTGGCAGAAAAATCATACCTGATTTGATATAAGACTATTTATAGTTATTATCCTAATTTAGGTGAACATTTGTCAGTTTTCCTGCAGAAATATTAATATGCTTGATTAACAAGTATTATAGAATATGGTATATGCACCATATTACTTTTTTAATATCTGAAAAATGTTTGAATTCCAAAACACATATGGCCCCAATTGTTTCAGAAAAGGGAACTGTAGACCCATGAAAGAACACTGCAAATAGACATTGTATCTTACTGGCAGGAGCATTCTTTAAAAGCCTGCCCTTTAAAGGACATGAACAGACATTTTTCTAAAGAAGACAACAACAAGTGGCCAACAAACATGAAAAAATGCTCAACATCACTAGTTATCAGATGCAGACAAATGCAAATTAAAACCACAATGAGATACCATCTTACACCAGTCAGAATGTCTGTTAAAACGTCAGAAGACAACAGATGTTGGCAAGGATGCAGAGAAAAGGGAACGCTTATATACTGCTGGTTGGAATGTAAATTAGTACAACCTCTATGGAAAACAGTGTGGAGATTCTCAAAGAACTGAAAATGGAATTACCGTTCAATCCAACAATCCCACTACTGGGTATCTACCCAAAGGAAAAGAAATCATTATATCAAAAAAGTACCTGCAATCATAGGCTTATCACAGCACTGTTCACAATAGCAAAGTCACAGAATCAGATTTCTAAGTGTCCACCAACAAACGATTAAAGAAAATGTGATATAATATATATATATACACACACACACACATATATACACAATGGAATCCCACTCAGCCATAAAAAAGAATGAAATTGTGTCTTTTGCAGCAACATGGATGAAACTGGATGCCATTATCTTAAGTGAAATAACCCAGAAACAGAAAGTCAAGTACCACACGTTCTCACTTATAAGTGAGAGCTAAATAACATGTACACATGGACATGGAAAATGAAATAGTAGACATTGGAGACTCAGAAAAGTGGGAGGATAGGTCGGGGAGCAAGGGATGAGAAATTACCTAACAGGTACAATTTACACTATTTGCATGATGGTTACACTGAGAGCCCAGATTTCACCCCTACACAATATATCAGTGTAACAAAACTGCGTTTGTGCCCCCTAAGTCTATAATAATAAAAATAAAATCCCACCCTTATCCTTGGGAATATCATAGAATTATAAAATTGTAGTGTAAGGTTGCATAAATAATTGACTCAAATCCCTTCAATTTACAGATAAGAAATCTAGCCAAAAGGAGAACGAGTAAGTTTGATAAATCCATTGATCCCTGAGGCTTCCTTCCCAAAATATTACATTGCATATAATTTTGGTCTGGGTCGTCAAACCTCCTTTGACTCTCCTGAGCAGCTGGGCAGTTTATGTAGTGTAGGGTTGAGTTGGCTAACAGATATGATTCAACTGTAGACTAGCTGAGCTTCAGCTGGCTTTGGTTTCTTACAAGTCCTATTGCACTTTGGTTATTTTTTAGGTGCTACTGGCATTGAAGACCGTCTGCAGGAGGGAGTCCCTGAATCTATAGAAGCTCTTCACAAAGCGGGCATCAAGATCTGGATGCTGACAGGGGACAAGCAGGAGACAGCTGTCAACATAGCTTATGCATGCAAACTACTGGAGCCAGATGACAAGCTTTTTATCCTCAATACCCAAAGTAAAGTGCGTATATTGAGATTAAATCTGTTCTTCTGTATTTTCAAAGGCATTGGAACATTTGAGATTTGATGTATGCAAGGATTAAAAAAAAAACAAAACAGCAACCGTTAGCTTTTTTTGTTGTTTGTTTGTTTGTTTTGGTTTTTTTGAGACGGAATCTTGCTCTGTCACCCAGGCTGGAGTGCAGTGGTGCAATATCTTGGCTCACTGCAACCTCCACCTCCCAGATTCAAGCAATTCTGCTTCAGCCTCTCAAGTAGCTGGGATTACAGGCATCTGCCACCACGCCTGGCTAATTTTTGTATTTTTAGTAGAGACGGGGTTTCACCTTGTTGGCCAGGCTGATCTTGAACTCTTGACCTCAAGTGATCCGCCAGCTTTGGCCTCCCAAAGTGCTGGGATTACGGGGTGAGCCACTGTGCCCTGGCCAGCAACCATTAGCTTCTTGATAATTTTTTCTATCCAGAAACCTACCTTGTGCTTGGAAGGATGTCTATTCTTCTAAAGGCCTGATGGAAAATTATAATGATTCAGAGGAATCATTGCTGAATAAAGGCATTAGAAGAAAGTTTTTTTTTTTTATTTGCTTTCCCCCCTCCACACTGGATTACCAGGGATCTGACAGGACTTAGCCCAAAATGAGAAAATATATCAAGTCCTGGTACAGGAATCTACCTCCCTTTTAAGATAAGAAAAAGTGATAGTTTTTATTGAAATCAGGTGAATAAATTATTAAATATTTTATGGCAATTCTAAAAATAGACTCAGGGAAATCGTGCCCTCTTGTGGTAATTCCTAGGTAGTGCTCCCGAGAATATCATAAGTTTGAAGAACTGTTTAAGGGAAGAGGAAAATGTCATTTTTTAAAAAAGAAGGAAATTTAGGAGGCTTAGACTCAGCCCAGTTTTTTCTATTTTTGCCTCCCGCTAATCTCTAACACCAATGTTTAATCAGATAAATAAGGGTTTTATTTTTCTCAGAAGCCTTCCAGTATAGTGATCCCCTCCAAGATTTGTGCACATTGTTTATTTTTCTTGAAAAACTTCCTCCCATTCTTCTTCAGCAGTCAGACTTAACCAGTGATATCAATCCCATCACTGCAGTCTGCCTTCTTTGAAATCTTGTGGAGCTTTTCTTCAGGATCACTTCTTGAGCTTTGCCTGCTCAAGGCTGCCATGATTGGTTAACATGTTTTCGTTTGTTTATTTGTTTGTTTGTTTGTTTGTTTTGAGGCAGCCCAGGCTGGAGCGCTATGGCGCGATCTCGGCTCACTGCAAGCTCCGCCTCCCGGGTTCACGCCATTCTCCTGCCTCAGCCTCCCGAGTAGCTGGGACTACAGGCTCCCGACACCACGCCCGGCTAATTTTTTGTGTATTTTTAGTAGAGACGGGGTTTCACCGTGTTAGCCAGGATGGTCTCGACCTCCTGACCTCGTGATCCGCCCGCCTCGGCCTCCCAAAGTGCTGGGATTACAGGCGTGAGCCACCGCGCCCGGCCTGGTTAGCATGTTTTTATGGTCAGACCTCAACCAGCACTCAGCTAAATGGTACATTTTGAGAAAAGGGAAAAATAGAGTGGGTTCCCCTTTACGGTGGCCCAGTGACCCATAACCACAACCACCAGCCAACTCCCAGTAGCTGCAGGGGGCAGAACAGAAGAAAATGCTTAGTCATTTCAGTCACCAAAAGAATGTAGCCTAGGTGGCTGGTAAGACTAGGGATCAAATGCTTGGCCTGCCGCTGACTGAGTATGTGGCCTTAGGGAGTTACTTACCCTCCTGTGCCGCTTTTTCTTTACTCATAATGGGAGAGTAATGACTGTTTAATGGGGTTTTTGTGAGCATTAAATGAAAAAATATAAATTGTTTAATGCGGTGCCTATCAGATGAGAGGGGTTCAGTAAGCATTAAAAAAGAAAAATAGAGATTGTTGTGAACAGTAAAATCTTTAGGACTGTGAAATTCATTTATAATGCAATATATCCATATAAAAAAATTACACTTATACCCTTAAATTTATATAAATAAAAAAATTATTTATAAATACACAATTTATCTTATGTTTAAAGGCATTTAAAACTATCGATTCAAGAAGTATTTACTGAGTACCTATAATTTTTTTGCTATCGATAGCTATTCCACATGTGTGAATTTTCCAAATAACTAAACAGAATACAACAAACATAATTTAGTTTTATCACAACTCAAGATAAAAAGCCAGGCACATAGTATGGGCTCAGTCACTAGTATTTAACTCTTTTCTTTCCACCTCCCACTCCTAGTCCCTCAGGAATCACTAAGAGTTTAAAAGGACTTGAAGATCATGGAGCCCAGTGTGTCACTTAGTGAAGGAATTGCTCCTATAACATTCTAAGCAGGCAATGTGGCAGCCAGTGGAATGTCTGAAGTTACTTTTGTGTCATCTTTACAAATTTCCATCAACGTTGTTCTTCAATTTACAAATTAGATTATAAGTGTTGCCAGTTGCAAACTTTACCTTTTACTCTCATAAAAGTTTTTTTTCTTCATTTGTTTTAATATAGTCATATCCTGTTTGTAACTAGTTACTGCATTGGAATATACAAAGGCCTTTCAGGATTGGTCATTTAATTTTTTAAGTTTTATTTTTGTAATTTCATTTAAATTTTTCTCCTCAGATTGGTAACTTTCTATCTTCATAATTTATATTAGAATCTACAAAAAGGCTTTCCATACCTGATCTCATTTGACAATTACAACAAATAGACATAGAAGATAAATTATCTGTTTTATAACCTGAGACTCCAAATGCTTGTGATTTCTCTAAGTACAGCTGATTACTAAACTTTAAATTTTCTGATTCCCATTACAGTATATTTTCTAATTATATATTACATATTACATATATACAGTTGATTCTCCTTATTTGTAGAGTTATAGTTTATGTAGTTGCCCCGAGCTCTGAATTAGCAAACACTGACCACTGCTTTTAGAGGAGATACAAAGTTAGCTTCCTCTGATTACAACATACTGTCAACAATCAATACATGACCTTGTTTCTTCTGAAATGTACCTTATTTAATATGCATATTAATGATTCATTAACGTTAAATGCATTGCCAACAGACTGTAACTTATACCCAAACAAAGCTTATCTAACATGGGTAAGTTCCCCCCATAGGACACATCACAGCCTTTTTTGCTTGGAAACACTGCAGCCCATGATTGGGAGTCATTTTAAACAGCAAAATCACTGACAAAAAGCAGAAAGATGCAAAAAATATGGCACCAAATAGCCCATGAAAAGAAGACTTTGCTACAGTTTGAGAACTGGCAAAAGAAGGCATCATGGTGTTCAGCTTCAGCTGGGAATGGGCATATCACATGACTTAAATGTCACTCTATGCATGTGACACTCAAATGTCACTCTATGACATGTAACCACAAAAACATCTCAAGTATTGTGAAATTACAGATAAATTTTATCAAGTAGGAGAATTCACAAATGTGGAATCCACAGATAATGAAGATTAGCTGTGTGTGTGTATGCATACTTCTGTTATTTTTATAATGAAAAAAATAGTTAATTTGTAAAACCTAAACACATACTCAAATAAATAGAAGAGTACAAAACCCTTTATAATCAATTTATAATCATAAAACTACAATTTAAAATCATATTTTGGAGAATATCCACACAGACTGTATTCTGTATACTGTAAGCATATTGGTGCCACAAAGACTATATTTATGTTATTGTATGGTATTGCAGCTGTATTCTTTCAATTACAATACCTTAAACACAATCTGATGTTAATGTTTTCAATGATTGCGAGGCATGTTACTTTCTAAATGTGCCATTTTAATTTAACCAAACTCCAAAAGAGTTTTAAAAATAATTTTTACTATGATGTAATGAGCTGTATGAGCATATCTGATTCATCTTTGTATACTTTGCCTTAAGGGCTTTGGAGGTGTATGGGATCAAATTCATTCCTAAAATGGAGCCCTGTGAACACTCCACAAGAGTGTTTATAGTTTTTGTGCTGTTTCATGTGCACATGTCCATATCTACTTCTTCCTTGCTTTTCTTATTTTGTTGTAGGTTGAGAAATGCTTGATAAAACAGCATTTAAAATCAAAGCAAACAAGCTTTGAGTGAGAGCTCTTTCACGAATAAACTATTTCAGACTTAGTGTATAAACTAAACTTAAATTCACTGCTCTGGATTTGGAATTTGTTCTTAGTGATCACTTGACACAGTAATTTCTGGATAAGCTTATTGTTCATCTTCTTGAGTAGAATTCATTCAGTGAATGTTTACTGAGTACCTGATGTGATCCTCTTTTAAGCCTCATGAAGACTTCAAAAGTAAATTAAAAGTGATAACTGCCTTTAAAGAACTTCCTAACTAGTGTGGAGTGAGGATGTATGCAAAGGAGACGTGATAAGTACCACAAAGAACATCCTGGCCAGAATGCAAGTGCCATGAGGGCAGGAATTTTCATGTTTATTGGTGTAGCTCCAGCTCTTAGAATGTTTTCTAATATATAGTTTCTCATTAAATAGTTAGTGAGTGAATGAATACGTTGAATCAAAAAGAAGATAAAAGCAATAATTACTATTTCAAATGCCTGCCATGTGTCATGCCTTACACTAGGAGTTTTGCCTGTATTATTTTGCTTAATCCTCACAACAAGATTATGATGGAAATAATATTTGCATATTTTTAATGAGAAAGTTAAGGCTTAGAGAGGTTACATAGTTTGCCCAAGGTCAAGCAGCTAATAATTGGCAGAATGAGACCAGAGGACTCTTGGGATTCACTGTTCAAGAAGGCAAATTGCACACATGAAGAAATTTCACAGCTATTTCTTTATAAGAAATACTGGTGAGATGTTCCCCCTCCTTTTAACCCATCCCCACATACACACAGAACTCTCTGTGGAAGACTCGTAAAATCTTTGAAAATAATCAGTTATTCATTATTTGAGGTTTTCTTGATTCAGCAATTGCTAAAAAATGACAATAAAAAATGTAACTGGTTCTGACACCAAGGGCGCCTGGAGGCTAACCACCTTTGCCTCTTGTTTCAAGGATGCCTGTGGGATGCTGATGAGCACAATTTTGAAAGAACTTCAGAAGAAAACTCAAGCCCTGCCAGAGCAAGTGTCATTAAGTGAAGATTTACTTCAGCCTCCTGTCCCCCGGGACTCAGGGTTACGAGCTGGACTCATTATCACTGGGAAGACCCTGGAGTTTGCCCTGCAAGAAAGTCTGCAAAAGCAGTTCCTGGAACTGACATCTTGGTGTCAAGCTGTGGTCTGCTGCCGAGCCACACCGCTGCAGAAAAGTGAAGTGGTGAAATTGGTCCGCAGCCATCTCCAGGTGATGACCCTTGCTATTGGTGAGTGAGGATGAATCTGAGTCCTGCTCTTCTCCCTTTCACACCACACCAGACACCGATCCTTCTGTCTCTTTCTTCTCCCACTGTTCCTTCCATTTTCCTCCTCCCTTTTTCTCTACCACATTCATGCCTTCCCATCACCTATTTGAGCACCTTCCTCCATCACCTATTTGAGCACCTTCTGTGAACCAGGTAATAGGGATGTGACATGGTAAACAATACAGTAGTCCAGACTTCTTAGTTCAGTGTCAGACCCCCAAATCAACAAGCTTAAATCAAGTAATAAACTGAATCACAGAACTGAAAAATCCATGTGTTCTACCTTCAGGAAAGCTAAATTCAAGGACATGAGAATTCATTTCTTTATCCATTCCACAAGTATTTATCAAGTGCCTTTTTTGTACCAGGCATTTTTCTAAGGAATGGAGATACAAGAGTATATAAAATTGGCAAACTACCTTTTTACAAGGAACTTACATCTAGTAGGAAGGCATGCAGTAAAACAAAGCATAAATCTGTAAGGTATCAGGTAGTGATAAGTACTATTGAAAAAATAAAGTGGAATGAGGACACGTAGAGCACTGGAGATGGGCTGGGGCTGCTCTTTTAAATACGATTTTCAAAGAAGGTCTCACTGCTAAGGTTGACTGTGAGCAGAGATGTGAAGGAAATCATAAAGGGGCCATGGGAGACATGGAGAAGAACATTTCTGGAAGAGAAGACAGTGAAAATGAAAGCCATGAGGGGAACCGTGTTTGGTGTGTCGGAGGACAAAGCCGATTAAGCAAAGGGAGGTGTTTTCTGCGGGTTATTAAAGGCCAGAGAAGCAGCAGAGGGCCAGATCACATAGGGTCTTAGAGGACATTATAAAATTAGGGAGCCATTGAAGGATTTTGAGCTGGAGTGGGACATGATTTGCCTTAAATTTAAAATGATCATGTTGGCTGTTCTGTCAGAGTAATTGTTGGACTGCAAAGACATATGAAATCAGTTGGAATAATTCAGCAAGAGATGATGGCAGCTTGGGCACAGCTGGGAGCAAAGGAAGGGTTGGGACGTGGTCAGATGAAAAATGGGCATGGTCTGAAAAAAGACCCAGAGACATTTGCTGGCATATTGGATATGTTATATGAGAGAAAGAGTTGTCATAGGGAA
Source organism: Homo sapiens (assembly GCF_000001405.40). NCBI lineage: Eukaryota > Metazoa > Chordata > Mammalia > Primates > Hominidae > Homo > Homo sapiens. The sequence goes on from NC_000004.12 coordinate 47,570,302, forward strand.
CGCCAAAGTTATGTCTAAGAACAGAAAGAACAGAGCTGCCATTTACTGAGATAGAGGCAGGGGAAATTGGGAATTGGGTCTTACTCATGTGAAGTTTGAAAAGGCCATTAAATATCTAAGCAGTGATGTCAGGTAGGAAGTGAGAATAAAAGTCTGGAATTTAGGAATAAGAAATTGGCTAGAGATATAAATTTGAGAATCAGAAGTCTAGTGGGTATCAGGCCAGGTACAGTGGCTCACGCCTGTAATCCCAGCACTTTGGGAGGCTGAGGTGGGTGGATCACTTGAGGTCAGGAGTTCGAGATCAGCCTGGCCAACATGGTGAAACTCCACCTCTACTACAAACACGAAACTTGGCCAGGCCTGGTGGTGGGATCCTGTAATCCCAGCTGCTAGGGAAGCTGAGGCAAATAGTCACTTGCACCCGGGAAGCGGAGGTTGCAGTGAGCTGAGATTATGCCACTGAATTACAGCCTAGGAGACAGAGCAAGATTCTGTCTCAAAAAAAAAAAAGAGAAATAAAAGAAAAGAAAAAAAGAGTCTAGTGGATATCAAAGCCTTGACACCAAAGAATGAGTATAACTGAAGAGAATTGTAGTATGAGATTAAGATCTCAGAGACTCCAGTGTTAAACTGAGGACTTGGCATATCAGCTCTCTCTTTCTATGTCTGTTTTCCCTCTGGACTGCTTCCAGTCTCAGGTAAATTTTCCCCTCAGGGTGGTGATGTAGCCACTAAAACTCCTGGGTTTCCATCCTATCCTATTAACAACTTGGGTGAAAAGATAGCATCACTTTTCAGATTGCTGCAGTAAAGTTTCAGGATTAAGGTGGAATTTTGTTCAATTATCTTGTTGAATAAACAGATAAATAAATGAATTATTCAAGCTTATGGATCCAGATGTTTCCAAAGCAAAAACTCCTGGATTTATAATTATAGATAACATAATTATAACATAATTATATTATAATTTATTACATTATAATTATATTTATCATATACATTATATATAATACTTATAATTTATATCATGCATTATGTAATATATAACAATTATATTATAACTTATAATAATATTAATTAATTGGAGTCATATGTCCATTTCTGAACCAATTACTGAGGCCAGGGAATAGAAGATGCTGATTGTACAGATCTGGGACACTTGCTTACCTATAAATATGGAGGTTTGGGTTCACCCTAACAAACCACATAAACTAAGAATTTCCAAGGAAAACCAGTATACCTTTACTGAAAAACAGGTGAATTGTTGGTGATCAGTTGTTCATTACCAGCAGGAATGTGGTACCTCCTCCTAAGAAGCTTCCTGTGTTGGGGGAGACCAGTAAGTCTGTATGCAACCATGATACTGTGTGATAGGTGTGCTAGAGATACATAGGGTGGTGCTGAAGCCTTATGAAAGGGCATCTGATCTTTAAAAAAAGTATGAGAAGGATTTCCCAGAGGAAATGACATCTAAGCTGAGAGCAAGAAAAATTGAAATCCAGAAAAATGAGCTGGGGGTGATCAGGACAGTGTTGTTATCATGTGCGTGGCTACAGGGAGAAGGGTGTATCTGGAGAGTTGAAAGTAGCATGAATGACATGAAAAACAAGATCAGTCTGGGTAGGTGCCATAGCGTGAAGGAGTTTAAAGCGGTGTTGAGTTTGGAATTCTTCCTGATGGCAGTGGGATGCCACTTCATTTCTGTTTCACTTACTTCCAGGAAACTTGGAGAACGGGATGAACTTTGAAGGATTTATTTGTTCACTTGAGCTGCCCCTATTGATTTGCAACATTTACACCCTTTCTTTACTCCTCATATGTTTCTCTCCTTTTTTTCTGCCTCATGAAGGTGATGGTGCCAATGATGTTAGCATGATACAAGTGGCAGACATTGGGATAGGGGTCTCAGGTCAAGAAGGCATGCAGGTGAGTGGATATTGTGCACCCAAGTTCTGTGGCCTTGACCTGCCCATCCAAAGGCAGCATTCTCCATGGTAAATTCTCTGTGGCAGAGTGAGGCTGTGTGTGGCTAGCTGAGGAGTGGGAGACAGGAAGTTTACCTATCTATTCATTGATTTTTTTTTACTAGGTGAGTATTATGGCATTTTCCTGGGTAATTTTAGCTGTATTATTCACTTGTTAAAAATAGAGCTTATCTAAAATCACAGGAATATATATTTTAGTCCTGCAATGGCTGCGTAAATTCTGACTCTGAAGAAGCTACTAAGGATTTGAATGAAGGACCTAAAGATCTTGAGGCAGGAGACCGAGGGAAAAAAAGGGAAAGAAGAGGAAATGAGAGGAGAAGGAAGGAAGTGGGAGTGTCCTATTTGTGCGCACGTGTGTGTGTGTGTGTGTGTGTGTGTGTGTGTGTGTTGGATGGTATTTTAGGCACAAAATTCAGATAAAAGCTCATAATCCAAAAAACTGATTTTCATTCATGTATGGAACAAATGCGGTCAGAAGAAGGTAGAATATGAGGCCTAGGGTTTCCCAAGAATTGTGCTGTGTCTGTTCTAACATGTTTGATCACTCAGGATGGCATTCTCTCCCCATTGCATCTGCAGGCTGTGATGGCCAGTGACTTTGCCGTTTCTCAGTTCAAACATCTCAGCAAGCTCCTTCTTGTCCATGGACACTGGTGTTATACACGGCTTTCCAACATGATTCTCTATTTTTTCTATAAGAATGTGGTATGTAACCCCAGAGAATTTGTCCCTTTTCCCTTCGTACCTTCCAAGACTGTTGCATCAGGGATGAAGACGAAGTGTCCTATGCTAAGCTCACTTTCCTTATTGATGTATTGGGAACAGCCAGGACTGGTCTTGCTGTCTTTCCAGAACTAAGCTGGGAATGTGCTATGTTTCAGCTGCTGACAGCAAATTGCCAGGCTTGTCCATCTGCTAACATTTTCTACTCCCTGTGCATTTAAATTAAGTCCTGTCTGTTTCATTTAAAATCCAGTTTTTGACCTTCCATAAAAAAGGCTGTGACAAGAAGAATTATGAAATGTTTAATGCTGTCAGTACAGAAAGAAAAGGTTTGCATCCGTTTTACTGGAAATACCAAAAAATATCAGCTCTTCCAAATTAATGCCCCATGTGTTATAATAAAGACACAGATACAGATGAAAACCTAGTATGTCTTAGCGTGTAGCTGGCTGTTGCTCACAGATGCAAGAATTCTCTAGCCAACCTATAAAATGTATTTGTGCTCAGTAGTTATTTAATGATAAAGGAACTAGATTTTGATTCTATAATTCCTAAAAGGGCAGAATTTGATTAGAAATCCAGGCCTCTAATCTTCAGCCTGCTATTTCAATTTCAGTTTCCTTTTTTTATAAAATCATACGTAATCAGACGTAAGTATCTTCTAAGTGGGGTAATTATGTAAATATCATGAATTTTAGGCCAAATTCACTCTTAGTCTTTAAAGTCCATATGTAGTATGTTAGTAGTAGACATGGGTTGATGTCACTCTATTAAAATACCATTTTTAGGGGAAAAAAAGCCATTTTTAGGAGATCCCAAATGTGTAATTTAGAACTCTGTGTGCACATGTATGTCCATCAGTAGGAACATTTTTTTTTTTCCTATAGCACAGTACACTTTTCAGGAATCTCTCAAGACTTTACTGATTAGAATTAGTGCAGTTAGTCAAAGTTCAGTAAAACTCAGATACTTTAGGAAAATATTTGAAATGTATAAAATCTCTGCCTGAGTATGTGCTTCTAGGGAAAACTGCAGCTTGTAATTTACAATTCTAGAACTTAGTGGTCAATGGCTTTTAAAGAGAAGCCCCTCTCCCAAGTTTTTATTTTAAACCTTTGCATTTGTTCACCTTCTCCCCTATTGTGGCAATATCCATTCACCTCCTCACCTCCTTTTAACTCCAGATTGAATCCAACAGTAAAGAAATACTAGTATTAGGAGGATATGGTATACACTCTCGAAGAGAGGGAGTGTTGGTTAGTAGACAGAATCAGGACCTCGGTGATCTTCCTGCTCTATAATCCTTGAGTGGCCATTCATACTGATAATCTCCAGACTTAATTGATATCTCTTATTTACCTAGCTAAACAATGCATATTTTATGTGCTATGCAAAGGTCTTGGACCAGAAGCCATTAGAGTAGCTTATCTTTCTGAGACCATGGTTCTTGGATGTTGGACAACCTTTGAGGTGCCAGTGAAGACTATGGATTCATTCCCCCAGAATAGCACCCCAAACCACAAACAATACATTTTCAGAAACTGGTCCTGATCCATGTCCATAGATGCTAGACTAAGAAAATCTATTCTGGCCAGGTGCGGTGGCTCACGCCTGTAAGCCCAGCACTTTGGGAGGCCGAAGCAGATAGATCACGAGGTCAAGAGATCAAGAAATTCAAAATCTAGTCTAAGGATTGTGGCCCTTGTCCTGAGGTTCTAGTGTATCTATGATGACAATAATTTTTTTTTTTAATGAGACACTTTACAGATCATGACTACTTTCTTGTTTGTGTGTTTGATTTTTGAGACAGGATCTCACTCTGTCCCCCAGGCTGGAGTGCAGTGGCATGATATCAGCTCACTGCAACCTCTGCCTCCCGAGGTCAAGCTAACCTCCCGCCTCAGCCTCCTGAGAAGCTGGGCCTAAAGGCACGCGCCACCATACTTAGCTAATTTCTGTTTGGTTTGGTTTTTTTTGCGGGGGGAGAGACAGGATTTCACCATGTTGGCTAGGATGGTCTTGAACTCCTGACCTCAAGTGATCTGCCCACCTTGGCCTCCCAAAGTGCTGGGATTACAGGCATAAGCCACTGCATCCGGCCGATGATGACCATTTTCTAACTTGATCTTGATACTAAGCCCTAAGGTAGTATAACTCTCATTTTACAGAGGAGGAAATAATAATTCAGGGTGGTTAGGGCAATGACCTAAAGGCAAAGAATCAATTAGAAGTATCCCCCAGCCTTGAGACAAAACTCTCTCTAAGTCCAATGTCCTTTCCTGTGGCCTGCCCTCCTTGGGAGCACAGAGCTTTTTATAGTGAACTTAGTTTGTCTGAGACAAAATACTACAGGAAACCATGTAGAATGCCTGTGCCTGGACTCTAGGGTCACCAACTATCCTGGTTTTCCTGAGAGTGTCCCGGTTTTAGCACTGGGCATCCCAAGGCCTGGGAAACCCCTCAGTCCCAAGCAAGCTGGGATGGCTGACCACTCTGCTGGCACCATTCCATTTCACCGCTATGTATTTATGAACCCAGAAGGCAAGAAAATGGACATTTGTGCTGTGCCTACTCCATGTCTGTGCCAGGCACTGGGCTAGATTCTCTTCATCTAGTGTTGAATCCTTCAGTTTGAATACTGGTTCTGCTACTTATTAGCCATGTGGCTTTGGGCAAGTTTCTTAGTCTCTCTGTGCCTCAGTATCTTAGTCTGTTCAGGCTGCTGTAACAAAGTACCACAGACAGGTGGCTTGTAAACAACATTTCTTCCCCACTATTCTGGAGGCTGGAAATCCAGATGAGGGTACCAGAATGGTCAGGTTCTGGTGCGGGTTTTCTTCTGGATTGTAGATTTCTCATTATATCCTTACATAAAAAGAGATGAGATGATGAGAGCTCACTGGGGTCCCTTTTTTTTTTTTTTTTTTTTTTTTTGAGACGGAGTCTCGCTCTGTCGCCCAGGCTGGAGTGCAGTGGCGCGATCTCGGCTCACTGCAAGCTCCGCCTCCCGGGTTCACGCCATTCTCCTGCCTCAGCCTCCCAAGTAGCTGGGACTACAGGCGCCCGCCACTACGCCCGGCTAATTTTTTGTATTTTTAGTAGTGACGGGGTTTCACCGTTTTAGCCGGGATGGTCTCGATCTCCTGACCTCGTGATCCACCCGCCTCGGCCTCCCAAAGTGTGGGGTCCCTTTTATAAAGAAACTGATTCCATTCATGAGGTCTCCAATGTCATGGCCTAATCACCTCCCAAAGGTACCACCTCCTAACACTGTCACAGTGGGGATAGTGCTCTGTGCTCTCAAGTAGGGCAGACCACAGGAAAGGACATTGGTCTTAGATAGAGGGAGTTTTGTTTCAAGAGGATTTCATATAAATTTTGGGATTAACATTCAGTTGATTACACTTAATTAAATTAACATTCAGTTAATTACACTTAATTTCCTGACCTGTAAAATGGCAACAACAATGTAATTCCCAGGTTGTTATGATGATTAAATGAATTATTCCTAAAGCACTTAGAACAATGCTAGCACCACATAATAAGTGGGGTGTGAGTGTGTGTACATACATGTGTGCACTTTAATTTAATAAAATATTTACCAAAAAAAGCTGCAAGGTAAATTGTGGTCCTATCTTATATAAGAAAACTACAGAGAGGCTGAGGTCACCCAGCTCAAAATGGCAGCATTTGGAATGTGTAATCATAGCACACATTACTGATTCTAAGATCTGAATGTCCTTCTTTGTGTCTCTAGGCCTATGTGAACCTCCTTTTCTGGTACCAGTTCTTTTGTGGATTTTCAGGAACATCCATGACTGATTACTGGGTTTTGATCTTCTTCAACCTCCTCTTCACATCTGCCCCTCCTGTCATTTATGGTGTTTTGGAGAAAGATGTGTCTGCAGAGACCCTCATGCAACTGCCTGAACTTTACAGAAGTGGTCAGAAATCAGAGGTAGGTGTTAAAGCAAGAGTGCTTGGATGGATGCATATCCATTGTCAAAGCCAGTGTGTTTTCTTAGTTAGCAAAATATTGCAGTCTACTCAGAACTGTTTGAAATATCTGATTGTTTTAAAAGATCTCTACTTATGTGGCAGATATTCACTTACTTAACTTTGAGGTAAATACAGATTAATCTATGAAGGGCCTTATGTACTTAGAAGAAGAAATCTAAAGTTTGAATCTTACAACCAATAATATCTAACATTTACTAAACCCCATTGCCATCTATTGTGCTAACTACTTAACATCCCCCGTCTGATTTATCTTCATGAAAACACGTTGAGACAGAACCTAGTGTTGGTCCCATTCTAAGATGAAGAATCTGAACCTCAAAGGGGTTAAGTAATTTTTCAAGAAATCCCACCACTAAAAAGTGGTTTGGTATATGTTAGAAAGAATAGGTTATGTTTACTCTGAGTTTAAATTCTGGTTCTGTGGTATGTGACCTTGGTAAATTTTTTAACTTGCCTGTGCTGCAGGTTCTTTATGGGAATGAAGTGAGGATTAAGGAAGATAATACGGTACAACTTCCAGCCATAGCAAGCTCTCAATGTTGTCATTTTTACCCTCCAGAATTAACCAGAAATTTGAGGAAATCCCAAATTTAAAATAATGCATTTATTTTCATCGGTCTAACTAATCTGACTTGAAATGCCTTTCTGGAATGGAGAGTCATTTAGTGTCCTTACACTACCTAGAACAACCAACAGAGAAATCACAGATTCAGCTTTCAGGAAAGAAGGGGTCCTTATAATCCTCTAATATCATCCAATCCATTCAGACCAAGGAACTACATGGGTTTTCCTAAAGGAGTCCAGTCTGACTTAAAGTTCAAGCCAGGATGCAAGAACATGTGGTTGATGTCAGAGAAGTTTGTCCCACGCCCCAGGCATAATTGAAATTCCAAATCCACTTCGGAAAGGAGGGTTGAGGGAGATTTTCAGTCAAAGTTTTTATAGCCTGTGTTTTAAAAGCCCATTTGTATGGACTAAAGATTGTTATTTGTCCTTATCCTTGGGAGACGTGAGATCATTGTTTCCTGTTGTTGAATCCTCTCACCAATCCTTGTACACGCTGTTCTAGTGAGCTGGCCAGTTATATAAAACATGATCACAGCAGGCAGATTTTCCCAGCATGTAGCTATTGATAAAAGGTAACTGATTTCATTGACTTTACCTTCTAAAATTTGTCCTTTCTTTGAACTTGGCCTCCAACAAAATTATGTTTTATGCTTGGGTCGTTTTCCTGTGTTCAGTGTCATGAAATATACTCTCCAGAGCTACAGAATCTCTCTCCTCTAAAGATGAGTCTGGAAGTCTGCAGTCAGAAGCTTCCCTTCCACGAAGCCTCACCCCCATCTCTCATCACCCACAATCTTCTTTTTTGGCTTTGGCTTCATGTCCAGACTTTCCCCTTTCAGGTTCCAGTGGACCCCGTGAGTTAATCCCTCCAGCCTCTCATTTATCTTAATCATGATCCTTCTCTCTTTACTTTTGTAAGTCCTATTCCTCATGTGACTGTGGGAAATTGTATTTCTTTCCTTTTACTCTAGGTTCTTTGAGCAACCTCTCTCTCCCCAGATGCATGAAGTTATATTTTAACTTATCCCTAAGTGGTTCTCTCTTGTCCAGTGGCATTTTGCTTGCCCCTTTGTCTCTGGCACATTCTCTTCCACCATTGGATTGGGCTTCTGCTGAGATTTTATGGAAGAAAGGCAGGCAGAATATCCTTCATATCCAATGAGGAAATAATAGAAGAAGATACAGAGAAAAGTGGACTGGAAACAATGAATCTTCATTGTTTTGATTTTCCAGAGAACGAAGGGATAAAAAAGGATAGATGTAAAAATTCCAAGTATATTATTCTAAAGAATGGAAGAATGTATATGGAGAATTTGTATATTTATAAAGATTTGTTCTTTAAGAGACAGTGAGACATTTTCAAGGAAGTTTCAGCCTCTGCATTTGGAAGAAAACAAGACTGAGAACATGTTAGGAAAAGACTAGCTCAGGGATGTGACACATGTTTTTCCAATTTTGTTCATGGCAGATATCACTAATAAGTGATAGCACTCTTTCCTGCTGGATCTGAATGCAGCCTCAGAATCCTTCACACAGCCTCAGAATCCAACTTCAGAGTTGGCTCTTGTTTGAAAAGTCATTTTCAATCATTTGACTATTGTCTCTTACTCTTTCTTTTTTTCTCTAAGATTTGTGTAGGAAGCAGTTTAGTACATGAAAACGTGTATGTGAATACTTTATTAACCCGATAAATATTTGTTGGGCACCTGGTATGTACAAGACACTGTTTTAGTCGCTTGAATAAAAGAGTCAACATTCTATTCTATGAGCTTGCATTCCACTGAGAGAACTAGAGCATTTATTAAACAGAGAGAATTATTCCTGATGGTGATGAGATACTTCTCAGGTTTCCATGGTAGTAAGTGCCTGAGTGGGCACAGCTTTTAGACTGGTTTGGTGTGCCTGTATGAGGAAGTGATATTTGAGCTAGGATACAAGTAATGAGGAAATGCTCATGTAGGAGGTCCAGGAAAAGAATTCCTGGCAGAGAGACTAGCACAGGTGAATCCCTGAGGAAAGAATGGATTTGGCACATTTGAGGAAAAGAATGAAAAAGGTCCATGTTGCAGAATCAAAACGGCAAGAAGTAACCCTGGAGAACTATTGAGTGGGCAAACCATGTAGGACCTTATAGGTCATGAGAAGAAACTTAGATTGTGTTGGAAATGCAGTGGGAAGTCATTGGAGGGAGTGGAAGGAGTCAATTTGATTAATTAGAGAGATGGCATGACCTGGTTTACATTTTTTAAGTCCATTTCCAATTTGCCTTAGGAATACTGCGCTGGCAGCAAGCTGCCTTTTTTTTCTAAATGGGAAATGGGTTTAAAACCATCTGGCTGATTTTGGAAGATTGGATTGAGAATAGGGGAGGAAGCAAAGAGGGCAGTTAGATGGCTATCCAGCCATTCATAGAGACAATTGATGGTGAATTGGAATGAAGGGAGTAATTTAGAGAAAGAGAAATGGATAGAGTTGGAGAAGTTTTGAAACAGTACTTTCTGATCAGTAGGAAAGGAGAAGTTAGTACTACCGGCTGTATTTCAGCTAGATTTAAAATTTATCCTGTAATAAAGGCAACATGAGTTGAATAAATGTTCCTTCAAGGATTTTTTTCATCATGTTTACTTGTGAACCCATCACATTCAGTTACCCTTATCTTTACCTCTGTTGACAAATACCACTTGAAGAAATGGAGCTTTCTCTCAGAGAAACAAATGTAAGTACTGGCTTGTGTTGTTTCTTTTCTTGGACCCTTGTTAATCTTACTACCTCCCCGTTATCTGCTTCATTTCTAGGCATACTTACCCCATACCTTCTGGATCACCTTATTGGATGCTTTTTATCAAAGCCTGGTCTGCTTCTTTGTGCCTTATTTTGTGAGTCTTTGTTCACTCAGTATATTTGTTATTAATGAATCAATGATGCTTCTTTGTACTTTGCCACCAATTTCAGCATAAAGGAGGGCAGATTGCTCATATAATCAGGTTGATTATTAACTGACTAAATTATAATCTCCCCAAAAATATATGTTAGGTAATGGATTAAATTTAGATAGACATACATAGTTTGAGTCCTCTTAGGCCTCTTGTTAACTCTGTACTGCTTAAAAATTTTTATCAATGACTTGAACAAAATTGGATGTCTGGCTATATAATTAGATTAGTCAAAAATCAGACAGGCTGGGCACAGTGGCTCACACCTGTAATCTCAGCATTTTGGGAGGCTGAGGCAGTTGGATTGCTTGAGTTGAGGAGTTTGAAACCAGCTTGCACAACATAGTGAGGCCACCATCTCTACAAAAAATTTAAAAATTAGCTGAGTGTAGTGGTGTGGACCTGTGGCCCCAGCTATTTGGGAGGCTGAGGTAGGAGGATTGCTTGAGCCCAGGAGGTCTAGGCTGCAGTGAACTGTGATTGCACCACTGCACTCCAGCCTAGACAACAGAGTGAGACCCTGTCTTAAAAAAATCAGAGAGGCAATGCCAGAATATGAAAGCTTTTATTAGTGAGTGCTGGGCTAATTCTACTCGAATGATATTCAGAGCATTAAATTTGAGATTCCATAAGTAATGTCTTTAAAACTATAAAACCTGTTTTACAGGTAAATAATGGAAGAAATGTAACAAAGCAAAAAAAGTATAAACTTTAATTTTAGAAAATTTAGGCTAACACGATACACAAAGAAGCATTGTATAGCTGCTCATCCACATATACCCTTCTCCTAAAGAAAACACCTGTTTTATCATGGGTGGTGTTAATAGAAGCACAGTATTAAGAATGAAAAAGATGATCATTTCTAAATTGACAATTTTTATTCTTTATTCAAATAAAATCATTTGAATTAGCCTTGCTGGAGTTTTCTGGCTATACTGCACTTCAGGAGAAATATAAACAAGGCAATCTGAAGTATATTCAGAATAGAATGAAGATGATGGTGAAACATGAGAAAATTGTGTCATTAGAGGAATAGTATAAGGACTTGAAGACATATAGGAAAGGAGGGTATATTTTCCTAGGAAAGATAGTTATAATAGCTGCCTCAAAGATTTGTAGCTCTATTAAATAGAACAAATTTCTCTATACCTTAAAAAGCTAGAAGTGTGAGTGAAAGGTTCCAGGAGGATCAATTATGATTCAGAATAAAGAGGAATTCCAGTTGAAAAAAACTGAAGATTAGATGCCCTGTCTGGGAGAGAGTCAGTCTCTTACTTGTGGAAATGTTCAAGTTTATTTCATATGGCCAGTTCACAGGGACCTTGTAGAAGGGATTCAAGCCTTGGTTGAGCTGTAGATAAAGTGATGTTACCCACACCAAGTTGCACAACTCTCCAGGATCATCTAATGTCCTCTCTTTGTAGACCTACCAGGGCTCAGATACTGACATCTTTGCATTTGGAAACCCCCTGAACACAGCCGCTCTGTTCATCGTTCTCCTCCATCTGGTCATTGAAAGCAAGAGTTTGGTGAGTGGTTTTCTTGCCTCTGAAGTAGCCTAAAATCTTTTATGCTTGGGGATATGTCTTCTATTAGCAGTGACCCTGAAGATAAGTGGTAATGAGAAGAGTAATGAATCTATGGGAGAAGGGTGATCACAGCTACTCTGGGTGATCATTGAATGCCATTATGCTGAGGTTGATGTGTAGCTGGGGATAGTGGAAAACACCTGCCTTGCTCCCTTTGGTAGTATCAGTGGTGGAGGGTTCATGGAGATGTGAGACAGACTGGAGGGATATTTAACCTTCATTCTTCAAGACCAAGCTGATTACTTTTAGTGAAAATGAAAAAAGGTGTTGTATCATAATCCTGGTACAGTGACTTTAGGGATGATTTTATGCCTTCCTTATAATAGAAAAAATCTTTTTTGGCTCTCCTTTGGGTAAAACCCTTCAGTGGTTTCCCATTGTACTTGGAATAAAATATGAAAGCCCTAAGATGGTGCAGTGATGCTGTACTTCTCTCTTCAACCTCATTTCCACATATTCGTGGGCTGGAACCACCTTATCCCTCTTTCAGTTTCTTCAGTACATTGAACTGATTACCACATCAGGATCTTGGCACTTAGCGTATCTTTTAACGGAGGTAATTTGCATTCCCCCTTGCATCCCTGCACTTCACCCAGCGCAAATGTTATTTTAAATTTCATCAAAAATATAATTTCCCCCAACAGCCTTTCCCTAACCATCCATCCTCTAATACCATTCTCTTGCTCTTACTCATAACTCTAATCATAATTTATAATTATTTATTTAATTATGTGATTATCTCAGACCAGGTGCAGTGACTCACACCTGCAATTCCAGAGCTTTGGGAGGCTGTGGATCACATGAAGCTAAGAGTTCAAGACCAGCCTGGGCAACATAGTGAGACCCTGTCTCTAAAAAAAATAACAAAACTAACTGTGTGTCATGGCACCTGCCAGCAGTCTTGGCCACTTGGGAGACTGAGGAGGAGGCTCACTTGAGCCCAACAGTTGGAGGCTGCAGTAAGCTATGATCATGCCACTGCACTCCAGCTTGGGAAACAGAGAGAAACCTTGTCTCTAAAAACAAAAAAGTGTGATTATCTTATTCATGTTTATCTTCCGCATTAGCCTATGCTCTCTGCGAGGGTAGGGTTCATGCCTATTTTGTTCACCACTGTATACCAGTGTTAAAGGACAAGACTGACACACAGCAGGTGCTCAAAAAATATTTGAATGGATAAATAAATGATGAAATAACCAGTTTTTGGGTTATGTTTACCGTCCTGATAACATATGAATTTTAAATAGGAAATAGCTGAATAAGGTTATAGTTTAAAATATATGAAGTTATATTACAAAATTATTTATAACAATTTCTAAAGTAGGGCTGATTATTTTGGACATTATTTGCTTTGCTTACAATCATCTATAACAAAATATTACAAGCTAAAATGTAGTAAAAGGTTAATATCTGCAAATACCAGATGGGTAGAGTAAAGGAAATTCTAGAACTGAAATATTTGGGATTGTTTTTATACCTATTCAATTTTTAAGCAATTGCATTGGTACTTTTGGTGGCCACCTGAGAAAATGCCAAAGGTTCTGACATTTATTAGTGTGCCAGAGGATTTAACACATAAAGTGTATCAGTTTGGGTTCACGGATTATGAGCAATATCATCTGAATAACCTGAACAAATAGAAAAGTTATTAAAAAATATAATGAAGAACCATGATAGAACAAAATAAAGAAAAGCAAAAATATCTGAGAAACCAGAGTGACTCTGGAGATGCACAGAGCAGAAACTAATGGTCAGGCTTGTCAGGATGGTCCTCTGGTCTGAACTGGCTCCATTTATTTTCTTTCTGCTCTTGCCCCATTGTGCTCCAAGTCTACTCTCTTGTGATGGAATCCTATTTCCCTAGCTTAAGTCACAGGCTTTGGCTAGGGGAGGAATATTTTGCCGAGACTGCACACAATGCTGGAGTGCAGCATTGTGAAAGCTAGAGTCAAAGATAAACAGAGACTGCTGTTTAAAGGATGCATCATTAGAGAATTGTTTCTTATGCTGGAGGATGCATGGCTAGAGATCCTGGCCCTGCAGGTCTCTTGTTAATAAAAGCCAGCCATTCTGAAAGTATAAAACTCTTTCCCTTCATGCTCTTATTCACCATCTCATTGCCACCTCCCACTTCCCTGTTGGTTTTTACCCAGTATTCTTTGACTTTCACTTCTTTGTATCAATTAACTTAAATGTATAAACTCTATGAAGTCACTATCTCACTTGCCAAAGGCATGTTTTTTTTGTTGTTGTTTTTTGTTTGTTTTTGTTGTTGTTGTTGTTTTTGAGACAGAGTCTTGCTCTGTCACCCAGGCTGGAGTGCAGTGGCACTATCTCTGCTCACTGCAAGCTCCGCCTCCCAGGTTCATGCCATTCTTCTGCCTCAGCCTCCCGAGTAGCTGGGACTACAGGCGCCCACCACCACGCCCCGCTAATTTTGTTTTTGTATTTTTAGTAGAGACAGGGTTTCACCATCTTAGCCAGGATGGTCTCGATCTCCTGGTCTCGTGATCCACCCACCTCAGCCTCCCAAAGTGCTGGGATTACAGGCGTGAGCCACTGTGCCTGGCCAAAGCATGTTTTAAGAGATAAAAAATTGGAGCAAAATGGCTCAAATAGAAGGAAAGACATTTGAGAAAGAAAAAAAAGGAATTATTGTTTTAGCAGCATGAAGATCTTAATCCAGGAGTTAGCTAACATTTTTCTAGTTGTTTGTACATTTTATTTAAAAATAAGCAGTCTGTGTGACTCTTGTGAAGGTATCTGCCATGGGGAAATACTTTGCAAGATTAGGAGAGAAAAGAAGAAAATCTAATCTTATTTGAAAATTATAGCCCTAGAAAATAAAAGAGATTAATAAAAGCAGTGTTTCCCTAAAAAGCATGATATGTGCCACCAATAGTACACACCATGATTTTAGGTAGTACTGTATACTGCACTAAATAACACTAAATACTACATAATGTGAAGGTAATTCTGTTTTCATACTTCCGATTATATCAAAGAGGTATCTCATTTGATGCTATTATGTTTTATCACAGTAATTCTTGCTAATTTCTCTTTATAACAAAGATTAATCAAACCCTAGACTCAGCTCTTTTATAACAGAGAATATTAATATTATGAAGTTGGTGCCAAAAAAAAAACGCAATTATTTTTGCACCAACCTCATACATTTAAAGTAGGCATATACTTTTCTTCCTTTTTGAATTTAAATCTTTTTTTATTTCTAAAATTTTTGTGGGTACATAGTAGGTGTATATATTTATTATGTACATGAGATGTTTTGATACAGGGTTGCAATGTGAAATAAGCACATCATGGAGAATGGGGTATCCATCCCTTCAAGCATTTATCCTTTGAGTTACAAACAATCCAAATAGATCCTTTAAGTTATTTTAAAATATATAATTATTATTGACTATAGTCATCCCATTATGCTATCAAATAGTAGGTCTTAGTCATTCTTTCTATTTTTCTTTTGTACCCATTAACCATCCCCACCTCCCCTGATACCTCCACTACCCTTCCCAGGCTCTGATAACCATCCTTCTACTTTCTATGTCCATGAGTTCAATTGATTTGATTTTTAGATCCCACAAATAAGTGAGAACATGCAGTATTTGTCTTTCTGTGCCTGCCTTATTTCATTTAACATAATGACCTCTAGTTCCATCCATGTTGTTGTAAGTGATAGAATCTCATTCTTTTTTTGTGGCCAAATAGTACTCCATCGTGTAGATATACCACAGTTTTTTATCCATTCATCTGTTGATGAACACTTAGGTGGCTTCCAAACCTTGGCTATTGTAAACAGTGCTGCAGCAAGCATAGGAGTGCAGATATCTCTTTGATATACTGATTTCCTTTCTTTTGGGTGTACAACCAGCAGTGGGATTGCTGGATCATACAGTAGCTTAATTTTTAGTTTTTTGAGGAACCTCCAAACTGTTCTCCATAGTGGCTGTACTAACTTACATTCCCACTAACAATGTACAAGGGTTCCCTTTTATCCACATCCTAACCAATGTTTGGCATTGCCTGTCTTTTGGATACAAGCCATTTTAACTGGGGTGAGATTGAGATGATATCTCATTGTACTTTTCTTTCTAGATAAAGTTACTTAATTAGTGAACCGATGTTAAGAAAAATAATATTGCAAGATATACATGAATATGAAAGTAGCTAGGCTGTGGTATGACACGCAAACATTTATTTCTTGCTCATATAAAGTTGGCTGATATTCCAGACAGCTCTAGAAGCAACCATCCTCTCAGAGAACTTCTTGGTCAGTATGGAAGGAAAGGAGACAGCATGGAAAATTGCAGACAAGCTCTTACATACTTCTAACCGGAAAGTTTTACATACCCCTTGTACTCACATTTTATTAGTCAAAGCAAGACATATGGCCATGCTTAATTTCAAGGGAGTGTGGAAATGTGATCCACCTGAATGCTTACTCAGGGAGGAGAATGACAGTATTCGTGATCAACAGTACTGTCTAACACCTATTTGAATGGCTTAAGTTTGAGGTTCACTGGGAGGAACCTGTTTCCAGTTAACAAGGAAACAGACCAATGAGTGACTACATGAAAAAAATTAAGGAGAAAATCCAGACACCTCTTGGTGCATGGATAGTATAGAATAAACTAATCAACAGAATTCCCTTTTGACATTTGATTTAATTTAGTTTTACAGAATTCAAATGGTGATGTAATTCATTCACAAAAAATACTCCCATCTCCTTGATATCTTATATTTTGTTTATTCAGGTTTGTTACACCATTCATCCAGTGCTTAGATGTGTTGTCTCTTTAATGGAGCAGATTTGTCCGGGTGGCAATACTGTATCAGTGACAGAGCATTCATTTCCTCTGCTCTTCTTGTCTTACAGACTTGGATTCACTTGCTGGTCATCATTGGTAGCATCTTGTCTTATTTTTTATTTGCCATAGTTTTTGGAGCCATGTGTGTAACTTGCAACCCACCATCCAACCCTTACTGGATTATGCAGGAGCACATGCTGGATCCAGTATTCTACTTAGTTTGTATCCTCACGACGTCCATTGCTCTTCTGCCCAGGTATGGTATTTATTTTATCATTGAGAGAATAAATGGAATCATAGGCTAAGAATCCTTCAAGCAACTACACTACTACGAATGGTTGGCAGCCCACCCTGTTTAGTAGTGAGAAAGTCAATTTGTGTCCTAGTTAAAATATTGGTTTTTAACTCTTTTATCAGAGAACAAAAGTGGCTTAAGCAAACCGAGAGACTGATTTATCTCTCATGAAAAAGTTTATCTGGTTGACAGTTTACAGGGATAGGGTAGCTTTGCTTCACAGGGTTATCTAAGGACCTAGATCCTTTTCTCTATCTTTTTACTTTGCTGTCTCCCAAGGGTCAGGCCCTTGTTTGGGTCCATTTCGTGCTGCCACAGTGGAATTTATAAACAGAAATTTATTGGCTCACAGTTTTGGAGGCTGAAAAGTCTAACGTCAAGCCACCAGAAGATTTGACGATCCCAATTCCAAGATGGCACCTTGAACACTGCACCTTCAGATGGTGGAAGGGCAAAGAGGCAAAAGGGGATCAAACTCGCCCTCTTATAATGGCATTAATCTCACTCAGGAGGGCTCTGCCTTATCACCTCTTAAAGGTCCTATCTCTTAATATTGTAAAAACAGCCGCTAAATTTCAACATGAGTTTTGGGGGGAATAAACATTCCAACCATAGCAGCCCTCATCTCATGACAGAAGGTGACTACTCAGCTGATCCTCAGCCCTGCTTGCCCCTGTATACAGGAATGGGAAAGTTGAGGGCAAGCAGCTTTGTTTTTATATTTTTGTTTGTTTGTTTGTTTTTCATGTAGTGGCATGAACCTACATATGTACATTGTAACTGAGTGGCTAAAATCTTGGAGTTTCTAAAAGGAAGAAAGGGAGGCTGGGTGTTGAGGGACAAGTAGCAGTCTCTACTACAATCTGTAAGCACTGAACACTTTTCAACTTTCCTCCCTTATCTGAGTTCAGTTACTCCCCCAGTTCTAGTTTAATCTGATTTATAGTATTGTATGGGATGGAAATGACTAAGAAGAATACATGGGTTTTTAATATATAGATTCTTGGAACTCAGAACTCATCATCTCTGCAGTTTCACAAAATCTGTTTAGTTGAAAATATTATAACAAATAGTTGTTCTGCTTTTTTAAACATAAATGAGACTCATAATGGTAAGTTCATGTTATTCTATAACAGCGTCAACAAACTGTGGCAAACAGGCCAAATTTGGCCTACTGTCTGATTTTGTAAATAAAGCTTTGTTAGAATATAGCCATACTCACTTATATATGATCTATGGCTGCTTATGCAATACAACAGCAGAACTGAATAGTTCCAACAAAGTTTGTCTGGCTCCCAGTGCCTAAAATATTACTATCCAGCCCTTTACAGAAAAGGTTTGCCCGCTCTGATCTGTAGCTGTATCATACGGCACAGTGGACACAATCCTTTGTTGCTGATGAATGTCTCTTCCAGAAATGCATTAAAAAACCCATCTGAGTTACTCAATGGTACTTATATATAACAATATCACTGTGAAACGAAGATACTTCTATAGTGCTCACTGCTATTGCCAGCTTCCAGATTAAAAACTGACAAGATGAACTTACAGAATTTCTGAAAAAACAATTACTTAAAGGTTTTAGCTTTAAAAATTCTGGGCCTTTAACAGTATAGTTCTAATATTATCGTGGTATGCTAAAAAATGACTCCCTAAAAGATTTCCATGTCCTAATCCCTGTAACCTGTAAATTTTATCTTATGTGGCAAGAAAAGAACTTTGCATGAGTGATTACATTATGGATCTTGAGACAAAGAGATTAGTTATCCAGGTGGATCCTAAATGTAACCACAAGTGTCCTTATAAGAAAGAGGCAGAGGGAGATTTGACACAGAAGAGGAGAAGGTACTATGACTATGGGATCATGGATTCCTTAGCCACAAGCCAAGAAATGTCAGAAGCCACCAGAAGCTGGAAGAGGCAAGGAATAGATTCTCTACTAGAGGGTCCAGAGGGAGCATGCCCTTTCCAATACCTTGATTTTGGCCCAGTGAAGCTAATTTCATAATTTTTTGCCTTGAAAACATTGAGAGAATAATTTTTGTAATTCTAAGCTACCAAGTTTGTAATAACGTGGTATAGCAGTCATAGGAAACTAATACAGATTTGGGTACTCAGAATAGGTTTCTGCTATAACAAATGCCTAAAACTGTGGAAGTGGCTTTGAAACTGGATAATGGGCAGAGGCAGGATGAATTTTGGCACATAATAGAAAAATTCTCCTAGACTTCCTTACACAGGCTCTTGGTAGAAATATGGACATTTAAGTTGTAACCAGTGATCTTGATAGCTACATTTACTTATTAGTTCCAATATTTTATTTTAGGTTTTCTACATATACAGTAATGCCATTAGCAAATAATGACCAGTGTGTTTCTTTCTTTCCAATACATAGGCACTTAATTTTTCTCATTGACCTGGCTAGGGAAGCTTGTCTTGTTTCTGATCCCAGAAGGAAAGGTTTCCATATTTCTCTGTTAATTATGATGTTTTATATAGAATTTTATGACTATACCATTAACCAGATTAAAGAAGTTCCATTCTATTCCTTATTTTCACATTTAAAACATATATAAATTTGTGTATCCATTGAGATAAGATTTTCTTTGTCACACTGTTAGTGTAGTAAATTACATTAATTGCTTTTATAATATGAAAACAATCTTGCATTCCTGAAAAATTAAGTTACTGTTGGTGAGGTTTCAGAAGAAAATGAAGAAGTCAGAGAAAGCCTGTATCATCAGATGCAGAGAATACATATATCATCATACACAGAAAGTTGCTAGAAATATGAATTTTCAAGTACACTGATGAGGACTCGGAAGAAAATGAGGAACATGCTTGGGAATTTGAGGGAAGTGGATCTTTCAAATACTGGCAGAAAAATTAGCTAAATTGTGTTCTACAGTAATATGGAAAGCAGAATTTGTAAGGAATGAACTTGGATATTTGGCAGAGGAGGTTTCTAAGCAAAGTGTCAAAGTTGTGTCCTGATTTACTGCTTATAGTAAAATGTGAGAGGAAAGAGACTGAAGGGAAAACTGCTAAGCCACAAGGAACTTGGTTTAGGAAATTCTCAGTCTATCCAGATTGCAAAAGTTGCTAAAATTAGGAGATTGACTGTTAGTAGTATGCTCTGGAGAGAAGTCTGAGAGCATAGCTGGACAACCTTTCTGCTAGTGCTGAAGAGATTAGTTATGTGATTCCTAGATCTCCTCAACCATTGCAGTAGTAACCAGGAAAAGAAATGAGGTTATACAGGAAAGATCTGTGGTGGCCCCTCCTATTTAGTGGCATAAATCCAAGTGACATACATAGGAGAGTCACAAGACTTTTGAGAATGTTATACCAGAAGAAACACTGCCAGCTTAGCCTACAAAGGGACACGTTTGTGGTACTTTGTTACAATAGCCATAGGAAACTGGTACAAATAGCATTTTTAACACCTACTATGTGTCAACACTCTGCCTGCTTTGTATGTATTGTCTCATTTAACCTAACATTAAGCCTATGTAGCAACTATTTATATCTCTACTTTTATAGATGCTATTTAGTTTTGCTTTTTAATAAACACTTATATGGCAATTACTATTTTCTAATTGCTTTACAAATATTAATTTATTTAATATTGTTTTATCTCCATTTTGTATTAGAGTTCGGTTACCCTCCCCCTTTATTTCAGGAGCCAAGTGGCCACCAGACCCTTTTACTTTTTTAATTCGTTAGTATTTGGGGGGGGGGGTTCTGTAATGCATTTGAGATGAATTTAATTCTAATGATGTTCCTTGTCACCTAGGTTTGTATACAGAGTTCTTCAGGGATCCCTGTTTCCATCTCCAATTCTGAGAGCTAAGCACTTTGACAGACTAACTCCAGAGGAGAGGACTAAAGCTCTCAAGAAGTGGAGAGGGGCTGGAAAGATGAATCAAGTGACATCAAAGTATGCTAACCAATCAGCTGGCAAGTCAGGAAGAAGACCCATGCCTGGCCCTTCTGCTGTATTTGCAATGAAGTCAGCAAGTTCCTGTGCTATTGAGCAAGGAAACTTATCTCTGTGTGAAACTGCTTTAGATCAAGGCTACTCTGAAACTAAGGCCTTTGAGATGGCTGGACCCTCCAAAGGTAAAGAAAGCTAGATACCCTCCTTGGAGTTGCAAGTATTCTTTCAAGGTTGGAAGAGGGATTTTGAAGAGGTATCTCTCCAAGCAAGAATGACTTGTTTTTCCATAAGGGACATGAGCATTTTACTAGGCTTGGAAGAGCTGACATGATGAGCATTATTGTATGTTTGTATATACATTTGTGATAGAGGGCTAGAGTTTGACCTAGAGAGAGTTTAAGGAAGTGAAATATTTAATTCAGAACCAAATGCTTTTGTAAAACTTTTTGGATTTTGTAAAAGCATTTTCATTCTCTTAGAAATTCAAGTATTTTCAAGGGGAGTCATTTGAGATATATTTATTTTACTAGGAGATCTTATATTCTAGGGAAATGCTTTAAATGGTCAGGCTCCAGTCGGAATTTTTTTAAGAAAAAAGTAGTTTTTAATACATTGGTTAGGACTCAGAGGAAATACGGAAAAAACATTGTAGATGGTTAATTTACAGATAAAATCCCAAGAGCCTTTTAAACAACAAGGTACCTAAAATAGGGTATAATTATACTGCTTAAAATACAGTTAGTGCCTATTAATAGCTTTTTATTTCCTATGGGAAGATGCTTTTGGTCTTCTGGCTGAAGATGTAGGCATACCTCTCACTCATTTCAATGTTTTCCTGAGGTGGAGCCTTCATTGGAAAGGGGAAAGAGGGATTCTAGGGTTTCATCAGGGACCAGGAATGCATTCCTCTGTCAGGTTCCAATCAAGAGAAGACCTTTTATGAGATCTGCCTCTGTATAGATGTTGTCAGTTAGGAAACTGAAGCCATAGGTCAGGCAGACATCAGCTCAGCCTGTGGCCCATTGGGTGATTTCCTGTATTTTAAAACTGACAGTAGCCTGATCAAAGTGATACAATCAATTTCAAAACAATCTTCCAGAGACCACTTGAAGGTTCATAGTTTTTACAATACCCTGAGACTTTTCAGGTGTTGGAGCCTCTAAAATATGAGATATAAACAGAAACTAATACAAGTTGTTCTCTGGAGGTTTCTATGAGGTTCTTAGAAAAATTTGGTTTTAAAATCATTTGAGGACAGGAATGTCTATAGCAAGTTTACTCCTATTGCGAATCATGTATGCTGGCTTTAGTTGTAACAAACGATTTTATTCTAAGTAAGGCCAGGTGCTACTATAAAATCATATATTCCTGTTGAAGTTCTTTTGAAGTCCTATCTCTATTTATTATATTTGAAAGTTGTCAGCCACCAGTCATCCAGAATTTCCTTCCTGAATCTCCATGCTCATATGCAATGTCTACATCAAGGTCTTCTTAATGACTATTATTCTCAGGGTTTAGTTTTCTACCTTCTGCCTACTATTTTGGTCTGACATTTTTGTAGCCTTCTGTTATTATTGGAAATAGTCTCTTACATAAGCTGATTTCGAGAACTTTCAAAATCTCACATAGCTAATGGAAGTTGCTTTCTGCTTTCTTATGACTGTTTTTATAAATAAACTGTTTCATAAATAATGTATACTGGAAAATTGTCATCACTCTTGTAAACATTTGCCAAATCCAACTGTAATTAGTACCAGAACTTAGAAGGAAAGTCACAAAGCATGCCTTTTACCAGAATATTGCTTTGCCTTTTCTTATATGGAAAATCACTGATGTCATATCATTTATTATCCTCACAGCAGCTGGCATTCATTCCCTGAAATCGTCGTCTCCTGATAAACAATAATTTAGAGATATGTTCACTTGTAAATAAAAAGGTTAGAATCTAAGGACAAAGAATGATCCAAAAATACTAAGGAAAAAGAACAATTTTCAATTTTCAGAAATGAATTATCTGTACATATGAATAGAGGAAAATACTGAGTGCTAATGTTACAGGGCCACAATCTCATATCCACAATTCCAAAATCTCCAAACCTCTGAAAACTGAAATATTTTTCATAAATTAGGCGTAAATTCTATGCCCTGAACAAATGTAAAGCTATTTATGTACTTTGCTTAATGTAATCATTCATATACTTTGCTACAAAAATATTAATATATTTCATTACTGAATGCTAAACTGTATTTCTTTTTAAAATTTGGAAAATTTTTAATTCTGAAACACAATCTAGACCTTAGGCTAAAGAGGTTGGGATCTGTATGAAGCCTTTAAAGGGTCACATTTACAAGTCAATAACTCTTTTACATAAAGTTACCCAAGTTGATGTGATCTGGTGTTCAGTGTATTTCACCAAATTTGGGGGGGACCAAGTATTATATCATTGCTCTCAGTAGATAAGAACATTGATTAATATATACATTTTGGGATATAATCTTATTACAAAAGATGTATAAAATAATTGTATTGGGTTCCCAAAATGTACTCTGGATGTTAAAGATCTGTGTGCCCTTACGAGGACTAAAGTTCTCACTGGACACTTAATGGGCAATTTGAGACTATTAGCAACCTCTAATTTCAGACCAGTCAAGGAGCCATTGATCCTCTAAAATAAAAGAGCATGTATCTGTGAGAGTGAGATATAAGGGAGGTGAATTGTGATTGGTAAGCAGGGTGCCAGCATGCTGTTATAGAGACAGAAACAATTTCTTAGGACTTGCCACCCATATCCATCCAAAAAAAAAAAAAAGGTGATTAGACCATTACCATTTTATTTGTATTAAGAATTATTTAAAATAAGTATAATATATATATTTCACTGAGCCTAAGTTGAGCAGGCTAAAAGTTGATACATTGAGTATGTAGCTACAACTGTAACAAAACTGACATATGTTCTTGAACTTTCATACAATCGTGACCACAATTCAGTTGCTGGATTTCACACTCTCCTTAGGTTTATACAAACTGAAGGACAGGAGATGAATAGTATAGAAATTGCTACAACTTTTTGAATTTCAACTATGTTTACACACAGAAAAGATACAAAAATACATGTATAAAATTGCAGGTAGTATCTATTTGGAATGCTGAGGCAGTCCAGGTTGCTGGTGGAGGTTAGTAGGGAATCCTAGTTGTTTAAAAGGCAAAATGGATGCCTGACTAATTAAATTAAGTATATATGAAGATTTGTGTTTTAAAGTTTTTTAGTGGGGAAAAATACTTTTTACCACTAATTGCTTCAGAAATTGAGTTGCGTAAAGTGGCCTAGAGCTAAAAATCATTTCTAAAATTTTAATTACCAATGAGAAGAAACCAGATATTAAACATCTTTTGAGGAAAATTACAAAATGTTTTACTCCATGCAAAGTCTTACTGTGCTCTAAAATATGCTCTTTATGACTTTGTTGGTATGGATGAACGCAAGAAAACTGAAAAATAAATTTAATTAAACGAGGGATGCAAATTAATTTTCTTTTTAAAAAATTGCATCTCTCATCTAAATTCTCTTTTGCAAAGTTTAATATCCAGTTCTTTGCCACATAAGTAAAACAAAATATTGCCCATAAATATAGATGTAGTTGTTGCAGTCTCAATCAGCCAACTCATATATCCTGAACAAACCCAGCTATGAGGACAGTTCTATAGAGACTCTTCTATAAAATTATGATCTTGATATACATCCAGAATGGGGGGTCCAATAATGTCAAGTGTTAATATTGATATCTAAAGAACTTTGCATTCAATATGTCTTGCTACCTAAATGGATGACACTGGTCTTTTATTGCTGTCTTTTATCAGTTCTCAGAATTATGCAAACATTAGAAGGGGGTAATAGTAAATACTTTAAACATGTAAATTATCTTGGCTTTTAATAAATCAAATGACGAGTTACTGGGTTCAGCACACCAACATGGCACATGTATACATATGTAACTAACCTGCACGTTGTGCTCGTGTACCCTAAAATTCGAAGTGTAATAAAAAAGAATTGTGGGGTATAAAAAAAGAAAAAGAAAAGCAAGTCTCCAATGTTAACACTGAAATTTACCACTATGCACTGAGCTTGAGAAACAAAAACTGGTAGAGATAATTAATCAGCCTAAATATCTATGTCTTTTTTTGTGATAGGATAAAAGAGACCATTCCATAACCTGTTACTGTAGCACCTGATTTTAAATCTCGCCAGAGTCGATAATTTTGTGCTGCAGTCATGGTTAGGCCTGGCAAAAGGACAAAGTCTGCTTTGTTTGCTTTTGTAAAGTCTTTCATTGAACTTGAAATAAGAGAAAAATGAAGGTGAAAAAATAAATTGAAAAAAATTAGTCCAAAACAAACATGCAAATTTGCAGTGCACGATTGAGCATTTCTGTCCATGAAAAGTGCTTCTGTACAGCTCTCTGCAGGCAGCTCTTCACAGTCAAGAAGGCCATTTTCTTTTAGTGTAGCTGGCAAAAGTCTCTGATCATCCTTATAATTAGTTTAGGAGAAAGGTCTGGATGTAAATCTGTCTTTTAATCCATTCGACGAAATATGACACATTACTATAAACGCCAGGCCCCAGGACTTTGGAAAAGCAGACGGAGCCCCATGAAGTTAATCCAAATAATGTCCACCGTCCTCCAGGCTTCTCACAAACAAGAGGCCCACCGCTGTCACCCTGCAATAAGTAACGATGGGAGTTAGGAACTGGCATTTCAGGGCAGTAATGTGTGTCCATGCTATCCTGAGGATACTATAAAGCTAAACCCAGATTAACCAACTTGGAAAGTTTCAACAAAGCTTTCCTTGTCAGCCTGTGGAGGAGTTGTGCTTTCCACTGTAAAAACAGAACTTTCAAATAAACATCTTAAACTCTGATCATTAAAAGGGTGGAGTGGCTTGGGAAGAAATTATATTTTTCCCCCAGGAAATTACCTTTTTCAGGCATTTTCTGCACTTATAAAAATATGTCATAAAGTTTTTAAAAAGTATCAGAACTAATTACCTCAAAATTGACCTCATTCTAATTTAAGCTTGACTTATGACTGTGGAAAGTACCCAAAATGGAATAAAGATCCCCCCCACACACAGTACTGCAAACATATTCTAAAATATCTATTTTCAAGATTCTTGCTTTGTGAATGAATACATTAAGCATAACACAATTTGGGGTCCCTTACTACACTTCTTAATAGTTCTTAGGACTTTTTAATTTGGCATAGTTGAATACAAAATAAGACCACTTAAAATTATAATGAATCATTAATAGCCTGTATTTTATTTCATATATATAGGGATTTTCATTCATGATATTTAAGGATTCCAGTTGAACTATATTCAGTTTTTCCCCCAAATATAGTTAATGATAAAATGCTATGGCATTAGAGATAGCAATACTTGCTACATCTGAAAACAAAGGTGTATTCTGCACTGCCTCAAAAAAGAAGAGCTGATATCATGGAAAATAAAAGAGTAAATACGTGAATTCATTGTGGAAGGTTACAAATACTCCTTGACCTACAAGACTTTCAAAATTAGAAGCATATCTATGGTCTTCCTACTTGGTATTGTTGAAGAACATAGGACTAATGTTTCCTGATCCTCTTCTAAACATTTTCCACATATTAGCTCATTTAATCTTTACAAAATACCTAAGAGTTTATATTATTTATTATATCTGTTTTGGAGATGATGAAACAGAAGCACAGGTTAAATAACTTATTCATTGGCAGAGGCTAGATTTGAATCCAGGCAGTCTGGTAACAGGATTCCAACTCTATAACTACTAGGCTACCCTGCTTCTTAGGAATATTAGGGAATATTATTGCTATGAAAGAGAAATTAGGCCCGGCGTGCTAGCTCACACCTGTAATCCCAGCACTTTGGGAGGCCGAGGCAGGCAGATGACTTGAGGTCAGGAGTTCCAGACCAACTTGATCAACATGGTGAAACCCTGTCTCTACTCAAAATACAAAAATTAGCCAGGTGTGGTTGTGGAAACCTGTAATCCCAGCTACGCTGGAGGCTGAGGCAGGAGAATCCCTTGAACCCAGGAGTTGGAGGTTGCAGTGAGCTGAGATCACACCACTGCACTCCAGCCTGGGAGACAGAGTGAAACTCCATCTCAAAAAAAAAAAAAAAAGAAGAAGAAAGAGATTAAAATTTTGATTGTGCTGTATGCTTTTGTGTAAGTGATGATCTTTAAATTTGTAACTTTCCAATACCCTAAGCCAAAATCATAAGCATAGAACTTGCAAGGAGCTGAATTTTTCTGCCTAAGAGCCTAATTGAATTTTTTTAAAGCAAAATTTCTTTGTTACATGTATATAATGCTTAGACGAAAAAGAAAAATTTCCTGGAAACATTTCACAAATTATTTTCACAAATTTGTTTTCACACATTTCATATGCATAGGGTATTTCATTCTTGATCTCTCCTTATATAAAATAAATAAGATGCTCAGCTATTGAAGTGGAACTATTATGTCAGAGGGTGATTAAAATGGAATGTGTTTAGAATGTCAGCACATTTTCACTTCCAGATCAGACATTTAGTAAAATAATTATTTAGCATCTACTCTTTGCAAAGTTCTGTGCTAGTGTATAAACAAACGAATAAGGCACTGTTTTTGTCCCAGAACAGCCAAAAGTCAGCTTGGGTAACAAGGATAACCACATGAAAGCAAAATCTAATGGCTAGAAAGAGGAGGTCAAAGGAATGAGTGATGACTTCCAGGTGGAGAGGAATAAAAAATGCCTTCCTGAGATGTGGGTTTTGAGTTAGGCTTAGTGAGTCAGGTAGGCACCCCATTAAGTGCAAAATGAAAGGTGAAAAGCAAGCAATTAAAAATGAAAGGGAGACTACAGCTAAAGGCACAACTGATCTGGTCTGTTCTTTTGGTCCTCTTTGTAATATTGGGCTTGAAACCAACATTTATATTTGGCTTCAGTATTCAGTATTCAGGTTTATAGATTGTCACGGAGTAACTCACGCTTCATTATGTCCTGTTGATACAATTAAGGAAAATAATATCTGTCATATAATAGAGGTCTAAGTAGAAAAATTTGCTCCTGATATAGTAAAAAGTAGGTTTTGTTTGGTTTTCTACCTGAAGTTGTGTTAGAGAATATCTGGTATGCATTTAGTATACCCAGTACTAAATGAACTTCCACTGAACTCAGTATACACCACTGAACTCCCACTACTAAAGAAGTCGGCAAGACCTGGTTCCTATTAGGCATCATGATAAGAACATGCCCATGCCTGTGTCTGTGGGCCTTCAGCTCTCTGTCAAGGAATCATCTCCCTTCCCCTCCTTTAGCAACTGCCAAGAGATGATCTTGAACATGTGCCAAGAGGTGCTAGTTTTTGGTAAACCTCCAAATGACATTGGAGAGAGGAAGAAATGTAGTTATATTAATCATTGCTGCCAGACTGACTGGTTTCATGTCCTCAGTCTACCACCTTCATGCTGGCTGATTTGGGGCAAATTACTTAACCTCCTGTATTCTTGATCTGTTTAGGGAAAA
Source organism: Homo sapiens (assembly GCF_000001405.40). Classification (NCBI taxonomy): domain Eukaryota; kingdom Metazoa; phylum Chordata; class Mammalia; order Primates; family Hominidae; genus Homo; species Homo sapiens. Next base: position 47,598,755 of record NC_000004.12, read on the forward strand.
TAAAGACACTGCCATATGGGTTGATTGTGATAATTAAATGAGTTATTAGAAAGCGTTTTGCAGAGAGCCCGAAACATAATAAGCACTAAATTGATAGCTGTTAATATTGGTGTAATTACTATTCATTGAATGTCTAAGTATGTGCCAGATATCATATACAGATATGTGAAAGATATGGGCTTCCAAATACATTCACTTAGTTAATCCTCATGGACAGAATTAGTCCCATTTTACTCATGAGAAAGCTATCTAGAGAGGTTAGATAACTTCCCCGGGTTATACTGGTCTCACTGGCAGAGATGAATTCCAACCCAGATATTTCAGGCTTCAAATCCTGTGCCCCACACCCACATCATGCTGCCTCCTACAACACTTTATTTTGGGCCTGGGAAATCAAACCCAGTCCTCCTGTAGAGAAGGGAGGGATTCCTTTACCACCATCCACGTCAGCAGGATGACTTGTGGCCATGAAGCAGAAAGGAGGGTGGTCTCAGCGAAATGCCAAGGGAGCTGTCTGCCTCCCTCTTTCCCATGACAACTATCTAAGGAATCACCACAGGGCCATTTTCAATACCCTGATTTTTCCATTCTAAAATGGATCATCAAAAATATAGTTTATTTAAATTGAGTTAGTACTTAAGAGCACTGTTGTATCTTTTCTTCATTACTAAACTGTAGGGAGCAATTTACTCCCAATTAAAGGTGCTTCACAGCAGCATAGTATAATAACTGTCTTCCCCAGTTTTTGTTACAAGCTTATTTGAGCACTTGCACTTTTCCCTCCTTTCCTGGGAGCCAGTCCAGTATAATGTTCGATGTGTGTCTATTAAGTAAAAATAAAAAGGCACCTCTACACTATTATGTTAATATGTTCTGCAAACTCTCATGGCCATGAATCCTGAGTATCTAAAGGTTGAGTTCAGTGACATTTGAGGACATGCTGGCAATCAAGTGAGGGCCCAGACAACACCAGTGTGATGACCCCTGAGACAGAGGTAGTCCTGTCTCACACCCTGGAAGTTGGGGTGTTGATGTGTGGCTTCCTGCCATCACCCTAATGGCTGACAATGTCCTTTCATGCCTTCCCTGCTTCCCCAGGGCAGCCAGGTGGAAGCCATGGTTACTACTAGCTCCTCTTAGAACCTCATTTATCCTAGCCACTAAAATGGTTGAATGAGATGAACAGGAAAAATTGTTTTTCTCCTGTTGCTGAACAAGGGTGATGTTCCCCATATAGTAGATGAGACAGTAGAAGGCACCCTGAATAAAGAGGATGGGTGTAATTGTGGGGATTGCTTGTGTACCAGCTGCAGGAAAATGTGCTGTTAATAATTAAACATTTGGCAACAAATGATTTTCAAAAAATGTTTCCAAAGGGCCATACGTAATAATGAGTTTATAGGAATCCACTGAAGTTATTGTTGAACTGAATCTCCTTGGTAACCAGAAAGCAACTTACCATGCATGAATCAACTGTGCCAGACTCATAGCCAGCACATATCATCCGAGTGGTGATGGTCTTCATGTCAAAGTAGGACTGACAATGTTCCAGAGAAATAATGCGGACCTCTCCCTCTTGCAGCTTAAATGGCACTGAATTTTTAAAAAATAAGAATATATATATGATGATAAAATGACTCAAAAGTGAGGCTAGTGAGGCTAGCCAAATATGAAATGCAAATATAATATAAATATTTTTATACCAAGAGAGGCATATTCTTTACTTGAAATGCCATTTTAAAGACATGGCTGGTTTGGAATCAGAATTTTCTAGTTAGAAGCATTCATAGCAATTATCCGGTGAAACTCCTTTATTTTATTAATGGGTAAACCAAGGCCTAGACTGGTTAAGTAAGTTGGTTCATCCTTACCATATGCTACAACCAAAACAATAGCTACTACAAAGAAAAGAAAAAAATCAAGCCAGAGCTCTGCTGGCTGCCAGATAGGAGGCTGCCAGCTCGGCGTCAACTCAGCATGATAGTCCTGCTCTGCTAAAGTAGAGAAAACCTGTTTAATCTAACAGGGAAGGGTTGTCCTATTCTTGATGAAAAGAATATGCCTCAATATGTGCCCCAGCAGCCATTACTTGATGTAAGAACCTCTAATCCTAGAGGATATGACAGAGAGATATCGAAAAGCACAAAGCCATCCCTTGGTATTGACAGAGAGAATATGTGAATTCCATCTTGCTTAAAAGTTCTTGAAGAATGACAATGGATTTCTTGAAGCAAGACAGCATGAATCTTTCACTGTTTAGCCATTCTGCAAAATTATACACACTGTTCTTCTTTTAAACAGTGATGGTGAAGCACTACTGGGTACCTTATTGGAAGAAAGAGCCATTTTTAGGAAAATCAATGTGATGCAGACAGTGGATGTTTCACAGGTTGTCAAAAGAATAAGAACAATAGCTAACATTTATTGGGCACTAGTGGGTCTCATTGCCTTTAATCTTTACAATACTCCTGTGAGTTAGGTAGTTGCTATTTTTTTCCATTTTATAGTAAGCTTGAAAGTTATACAGTCAGATCAGTCAGGTCTTTCTGACTGAATTCAGCAGATCTTTTTTTTTTTTTTGAGACAGGGTCTCATTCTGTCACCCAGGCAGTGGTCACTTGCTTACTGCAGCCTCCACCTTGGCTCAAGAAATCCTTGGCTCACTGCAGCCTCCACCTTCAAGGCTCAAGAAATCCTCCCACCTCAGCCTCCCAAGTAGCTGGGACTACAGGCACACACCCCCATGCCAAGCTAATTTTTTTTTTGTAGAGACAGAGTTCCACCATGTTGCCCAGGCTGGTCTTGAACTCCTGGGCTCAATTCATGCTATACTACATGTGTGGAGTGTGCGTTATGTTGCACTATTGCTCTGAGTTCAATATGGATATTGTAGGAGGAATATAAGCAGAAACAATATCAAGCATAGTCTGCTCTTAAATTACAGAATTAATCATAGCTTTGAAAAAAAACAGATGCATAGGAGTGGTGACAGCATGTCTAACATTGCCTTCAAAATTGTTACATGTGAGTTTTTTTGAAAAAGTCATTGACTTCTGCCTATTGAATTTCCTTTCTGTTCTGTAATTGATGAAATAGAAAAGAAACTCAATGTAAGTCAAACCTTATCTGACTAAATTTTAAGAAAAAATTCCTTCAAATATACAATTTCTAAGGCCAATAACAGAATGCCAATATACATTATTATTCTTGAAAGCCATGGCATTATACTTGATATGGACAGAGTAGGCAGCACTTACAGTTTTTTTTTTTTAAGTTTCAGGTGGGTGGATCACCTGAGGTCAGGAGTTTGAAACTAGCTTGGCCAACATGGTGAAACCCCGTCTCACTAAAAATACAAAAAACAAAATTAGCCAGGCGTCATGGCACATGTCTGTAATCCCAGCTACTCGGGAGGCTGAGGCAGGAGAATCACTTGAACCTGGGAGGTGGAGGTTGCAGTGAGCCGAGATTGTGCCACTGCATTCCAGCCTGGGTGACAGAGTGAGACTCCGTCTCAAAAACAAACAAATAAACAAACAAACAATTATTATTTCTAAAGTAGGTCAAACTGAATGAGAGAGTCCATTATAGGGGTTTAGAGTAAATACAGAGTACACATTTTAAATTTCTATGTGTTTTATATGTTAAGTCATCTACAGAGCCAAACTATTTTAATCAATTTAAATAGTCAAATAGCAAATCAATATACTTTCTTGAAGGATTTATAGTTTGTACTACAGATGTTGATAAGACCAAATCACAACATAGAATTGGAAATATGACCATGCAGCTTGACTGCAGAGATTCCCAGTGACTGTCTCTATCATTGGGCTATCTGCAGGCAGATAGAGAGAGTCCAAAGCACAGTTCAGTGACAGGTCTCCTCCTGCCACAAGGAAGCTCCAAAACATTAATAGTAAGCTCCCAGAGAGAGATTCTGAAGTGTGGAGAGGGATTTTTGAGATTGCATCTGAGCTTGGCCATTTTAAATGCCATGGTTCATTATTAATGTCTATGATTTGCACAGCAGATGAAGTGTGACACATCGCTAAGTATTTACCATTTGTGGCTATATTTTTGTAAGAGAAAATGGGAAATTACGGCCAAAAGCTACCTAGCTTTTGGGTCTGGGTACTGGGTCTCATTCTGTTACCCAGGCAGTGGTGAGATCTTGGCTCACTGCAGCCTCCACCTTCCAGGCTCAAGAAATCCTCCCACCTCAGCCTCCCAACTGAGGAACACAATGTTTCTCAGGCTCCTGAAGATCCTGGCTGATATGGTTTGGCTGTGTTCCCACCCAAATCTCATCTTGAATTGTAGTTCCCATAATCTCCACGTGTAATGGGAGGGATCTGGTGGGAGGTAATTGAAACATGGGGGGCAGTTACCCTCTTGATAGTGAGTTCTCACGAGGTCTGATGGTTTTATAAGGGGCTTTTCCCCCTTTTGCTCAGTACTTCTCCTTGCTGCTGCCATGTGAAGAAGGACATGTTTGCTTCCCCTTCCGCCATGATTGTAGGTTTCCTGAGGCCTCCCCATCCCTGCAGAACTGTGAATCAATTAAACTTCTTTCCTTTATAAATTACCCACTCTCAGGTATGTGCTTATAGCAGCATGAGAATGGACTAATACACTGGCTTACTTTTATTGCCCATGTGGCCCCAGCCTGTGATATAGCAGTACGTGTCAGGCTCTAGCCACTGCTCCGGGTTGGGCAAGCAGACAGGCCGGACGTAGCCAGTCTCACTGATGTCTTCACTCAGCTCAACGATGCTGATGTCATAGTCCACCACTGCTCGACTGTAGCGGGGATGCAGGATGATGGTCTTCACAAAGCGTGTCTGCATGAACACTGATGGATGGTCTAGATTGTTGATGCCAAGCACCACTTTCCAAACTGCAGCATTCTCTCTCCTAAAATTATAATTCAAGAGCTATTGGCATCTTAAACTCTAGTTTATCATGTGAAATTCACATGTAATTTTAAAACATTTTATTTATGTAAATAATGGCCATTTTCATGCCCACCTCTCAATGTATTCATATAAGTGGCATTTATATAATAGCCTGAGTGATTAGCAAGTAAGTATTATTGTTGCAGAAAGCATAGCTCATGATTCCTGAATGGGGCTAGTCTTTAACATAAAACTTCTTCAGTTTTAAAGGCAGGCAGAGTTAGTTACTTGCTTCACAGAATGAGCAAGATAATGAAAAGCTATGAAGAAGAGAGAGGAGCAAGAGGAAAAGTGAAAAAGAAGAGGAAGCCAAGACTAAGAGATTCCTCCAAGAAAGAGCAAGTGACTTGAAGAAATGCCAGGGGAACCTCCTACAGATTTCCAGCTCAGGGCTTAAAAAGGTCACCCACGACCTCCAATGGTCATTCCCATACTCCACTGTTTTTGAATACTTGTCAACAATATTTTAGTCGATTCCCACCTTAAAACACTTTCTTCACTTGGCTTCCAGGTCTTGCCATGCTCCAAAATTTCTTCCAATCTCATGGACCTTTCCCTCTCAGTCTTTTCTTCTGGGTTCTCCTCTTTGGCTCTCAGTCTCCATGTTGAAATGCTCTGGAATTTCACTCTCAGCTGTCTATTCTCACTCCATACTCCCTTGATTTCATCTAGTCCAATGGTTTTAAATCCCACCATACGCTGGTGACCCCAAATGTATATCTCCAGCTCTGTCCTTTCCCTGAGCTGCAGACTTAATGTTCAATGGTCTATTTAACACTCTCAGTTGGATGTTTCAGCCAACATTTATTGAGGGCTTACCATGTATGCCACAGTATTTAATCATTCAGGATTCAGTTTACAGGAACTTAATACTATAATCAACCCAGGTGAATCTTCTCTTTTTCTTACACCCAACACTGAATGCATCAGCAAGTCTTTGCCAATCCTGCTTTCAAATATATCCCACATCTTACTGTTTCTCCCTCCTCCATGGCTATAATCCTAATCTAAGCTACTCTCAACTACATGGACCATGCAATGGCCTCCCAAATCATGGTCCTTCTTCTAATCTTAGTCCCTGTAGTCCATTTTCCTTACTATCAGGATATATATTGACTATATCCTCTATATTAGTCAGAGCAATATTTAAAAAAAATTAGATCAATCCATCTTCTGCTCACTATTCTCCAAAAGCTTTGTATCACACTTGAGACAAATCCTAGACTCCCCTGGCCTCTGAGGCCCTACACCATATGTTCATTCTCAACCCAAGGACTTTCTTGCTAATTTTGAACATGCCAAGAGCATCCTCAACTCAGGAGCTATTTCCCCTGATGTTCCCCCAGCTCTCACATGGGTCCTACCATTACTCCTTCTCTTCATCCAGGTCTCAACTCAAGCATCATCTGCTCAGAGCTGTTTCCCCAGCCAACCTGTCTCACCCTTACTCTGCCCCCTTCACTCTACTTGACACTGCTTTACTTTTCTTCTCATACTATCCATTGATATCAATGACATTGATATAACCATTTGTCTATTCTCTGTCTTGGCCCCTAGAATATAGTTATCACTGTGAAGGCAGGGATTTGGCTGGTCTTTTTCACTGCTTTATTCACAGGGCTTGGTACCTGGCCTACAGTAGGTCCTCAACAAGTACCTATTTAATGATGGCTCAATGAATGTTTTTGACTCTAACCACAAAGTCAAGGTCTGTTCTTCATCACTCCCTCCATCCCTTCCTTCACTCCCAGTCTCTCCTCCACCAGAGTGGTCAGGATAAAAAATGTGGACATTTATTGGACCACATTGTTGGGGCAAGGGTAGAGCTTTAATTGTGGGCATTTCCTTATACTCTGGTAATGTGAGTCAGCCACACTACCACTGTTCCTGCTTGGGAGCTTGTGATCAAATCAACTAAAGTAGGTTGATTTGACCAGCTAGACCAATTGTTTTTCAACCCAGGCTGAACACTGAATCCTCTGGGAGCCTTTAAAATAGTGATTCTCTGGGCGTCACTTCTAAACAGAAGCTCATGGACTGGGGCCTGGGAGTCTGTATTTTTAAGAGCTCTCTAGGGAATCTTAGGCAAAACCCCACCCACAACCCTTCTTTTCTTGGCACGCCTTTCTTTACCATCAGCATGCCAAAGATTCGAAAGGCTGAGATTTCAAGGGAGTTAGGAAGGAGGAGCCAAGGTAGGCACTCACTTGGTTTTTAGTATTGTTGGATACTTGGGGCAGACTCTACTAACAGACCCCCTCTATATAGTCATGCATGTTGTCCTTTTTCCATTAAACAAATAGTAATTTCAGGGATATCAGAGGAACGGACATCATTCAGTGAATAGAGAGATAGAGATATATAGCAATTTTCTCTATGCCAAGCATTGTGTTAGGGATTACAAGAATAAGCAAGAAAAGCATGATTCCCTGCCTATACAAACATTGTAATTGAGTGAAGGTAGACAATTAAATAAACAATTAGATTAAAATGCAGGTAGTACTATCACATGAACATTACAAGATAATGTTACAGAATAATTTCTTTTTTTTTCTTTTCTTGAGTCAGGGTCTTGCTCTGTCACCCAGGTTGGAGTGCAGTGGCATGATGATAGCTCACTGCAGTCTCAATCTCCCAGGCTCAAGCGATCCACTGGCCTCAGCCCCCCACCAAGTAGCTGAGACTACAGACACACACCACCATATCTGACTAAATTTTTTTGGAATTTTAGTAGAGATAAGGTTTTGCTGTGTTGCCCAAGCTGGTCTTGAACTCCTGAGCTCAAGCAATCCTCCCGCCTTGGGCCTCCTAAAGTGCTAGGACTGCAGGCCACCAAGCCCAGCCCAGAAGAATTATTTTTCATTACATAAAGCCGTCACTAGAAGAACATGCTTTTCTTATCCTTCCTTCCTTCCTACCTTCTTTCCCTCCTTCCTTTCTTCCCTCCTTCCTTCCTTCCTTTCTTTTTCTTTCCTTTTTTCCTTCTTTCTTTTACTTCTTTCTTCCTTTCCTTTTTTCCTTCTTTTCCTTATTTCTTCCTTCTCTTCCTCCCTTCTCTCCTTTCTTCTTTCTCTCGTTCCTTCCTTTTTCACTAAACAGTAATAAGTGCATTACCATCTGAGAAGTTCAATATGTATTTGTGATTCTATTGTTTCAGACACCTGAAATCAAGCAATAATTTATTTCAAATTTCTGACTACTTAATAGCTTCTTGCCCTTGAATAGCGTTACTAAGTTTTGGCTGTGAAAAACATTCATCCACATGCTTAAATCATAAGCAGTATTTTGAATAATCGAACATTCCAAATTATTTGTAACAAAATTGAATAACATCAAAATTCTGGACTTAATTACTGTATTGAGATTAATGTAATTCTAATTATAAAAAATTAGTGTCAATAAAACTGCTGAACATTAATTTGTACCCAGTAGTCTCTTGTTACATAAGCTACTGGCCTTATGGTATAGACAGGCAGATCACGAGGTCAGGAGACCGAGACCATCCTGGCTAACGCGGTGAAACCCCGTCTCTACTAAAAATACAAAAAATTAGCCCGGCATGGTGGCGGGTGCCTGTAGTCCCAGCTATTTGGGAGGCTGAGGCAGGAGAATGGCGTGAACCCGGGAGGCAGAACTTGCAGTGAGCCCAGATCGCGCCACTGCACTCCAGCCTGGGCGACAGAGTGAGACTCCATCTCAAAAAAAAAAAATTCCACCAAAAGAAAAAAAATGTACACAGGAAATTCACATAATTTTTTGTATTCAGTGATGACAGTGTTCTTTTCTTCTTTTTGTTATGAGTATATTGTGAAAAATAATGTCTCTTTTGATGTCTTCCCTCCTGTCAACCCGGGTATGGCAGAAACCAAAAACAGAACAAGAAAAAACCCAACCTGTTGTTTGAAAGAGTCTCCTGGGGTGAAGGACATGTACATACGTGGTGATTGTTACATCAAGCAAGTGCTAAAAAGAAGGAGTCAGGAGTAATGGCAAAGACAGCCCTGTGTCTGGGTAGAAGCAAAAAGAAGGAGGACAATTTCAGGCTACATGAATGCCACATGAGTTTAGTATCAGTTCTAAAGTACGAATTAACCGGATGTGGTGGCGTGCACCTATAGTCCCAGCTACTCAGGAGGCTGAGGCAGGAGAATCACTTAAACCCTAGAGGTGGAGGTTGCAGTGAGCCAAGATCATGCCACTGCACTCCAGCCTGGGCTACAGGGCTAGACTCCATCTCAAAAAAAAGAAAAAAAAAAAAAGTACCATTGGAGAAACACATGGAAACAGACTCTGATCATATGACTATTTTAGTAAAAACCATTAAATTATGGCCAGGTGCGGTGGTTCACACCTGTAATAACAGCACTTTGGGAGGCTGAGGCAGGCGACTCACCTGAGGTCAGGAGTTCAAGGCCAGCCTGGCCAGCATGGCAAAACCCCATTTCTACAAAAAATACAAAAATTAGCTAGGTGTGATGGCAGGCACCTGTAACCCCAGCTACTCAGGAGGCTGAGGCATAAGAATCGCTTGAACCTGGGAGCTGGAGGCTGCAGTGAGCTGAGATCGGCCATTGCACTCCAGCCTGGGTGACAAGAGCAAAACTCCATCGCCAAAGAAAAAAAAAGAGCTAAATTAGGCTACCAAGAAAAGAAAGCCAAGTATAGCAGCTGAAAATCTTCAGTTTAAAGGGAATTACTTGCCATTTGGCTGTCAAGCCTCAAAGCAGCAGCAAGGAGAGCTGGCACATCTGAAGTGCAAAGAACTTCAGACTGTGAGAGGAAGGAAGCAGGCCAAGGTGAAGCCAGGTGAGAATCCACCAATCCCAGGGAAAACAACTGAGGAAGATGTTAAAACACCTTATTCTTCTTTGTCCTCACTGTGGTTAGTATTTTATTCCTTGAAATCACATTTAGAGTCTAATTTGCTTCACGTTTACACTATTGTTTTAATAATAAATGTACTTCATAGACAATATTGAGCTTGTATGATTTCAACTTACAATTCTTCAATTATTAACTCTAGAGAAAAACAAAAACTCAGCCACTTACATATGTCAGACACACTATAGCATCCAGAGGAATTTATACAGAATTGCAGGCACAATGTCTCTGGAGGCAAAAATCAGTCTCTTTGGTTTGCAATTTGCCACACTCAGCTCTAGTTTAGACATGAAATTTTTCACTCAATTCAGCTAGTCAAATTTAAAGATTTCTATCTTTATCTTTTCTTAGGAGTGAAAAATTTCCCTTCTCTCACCCTCTCTGACTTTGCTTAGAATATCTTATATTTAATATTTTTCCTGTTTAATAAAGTTAATATTATAATTAACAACTATGATAGAAATTTATCTATTTTACAAGACTTACTCCAGAAATAGCATAGCTAAGTGGTGATTTGGAGATCATCTGAAGGTTACCAAATCTGCACTAAATAAAGATATACCACACTATGGCATCATTGCTGTTCTACAAATCTTAGGAATCTCTTACTTTTAATATTGTGCTCTGTCCTTGGCATTTCATTTTTATTATTTATTTATTTTTTTTGAGATGGAGTTTCACTCTTGTCACCCCGGCTGAAGTGCAATGGCGCAATCTCAGCTCACTGCAACCTTTGCCTCAGAGGTTCAAGCGATTCTCCTGCCTCAGCCTCCTAAGTAGTTGGGATTACAGGCACCCGCCACCATGCCTGGCTAATTTTTGTATTTTTAGTAGAGACAGGGTTTCACCATGTTGGCCTATCTGGTGTTGAACTCCTGACCTCAGGTGATCCACCCACTTCAGCCTTCCAAAGTGCTGGGATTATAGGTGTGAGCCACCGCACCCGGCTATCCTTGGTATTTTTAAAAAATTATCTGTAACAGGCAAGGTAAACGGATTTTTTTTTTCTTGAACTGTTATTTTAAGTTCCGGGATACATGTGCAGAAAGTGCAGGTTTGTTACATAGGTAAACGTGTGCCGTGGTGGTTTGCTGCACAGATCAACCCATCACCTAGGTATTAAGCCCAGCATCCATTAGCTATTCTCCGTGATGCTCTTCCTCACCCACCCCTACCCCCAACAGGCCTCAGTGTGTGTTATCTCCCACTATGTGTCCATGTGTTCTCATCATTCAGCTCCCACTTATCAGTGAGAACATGTGGTATTTGATTTTCTGTTCCTGTGTTAGTTTGCTGAGGATAAGCCTTCCAGCTTCATCCATGTCCCTGCAAATGACATGATCTCATTCCATTTTATGGCTGCATAGGATTCCATGGTGTATATGTACCACATTTTCTTTATCCAGTCTATCATCGATGGGCATTTGGGTTGATTCTATGTCATTGCTATTGTGAATAGTGCTGCAGTGAACATATGCATGCATGTATCTTCATAATAGAATGACTTATATTCCTTTGGGTATATACCCAGTAATGGGATTGCTGGGTCAAATGGTATTTTTGCTTCTAGATCTTTGAGAAATTGCCACACTATCTTCCACAATGGTTGAATTAATTTACACTCCCACCAATGGTGTAAAAGCATCCCTTTTTCTTCACAGTCTTGCCAGCATCTGTTGTTTCTTGGCTTTTTAATAATTGCCATTCTGACTGGTGTGAAATGGTATCTCATTGTGGTTTTGATTTACATTTCTGTAATGATCAGTGATGTTGAGCTTTTTCTCGTATGTTTATTGGCCACATGAATGTCTTCTTTTGAGAAGTGTCTGTTCATGTCCTTTGCCCACTTTTTAATGGGGTTTTTTTTTTCTTGTAAATTTAAGTTCCTTATAGACTCTAGATACTAAACCTTTGTCAGATAAATAAATTGCAATTATTTTTCTCATTCTGTAGGTTGTCTATTCAATATGATGATAGCTTCTTTTGCTGTGCAGAAACTGTTTAATTAGATCCCATTTGTCAACTTTTCCTTTCGTTGCAATTGCTTTCAATATTTTTGTCATGTAATCTTTCCCTGTGCCTATGTCCTGAATGGTATTCCCTAGGTTTTCTTCTAGGGTTTTTGTAGTTTCGGGTTTTACATCTAAGTCTTTAATCCATCTTGAGTTAATTTTTGTATAAGGTGTAAGGAAGGGGTCCAGTTTCAAATTTCTGCATATGGCTAGCCAGTTCTCCCAGCACCATTTATTAAATAGGAAATCTTTTCCCCATTGCTTGTTTTTGTCATGTTTGTTGAAGATCAGATGGTTGTAGGTGTGTGGCCTTATTTCTGGGTTCTCTATTCTGTTCCATTGGTCTATGTGTCTGTTCTTGTACAGTAGTACCATGCAGTTTTTGGTTACTGTAGTCTTGTAGTATAGTTTGAAGTTGGGTAGGGTGATGCCTCTAGCTTTGTTCTTTTTGCTTAGGATTGTCTTGGCTATATGGGCTCTTTTTTGGTTTCATATGAATTTTAAAATAGTTTTTTCTAATTCTGTGAAGAATGTCAATGGCAGTTTAATGGAAATAGCATTGAATCTATAAATTACTTTGAGCAGTATGGCCATTTTCACAATATTGATTCTTCCTATCCATGAGCATGGAATTTTTTTCCATTTGTTTGTGTCCTCTCTGATTTCCTTAAACAGCGGTTTGTAGTTCTCCTTGAAGAGGTCTTCACTTCTCTTGTTAGCTGTATTCTTAGGTATTTTATTCTGTTTGTAGCAATTGTGAATGGGAGTTCATTCATGATTTGGCTCTGTGCTTGCCTGTTGTGGTGTATAAAAATGCTAGCAATTTTTGCACATTGATTTTGTATCCTGAGACTTTGCTAAAGTTGCTTATCAGTTTAAGAAGCTTTTGGGTCAAGACAATGGGGTTTTCTAGATATAGGATCATGTCATCTGCAAACAAAGATAATTTGATTTCCTCTCTTCCTATTTGAATATCCTTTCTTTCTTTCTCTTGGCTGATTGCCCTGGACAAAACTTCCAATATTGTGTTGAATAGGAGTGGTAAGAGAGGGCATCCTTGTCTTGTGCTGGTTTCCAAGGGGAATGCTTCCAGTTTTTGCCTATGCTGCATGATATTGGCTGTGAGTTTGTCATAAGTGGCTGTTATTATTTAAGGGATGTTCCTTCAATACCTAGTTTATTGAGAGTTTTTTAATATGAAGGGATGTTGAATTTTATCAAAGGCCTTTTGTGTGTCTATTGAGATAATCATGTGGTTTTCGCCTAGTTCTTTTTGTATTGAACCAGCATTGCATCCTAGGGATGAAGCTGACTTGATCGTGGTAGAAAAGCTTTTTGATGTGCTGCTGGATTTGGTTTGCCAGTATTTTATTGAGGATTTCAACATCAATGTTTATCAGGGATATTGGCCTGAAGTTTTATTCTTTTGTTGTGTTTCTGCCACGTTTTGGTATCAGGATGATGCTAGCCTCATAAAATGAGTGAGAGAGGAGCACCTCCTTTTCAATTTTTTGGAATAGTTTTGGTAGATATGGTACCAGCTCCTCTTTGTACCTTTGGTAGATTTCAGCTATAAATCTGGTGAATAGACTTTAGAATAGAGACTTCAAAGTAAATATATGAAGTGGCTGGGGTAAATTCAGTAAGTACAGACTGTGTCACATCACAAGCCCTGCCCATCCTGAGGGCCATTCGCCTCTCAGCTCCAGAAAATTGTTGTCATGTTGGAATGCTCAGTGGAATCTGACCTTCCAATTGTCTAAGGAAAGCCAAAGTTCTGGATTTTATGCAAAGTATCTGTGGTTTTAAATGCTACCTAAAAATTTAAAAATGGATACAACAAGCAAACTAGATTGGCAGCCTGGATGTCTCATTAGTATACAATCTCAATAGTTTTCCAAGTGTTTCTACACACTTTATTCCAAATGATCCTCACACCGACTGTGAGATGTAAACAGGGATTCATTGTTCCATTTTAGAGAAGAGAAATCAGTGACTCAGAGGAGATGAGCAACTCATCTAAAGTCACAGAGACAGCAAGTGATGGTAACAGACTAACTTGCTGGTCCTTTGAACCTGCTACACCACATCCTTACAACTAAACTTCTCTGAAACAAAGACAAGGGTCCACAGGCATCAAAAAGGATTTAGGTACTGGGCACAGGAGGGAAAGCATGTAGGATGGATGGAGACTCTTGTGAGTCATAAGGTGACAGATAGCAGGAAGATGTGTGCTCTTTCCTGAATGTATCCCTCAAATATGATAGAAAGCTAGCCGTCGGTGATAAAATTACAGGAAATGAACAATTCTATTATGCTAGGTTCCAAAAAATGCAAGAGAAGGGTTTAGTCACATGCATATTCTAGACCTTCAAGAATCAAGTTTCAGAATGTTTCAGGGGGAAAAAGCTATGATAATATGTCCAGAGATTCTTAAAGCAGTCATGGCTCAACAAAGTTGGGAGAGTTTAAGTGCCAAATTCTGATACTACCATCACAAATAGTTGCAGTATGCAAGAAAATGAAGAATCAGTTGAACAGTAAATGTGACTACATAAAGATTTCAGAGCAGGTGAGTGCAGTGGCTTACACCTGTAATCCCAGCACTTTGGGAGGCTAAAGCGGGCAGATCACGAGGTCAGGAGTACGAGACCAGACTGGCCAACATAGTGAAACCCCATGTCTACTAAAAATGCAAAAATTAGCCGAGTGTGGTGGCACGTGCCTGTAGTCCCAGCTACTTGGGAGGCTGAGGCAGGAGAATCACTTGAACCTAGGAGGTGGAGGTTTCAGTGAGCCGAGACCGTGCCATTGCACTCCAGCCTGAGCAACAGAGCGAGACTCCGTCTCAAAAAAAGAAAAAAAACTCAGAGCTTTGAAGTCTATCATAAAAGAAAGGCATGAAATCAAAGTAATTGCAGCATTATTCACAATAGCAAAGACTTGGAACCAACCCAAATGTCCAACAATGATAGACTGGATTAAGAAAATGTGGCACATATACACCATGGAATACTATGCAGCCATAAAAAATGATGAGTTCATGTCCTTTGTAGGGACATGGATGAAATTGGAAATCATCATTCTCAGTAAACTATCGCAAGAACAAAAAACCAAACACCGCATGTTCTCACTCATAGGTGGGAATTGAACAATGAGATCACATGGACACAGGAAGGGGAACATCACACTCTGGGGACTGTTGTGGGGTGGGGGGAGGGGGGAGGGATAGCATTGGGAGATATACCTAATGCTAGATGACGAGTTAGTGGGTGCAGCGCACCAGCATGGCACATGTACACGTACGTAACTAACCTGCACAATGTGCACATGTACCCTAAAACTTAAAGTATAATAAAAAAAAAAAAGAAATCAAAGTAATTGTCCAAAAGTCTTACTTATTGAATGAGCAGGGCTTTGTCTAAAAAGAAACAAAGTGGGAAAAATAAAAATGGCTTCTTGGCAAAATGATGTGCAAAATAGAACAAGAAAAGAGGAAAATTGTTGTCTGTAGCAGATAATTTAAATGTTTGTAGATAAGTAAGACAAAGCAGAATGATTTGAAGCTTACTTTACCCCCAATTTCTTTTTTTGTTGTTGTTGTTTTGAGACAGAGTTTCGCTCTTGTTGCCCAGGCTGGAGTGCAATGGCATGATCTCAGCTCACTGCAACCACCTCCACAACCTGGGTTCAAGTGATTCGCCTGCCTCAGCCTCCAGAGTAGCTGGGATTACAGGAGCCCACCACCATGCCTGGCTAATTTTTTCTATTTTCAGTAGAGATGCGGTTTCACCATATTTTATCCAGGCTGGTCTCGAACTCCTGACCTCAGGTGATCCACCCACCTCAGCCTCCCAAAGTGCTGGGATTAGAGGCGTGAGCCACCATACTTGGCCCTTTACCTCCAATTTCTATATTCAAGGAGAATAATCTTCAGACAATACCCAGATGATTAATCTATGTGATGAAAACATACAGGTGCTTAATACATTGGAAATGGTGAATTGATGTGCGGTCCAAGGCATGGGAGGAGCTGGTGAGATCACTGACTCTCTGTAGAAGAGTTAACATTTCTAGTTTGAGACAAATTACAGCCCTACATACTGAAATGACTACAGACATGATTACTAAGAAACACCAAGAAGAGGCTGACTTGTCAACTAACAAGTATTTATTGAGTGGCTGCTGTATGCCATGCTGAAAGAAATAAAAACTCAAGAGTGAGGAAGGCAGATGGAGTTCATGTCTTCATAGAGTTTTCATTCCACTAAACTAGATAGTAAAAAAAAAGTACATAAACAAATAAGATTATCTCGGGCACTTAGAAGTAAAAAAATATATTTATGGTAATGTAATAGAAGATTTGACGGGGCAATCACTTTGGCTAGGTTGGTTAGGGAAGGTCTTTGAGAAAGTGACACTCAAATTGAGACTTGAACAATGAAAAGGAAGTAGTTTTATGACTCTATGAAAGTATTCCAAACTGCAGAAACAGCAAATACAAAAGTCCTGAGGCAGGAATGAGCTTGGAGGATTTCAGGAGCTGAATGAAAGCTAGCATGGTTAGAGCCCAGTGAGTGATGGGAGACTAGAAGGAGACACAGTCAAAGTGCTGGGACTAGACCTTAATAGGCTCCAATGAAAAGATTTTATTCTTGTTATAATGGGAAGCCAATGTAGGGTTTTAAGCAGGGGAGTGACATGGTGTGATTTACATTTTAGAAAGTTCACTATCTTACTGTGTGGATAATAGGTAATAAGGGAACAAGAGAGTAGTCAAAAAAAGCCAAATAGGAAACTGTTTCAGTAGTCATTATGGATTGGTCGTGTCCCTCTAAAATCTATATGTTGAAGTTGTAACTCCTAGTATATTATAACTTTATTAGGAAATAGGGACTTTATGGAGGTAATCAAGTTAAAATAACCTCATCAGGATGGGCTTGAATCCAATATGACTAATCCACATCCAGTATAATGCCGGCAGGCACACAAGGAGAACACTGTCTGAAGAGGAAGGCAGACATTAGGGTCCTGCTTCTACAGGCCAAGGAATACCAAAAATTGCCAGGAAACCACCGGGATCTAGGCAACAGGCATTCTCTCTCAACACTCAGAAGGAAGAAACCCTGCCAGTACCTTGATCCTGAACTTCTAGCCTCCGGAACTGTATGGTTCAAATCACCCAGCTTGTGATACTTTGTTATGGCAGCCCTAGGAAATAAATAGTCCAGAAGTGAGATGATGGTGGCTTGGAGTAGGATTATAGCATTAGGATGGGAGAGATGCTTGGCTTCCACTTTTTTGGAAGAAGATTCTACAGGATTTACTGATAAAGTAAATGTGAGAAGAATTAAGGATGACTCCTAGGTTTGGTATATTAGCGAACCGATGGATGATGCCTTTTACTGAGATGGGGGAAGTTTGTGAAGCAACAATTATTTGCTCAGTGGGAGAAGTGAGAAATCAATAGATTTGTTTAGGTCACATAAAGTAAGATGTTTATTACATGTTCAAATGAACATCTTATCTTCACAGTTAAATGTATTCATGTGAAGTTGGTGGGTGGTGGTGATTGGGTGGAAATCTGGGCTGGGCTGGAGATATAAATTTAAAAGTTATGAAGAAATATTTCATATATTTGATATTCAAGTATATTCATATTAATATTCACATACTTTATATTCATATTAATATTCACATACCTTATATTCATATTTTTCAAATATGAACAAGTATTTGTTCAAATCAGGACAGGTATATAAACCATGTGATGAGATGAGTGAGTGTAGACATACAAGAAAGCCAAGAATTTGGTCCCTAGGAACTAAAGCATTCAGTAGCCTAAAAATGAGCTGAAAAAAGAGAAAAAGAGTTAGTCTCTGACATATGAAGAAAACAAGGAGTTTTTGTGTTATTTTAGAAGAAAATGAAAGTATTTCAAGAAGGATGTAGTGATAAAATACTGGAGAGGGTTCCAGTGGGTTGAAAACTGAAAATACATCATTGGACTGCAAGATGGAAGTCATTAGAGATTTTAACAAGCGTCACTTCTGTAATGATCTTGACAAGAACGCAACCAGAGTGGGCTGAAGAGAATGTGGGACATGGAGAGGTGTAGACAGTGACTGTAGGAAACTCTTTTAGGAATTTTTCTGTGAACAGTGGCTGGAATGGAGCAACAGATGAAGAGGGATATGAATTCAAAAGAATGGGGCTCAAGTTTGTGATATTAAGACATGGCATGGTTGCTGAAGGGAGTGATCCAACAAAAAAAGATAAATTAATGATGCAAAATAAAAATGATAACTTTAGGAGTAAAGTCTTTGAAAAGATGAAAGGGGATATGCTTGTTTTAAAATGGGAGCAAAGACATGTCCTCCACCATACTCAAGGGAAAGCAGTGAATGTGGCCAAAGAGGCAGGTGATTTGTTGGAATTGGGGGTGAGACAAGGTGAAAGACATGATGGCATCTATTTTATTCATGAAGTATAAGGTGAGATCAGTAAAGGATGACAAAGATTTGGAGACAGAGAATAAGCTGTCAAATAGTTGTCTATTCACAATCAGAGTAGAAAAGTGACTTTACTGTGGAAGTATATTGAAAGTGTCTGATTGTGTTAGATGCTCATTTGGGGTTTATGATCATATATTTTATGTGACCTCAGTTAGCAGACAGGTGTATGATATTCTCCAAAGTGGGTCAGGTGTTCAGGTGCAGATGCAACATACATGACTAGGGAGTGACAAGACTGAAAGACACAGGCAAGTAACCACAACAATTTAAAACGAGAGAGCTCCAAGTTTCTGAAAGCCCCCCAAAACAATGGGATTGCACGTTAGGCCACCTGCTAGCTATATCCTAGACCCAGACATTTTCCAGTGGAGAGGAGAGGGTGACGGAAAACATTTCCATAGAGGGCAGGGCAGTGGGGAGTATGACGTAAGGTCAGAGTCACCTAGGGATTTTTAAATCCACACTTGCTCACTCCCCAGTGATGCTGAGAAACAGCACCCCATGGGAGGTATGGAGCTAAAATGGAAAATTTTTCTTTTAGTGGACATTACTATTGATGGGAATGGGCCAAATCCTTAGAGTAGATGGAATAGAAAGACAAATTGTGAGTGACTGGCACAGTTCATACACTCCTAGAAGATAAAGAAGTAGGCAGAAGGACACAGCATGAGCTCAGTAATAAAAAGTCAAACCAAACTTCTCACTTCCTTTTCTCAGTGCATTAAAAGACTGACAGAGCAGGGCAGGTGGGCAAGCAAGAACAAAGATTTTGTTCTTGGGAATAGGAGAGAGAGATGTTTAGAAATAGGTGGAAGATTATTGAGTAATATTAAGGGTCCAACTGATGTTGAAAGTCAGGCATGGCAGTAATCTGCATTCTTCAGTAATGCTCTCCCTCAGTCCTGAAGAGCATAGACATAGGATTAGAAAATGTGGGCTGAGCGCAGTGGCTCATGCCTGTAATCCCAGTACTTTGGGAGGCCGAGGTGGGTGGATCACTTGAGGTCAGGAGTTCGAGACCAGCCTGACCAACATGGTGAAATCCCGTCTCTACTAAAAATACAAAATTAGCTGAGCATGGTGGCAGGCACCTGTAATCCCAGCTACTTGGGAGGCTGAGGCAGGAGAATGGCTTGAACTCGGGAGGCAGAGGTTGCAGTGAGACGAGATCATGCCACTTCACTCCAGCTTGGGCAACAGGAGTGAAACTCCATCAAAAAAAAAAAAGGAAAGGAAAGGAAAGGGAAGGGAAGGGAAAGGAAGGGAAAGGAAAGGAAAAATGTGATCTTGACTTTGGAGGCCTGCCCAGTGTGTTGGAAAAATCTAGGGAGGAAGAAGTCTAAGGTCCTAGTGAAAAGACTGAAGTGAGAAGTGATGAACCCAGGGAACGAGGTAAGTTGAGGGAAGGAAAGGAGGCGAGGGCTGGGCGCAGTGGCTCACGCCTGTAATCCCAGCACTTTGGGAGGCCGAGGAGGGCGGATCACAAGGTCAGGAGATCGAGACCATCCTGGCTAACATGGTGAAACCCCGTCTTTACTAAAAATACAAAAAATTAGCCGGGCATGGTGGTGGGCACCTGCAGTCCCAGCTACTCGGGAGGCTGAGGCAGGAGAATGGCATGAACCCAGGAGGCGGAGCTTGCAGTGAGCCAAGATCGCGCGGCTGCACTCTAGCTTGGGCACAGAGCGAGACTCTGTCTCACAAAAAAAAAAAAGAAAGAAAAAGAAAGGAGGCAAGAAGGAGACTCTTTGGACTGAGATACTAGGGCAGAAAGTGCAGCCACCAACCAAAAATCTTGTTGGATTGAAGAGCTGCTGTGAAGGGAATCAAGACATGGGTGACATGGCAGGAGTATGGGTTGTGGTCATATAGTGGGAGGACAGTTTTTCACGTGGGTTTCCTGGAGAGGAATCAGATGTTTCTGACCATTACTAGCTGTGTGCCAGCCTAGGAAGTTCATTCTTAAGTCTTTCAGAAGTGGAAGAAAGCAGGAAAATTGCTTGCTAAATTACCCATGAAAGTCAAAACCATTCTTCCTTAGAACTTTTGAAAGCGAATTGTCACTAGGACATATGGGGCTTGATCTGGTCAACCATCTCATGATTTTAAATTTTCATTTGGGATTTTTATCTACCTCTTCATAGCAGAGCAAAACAAACTTGTCTTTTTCCCATAAATATAATTAAAAAAGAGACAGGCTGAGGATACCCACCAATGGGTCACTCTAGGCCCTATCAAAGTATGGGATCAGGATATGAAGTAAATCCCATTAATTGCTGTAATTGATAGCTCCAAAAGGGAGTATGGCATACAATTAGAAGTTCCCAAAAGTTTGCTACTCCCCTGGAGATGTTATAAAATAGAATCAGGGTTATTAGCCCACATTCAAGCAAAAGCTTGTTTAAAGTGGGGCATTTTCTAACTTCTTCTGGATAGACTAGGCCTCTCTTCACAGTTTTGTTAAATTTAGTGTTTCATGAAACTTACCAAGGCCTTTAATATTATGTACGTGCCTTTAATTATAAGCACATATTTCTTCTCTATTGCAAGATTTCTCCTGAACTTTACAGATCTGTCAGTGAAAGAGGAAACTTGGATACCACATGTGGAAATAACAAAAGTGGGATATGAACCTCAATTAACTAGCACATAAAGAGTGCTGTTCCCTGAAAAAAACTGTTGGATTCATTTAGGTAATCATCGCTTGATGAATGTACTCTTGCTAGTGTAACCTTCTTATTACCATGGAGTTACAAATTAGGTCTGCAAAAGACATCTGGAAACATCTGGCCCCTTCTAAAGCAATAACATTCCAGTGTGTTTTTTGACATACTATGCAGACTCTTCCAATAATTCTGGATCTTACACATTGAAAGCTCTCAAGCGAAGGTGCTAGTTAGATTTTTTTAATGCTTTATTTCCCCCAAAATAGCAATCAAATAACTGGATATACACATTTCCATTTTATAATCACTATCACACTGTAATCTAATTACTTGTTTAAAAGTGTGTCTCCTCACTAGATTAGCCCCTTAGAGAACAAAACATGTATCCATCTGTGTAACTTCCTTATGAAACTACAGGTATGTGCTGGAACTGTATCCTCTACAAACAAGAGTACTAATAGGTGAGTAGCTTTCTTTAAGAACATTTATTGCAGTATTGTTAAAATGGCAGCAAACTGGAACTAAACCAAATGTCCATCAAGTGGGGAATAATTTTAAAACTTATAATAAATCTATAGATAGAATATTATTTGGCTTAAAAAAAATGAGTTAGAGCTGCATCAGTTGACCTGGAGAGATGTCCATGATATATTGCTCCATGAGAAAAGCAACTAACAAATGGAATTATAGAGTGTTATTCCAAATTGTAAAAGTAAACAATGACGGCTTGTGAAAAAGATAGGTGTTTATGATTGTGGGAGAATATTCATAATGCACTAACAGGGGTTACCTTAAGGATGATCAGGAATTAAGGTAAATGAGTGTGGGAGAATAGTGCTAGCAAAATGCAAAAATACTCATGCCATAATGCTAAGGGAAAATGCAGAATGCATGATTTTAGCAATAGTTTTTTTAAAAGAAAAGTTTACCTTTCGGTGTCTTACTGGTTGATGCCAGGCATAGTTCTTAAAGCTCTACATAGACTGTTTCACTTCCTGCCCGCACCAACTCTGTGAGGTAGGGATTATTATTTCTTTAATTTCACATAACAGAAAACTGTGGTCCATAGAAGTTACTGAGCTGGCCAGTGGTCACACAATAATTGGCTAAGCTAAGACAAAATAATAACAGGCAAATAGGCAAAAAATGAAATTGCATTTTTTTCCTAGAAACTAATCAGATCAAATGAAAAGTATCCATTTAATTAAGTAATAGACCTGTGGATTATTTTTTGCCTCGAATTTTTGCTATTATTTAATATTACTTCATTTAAATAAAGTAAAATTACTAAAAATAAATACAATAAAATGGCTAGTATGGTGGTTTTCAAAACCTGTCCTCAAGTCCTTTGATGTGGGAGGTCTGTGTTTCTTCCCTTTGAATTAGGTGGGGCCTGTGACTGATGGCTCTGGGCAACCACATAGGAGAAGCAACATTTTGTGCTTTTGGATGCTGAGTCAAAAAAGGTAATACAACTTCTTCCTGGCTTCCTTTTTGGGAAGCTTGCTTTGGAGGATGCCAGCCACCATGAAGTGAGTCTCATACAGAGAGGAACTGAGGCCCCAGCCAACAGGCAGCATCTACTGTCAGACTTCAGATGGTGCCAGCCTCTCCCTAGCTTTGGAATCTTCTAGCTGAGGCCCCAGAAATCACAGAGCAGAGACAAATTACGCCAACTACACTTTGTCTGAATCTTCAGTGAGCATAATAAATGTCTGAGTTTTTGTTTGTTGTTATTGTTTTGTTTATGTTTGGTTTTGTTTGTTTTGTTTTGCTACAAATTACATAGCAACAGATAGCTGGAAGAGATTCTGCAGTGATGTTCGTCAGTTTGGGGTAGGTTTTCCCTTAGTTTTATTCTTCTGCTCTCTTTAGGCATATTGTGGTGGTTAATTTTATGTATCAATTTGGCTGGGCCACAGCACCCAAATATTTGGCCAAACATTATTCTATATGTTTCTGTGAAGGTGTTTTTTTTTATGAGATTAATATTTAAATCAGCGGACTTTGAGTAAAGCCGATGACATTCCATGATGTGGATGGGCCTTACCCATTCAGATAAAAATCTTTTTTTTTTTTTTATACTTTAAGTTTTAAGGTACATGTGCACATTGTGCAGGTTAGTTACATATGTATACATGTGCCATGCTGGTGCACTGCACCCACTAACTCGTCATCTAACATTAGGTATATCTCCCAATGCTATCCCTCCCCCCTCCCCCCACCCCACAACAGTCCCCAGAGTGTGATATTCCCCTTCCTGTGTCCATGTGATCTCATTGTTCAATTCCCACCTATGAGTGAGAATATGCGGTGTTTGGTTTTTTGTTCTTGCGATAGTTTACTGAGAATGATGATTTCCAATTTCATCCATGTCCCTACAAAGGACATGAACTCATCATTTTTTATGGCTGCATAGTATTCTATGGTGTGTATGTGCTACATTTTCTTAATCCAGTCTATCATTGTTGGACATTTGGGTTGGTTCCAAGTCCTTGCTATTGTGAATAATGCCGCAATAAACATACGTGTGCATGTGTCTTTATAGCAGCATGATTTATAGTCCTTTGGGTATATACCCAGTAATGGGATGGCTGGGTCAAATGGTATTTCTAGTTCTAGATCCCTGAGGAATCGCCACACTGACTTCCACAATGGTTGAACTAGTTTACAGTCCCACCAACAGTGTAAAAGTGTTCCTATTTCTCCACATCCTCTCCAGCACCTGTTGTTTCCTGACTTTTTAATGATTGCCATTCTAACTGGTGTGAGATGGTATCTCATTGTGGTTGTGATTTGCATTTCTCTGATGGCCAGTGATGATGAGCATTTTTTCATGTGTTTTTTGTCTGCATAAATGTCTTCTTTTGAGAAGTGTCTGTTCATGTCCTTCGCCCACTTTTTGATGGGGTTGAATAGAACAAGGACTGACCTCTCCAGCAAGAAGGAATTCTGCCAGCAGATTGAACTGCAACTCTTGCCCGATCTTCCTGCCTGCCACCTACCTCATCAGGTTTTGGATTCACCAAGCCTCCAGAATCACATAAGCCAATTATGTCAAAACAAACCTTTGTTTGTCATCATTGTTTTGTCTGTGTTTTGGTTTGGTTTGGTTTGGATGGGCTCAAGTGATCACTCTTCCTCGGAGCCAATCCAGTTCAATTAAGTTCATTTCCCATTGCTACCCCTCTAATTTTCTCACCTTGTTCAGCACACAGAAGAGAAATCTTACTTCTGCTATGACAAGGCTGCCTAGATTTGGAAACATAAAATGGCATAACATAACCTCTCTCTCTCTCTCTCTCTCTCTCTCTATATATATATATATATATATACACACACACACACACTCTCTCTGAATAGCACACATATTACACACATTATACCTTTAACTCTGCTTCCCAAACTACTCACCAGTTGCGCCTGCATCCAAACCTCATTGTAGTATCCAAATAAATCACTTCTGTTTAAGTTATTATATATGTGATATATTTAAGAGGTCTAGAAAAGAGACTAATAGTAGCATAGAGTCAGTCTTCTAAACTTCTTTCTCTCTCTTAGGACAAAAATTGGAAGCAATATGCAGCCATTTCCAACAAATGAGCAGCCCACATATTAGATGGCAACATCAAGGATAGAAAACTTTAGGAAGATAAAGGCCTGGGAAGTAGATTAGCTGTGGCTTTCGCCTGGATGTGGCTTCATGGAGTTACATATGCCACTGAGAATTCCCGAGTGACAAAGTGATCAAATCCAGGCAAAGGAAAAAAGGAAAGGTGCAGCTTACCCCTCGAAGCAGTGGGCAACTGTCAGAACCCACTTCTTGGCAATGAGGACACAGCCACAGATATGTCCACTGGGTTCACTCTGCAGAGAACACTGCCATGGCCACCTTCCAGGGCGACTCGTCCGACCTCCAAGGATCCTTTTGTTCATTCGGGCAGCAGGGCGGCGCCCACAGTCTACCAAGGAGCAGAAGACACAGTTTGTGAGTTGATGCCAAACCTTGCTAAATGCTTAGCTCTTTGCTGTCACTTACAAGCGATCACTCTTCCCCTGAGCCAATCCAGTTCAATTAAGTTCATATCCCATTGCCACACCTCTAATTCTCTCACCTTGTTTAGTACACAGAAGAGAAATTTTACTTCTGCTCTCACAAGACTGCCTGGATTTGGAAACATAAAATGGTATAACATTAAGTTACATATTTCTTGTTCAATTCAAACACTTTACCAGTGAAATACAAGACAGCTCCAACTGTTACCACCAGAAATCACATTCTCTGAGCATTTCCTGTGTTACCACAGGAAAGCACATTCCTCTTGGTGCAGGAATTCTCAAGGCAGGAGTGTGGTCAGATATTAATCATGTTGTAGGCAGGAGTATATGGAATATATATACTTCTTTTTTTAGTTTATTTAATGTCATCATAATTTAATTTCACATTTGTGGGAAAAGAAACTATTTTAACAAAATTTCCCACATCATTTTGGCTGGTGGAACCACCACAATGCAAATTCAAACTACAGTTCTCAAGGGGAGATGGGAGTACTTTTTAGAGTCAGTGGTGAGGAGGCAGCATGTCAGATTTTTATGCTTATACAAAGTGGTGTGTGCTCAAAACAAGTTGAGAAATACTCCAAGATGAGTAAAATATGACTTCAGAAATTTGAAGAACAGATTAAGAAATGGAATATTTAGACTGGAAAGGAGTCTTACCAAGACTCTCAAGGTTAAATTTCTGCTATATGAGAAGTTGACAAGAGGAAAAGTAGCTTAAATTTGCTTCATATAACTTTAGACGACATGATCAGAACTAGTAGGTGCAATTTACAAGAATTGTGGGTTCAGGAAAAGAATTTTCTAAAATCTAAATTCAACTTTGAATGCAAGAACATGGTCCCTGTTAAAGGATCTTTCAATGTGATGGCACAAGATAATTCAGTTTGGGGTAGAAATTTTAATCACTAAGTTCTCTTCCAACCATGAAACATTTACATTACAACCTCAATGTAAATGAAAAAGGACAATAAAAATCCATATTGGGACTTTCAAAAATACTATGATGTACTTAGAATCCTAGATCTATCAGATTGAAAAAAAAAAATGCAACCCTAAATATATAATTTCCACATTCCTTTCTGAAGATTTACTGTATTTTCATTTCTTGCTAAATTTATGTAGGGGCAAGTGCAATTATTTGCATACAATAAATTATGTAATACAGGAAAAGCTCATTTGCTTTCTACCCTCCCACAGTCTAAAATCCTCTCTTCCTTACTCTCTATTACATTATTCTAAATTTATTTGCAGCACTTACCAAAGCCTAAAATTATTTTTACTAATTTATAATCTTTATTTTCACCCCCATATAGTGTATGTTCCCTGAGATGAGGGCCTTCATTTCCCCTCATTCACTTCTACATCCCCTCAAAGCCTAATACTGAACTTGGCATTAAAGAAATACTTAATAATTAGTTGTTATTTGTTAGATTGAAAACACATAGCTCTTAGGAATAGGAAAAGTCATCAAAGACTATTCATCCAACTTCTTAGTGGAAATTGCAGTTATATAAGATAACACTTGTAGTTAGTAAACCAGGACTAGAACCAAGTTTACCAACTCCCAATCTAGAATGCATTATTTATTTATTTATTTACTTGACCTGAAAGGTTTTTTCTGGAATTACAGGTTTGGGGAAACAAATCACTTGGTTAAAAGATTTAGGTCATTGTTTTAGAGGAAGTACTTCAATTGACAAATATTCAGAAATTTGGCTGCAGAGTTTGTTTTATGAGGAAAATGTCAAGAACTTTTTAAGAGGAAATGGTCCATTTTTAGTTTTCCTCTTTAAAATTCTTAAGAAGTAGCAACATTTATGAGCTTCAGAGTCAGATATATTTATTTAGAGTTCAGACACTATCACTTAGCATCTGTGGGCTGTGAGATTTGAGCAAGTTATTTAAATATTCAAGCTGTAAAATATTGGATAATCATCCATGGTTCACAAATCTATTATGAGGTTTAAACGAGTCAGTGTATATAAGATTACCTAGCTGTGTGCCTATAAAGTAATAAGAACTTAGTAAGTGTAAATTTCCTCAATTTATCTTCCTCCTACACCCCACCCATAGACAAGGGAAGCAACCCTGTTTAAGATGCAATGATTTTTTAGGGTAAACTTAAGTGTACTTTCAAGGCAACTTGATTATAATTTCATTTTTGTGTCTATTCCTCTCTTAGACATTCCAAGTTTTCTTAGTTATCATTACTTCAGTTCCCTCTGTTTACTAGTTCTATGTAGCATCTGCAGGAAATGCAGACATGAGGGTTTATTTTGAATAAGATATTAAAAGTAATCCAAGATTAGAACCCAAGTTCCTCTCTCCTCGCCATGATAGTTTCTGTAATCGTGAATAAAAGAGAAAAAAAATCTATGTCTAGAAAGAAGAAATAAAAGCAACCAATGTTGAAATGTAAAGGCAATAGTAAATCTATGGAAACTCTTTACTGATATGACAAATTTGGATTATCTTAAGTTAAAAAATGGAAGAAAGGCCCAATGATAAACTCTTGCTCTGTAATCTGACTCTACACAGCTCTTATGAATGCATTCTTACCCATTTACTAGAAGTTCATGTAAAGTGGTCCCATTGAGGCTCTCCCAGTTGGAGTGTAATGTCAGCCACCGCGGCTCTTTCTCCTGTTCCTGTATCAATTTGGTCACAGATGGTTCTCTGATACAAGGCAAATACTGGATAAGTATTCAAAGTACAATGATCTTTGAACAGGCATTATCATTATTTAGCACTCATTCCCTTTCAAAAAGAAGCACTAAATCATGTCAACATTTCAAGAGGAGAATTTGGACTGTTACAAATTGTTAGAGCTGTTTTAGTCATTCTCCCTGCTGACCTGTGTTTGAACTGCATGAGGTGTTAGGATTATAATGTGTATGATACAAAAGTTCCAACAGGTAAAACATAAGAATAACTTTAGGCAGAGATCAAAAGTAAAATAAAATGTATCTAGCTAGGTTTTTTTCCTCCTCTTTTCTTGTCCATTGTAATTCTGCAATATAGCAATATAAAATAAAATAAACAACACATAAAGAGAATCAGTGGCCATTTAGCATTTATTTAGACAGCATAAAAGTTGTAAGAATTGTAATATTTCTATGTTTGTAGGTTGTTGTTGTTGTTGTTGTTGTTTTTTTTTTGATGAAGTCTTGCTCTGTTGCCCAGGCTGGGGTACAGTGGTACAATCTCGGCTCACTGCAACGTCTGCCTCAGGGTTCAAGTGCTTCTCCTGCCTCAGCCTCCCAAGTAGCTGGGATCACAGGTACATGCAATCACGCCCAGCTAATTTTTATATTTTTAGTAGAGATGAGGTTTCACCATGTTGTCCAGGGTGGTCTTAAACTCCTGACCTCAAGTGGTCTGCCCACCTCAGCATCCCAAACTGCTAGGATTACAGGCATGAACCATGGCACCTGGCCTCATCTGATTATTATTTTTAAACTATTGTAATCACATAATAGAAAATGGACAAAAACTTCCCCTAACTCATACTTTTAAAAAGGCAAGGAAGAACCCTCTAAAGGGAATACTTGATGATAGAATAAGAGCCAAAGATTAAAAACACAAGAGTATTTCATAATGAATGAATTATAAACATTTGATTTTAAAACAAATGTCATACATCCTAGCCACAATGAAGAAGAGTGGCTTAAGATATAAATTTATTTAGAAATTTGAATTGACTGTTAGATTACCGAAGATATCAAAAAAACCTCTTACAAAAATAAGAATTTTTCTTTTTCTTGGCCAAAATGAATCCGGCTCTCCATCAATTCCAGAAGTTCTGAATGCAGAGGCAAAGTGAGATGGAAAGTATAAAAGTCAGAGGCCACACATACTGGTCATGGTGTTTCTCCTGATAACCTGCATCCTGAGAATTCCCTTCTGCGATAGAACTACCTATGGACCTCCTAAATCCAGGTAAAGCCAAAAGAAGATAAACTTTAGATTTTGTTATTTAATCAGGTCATTCTTAAATCAGGTATTCATAGGGCAACAAGATACTTGCATGGGGAGTGCAATTAGGAGAGAGTGTGCACTGATGCTGGATAGGAAAATCATTGCAAGGAACACCAGCCTTTCAACTCAAAAGGCCCCCAGCTGCCCTGAGGAAGGGCTCCACAGACATCCACAGGATGTTTTTGCATTTCATTCATTAGCTTCCAAGAGGAAAGGCAATCTAGATGGAATTTCTCAGTTATAAGTGGAAAATTTAAGAAATTAATCATCAAGGATAGGGGAGTATCATTATGAAAATTAGGTTTCCATGAAATTCTTGAACACTGGCATGTTTCTCATGCACAAACATAAACTTTCAGCACCAGAAATGTCATCCAATGGCCCATTTAAAAAAGTCAGTGAATTTGTTTGGTTGTATTTCTGCCATCGTACAGAATCTGAGCATCTCCATAACTTCAATTTCCCTTTCTTTTTTTTCCAGCTTTATTGAGGCATTCTTAACAAATAAAAATTGTACATATTTAAGGGGTGTAATGTAATGTTTGATATATGTATACCTTGTGAAATGGCTACCACAATCAAGCTAAGAAGCATATCTATCACCACATAGTTACGTGTGTGTGTGTGTGTGTGTGTGTGTGTGTGTGTGTTAAGAACACTAAGGCCAAGAATCTTAGCAAATTTCAAGTATACAATTTAGCATCGTTAACTATAGTCACCATGTTGTACATTAGATCTCCGGAACTTATTCATTCCACATTACCAAATCTTTGTACCCTTTGACCATCTCCCCATTTTCTCCATCCCCTAGTTTTTGGCAACTAACATTCTACTCTCTGCATTTACAAGTTGACTTTTTTAGATTCCACATATAAATGAGATCATGCAGTGTTTGTCTTTCTGTGCTTGGCGTATTTCACTTAATATGTCCTCCAAGTTTATCCATGTTGTCTCAAATGGCAGAATTTCCTTCTAAGAATACTGAGTAGTGTTCTATTGTGTAAAGAAAATGTAGTGTGTGTATGTGTATTCTTTGCATAAAATTTCTATTGTATAAAGAAATATATATTCTATTGTGTAAAGAAAATGTGGCATCACATTTTCTTTATCCATTCACTTATCAGCAAACACTGAAGTTGTTTTCATATCTTGGGTATTATGAAGAGTGCTGCAATTAACATGAGAGTGCAGATGTCTTTTTGAGATAATTATTTCCTTTAGATATATACCCAGAAGTGGGATTGATGGATCATATGGTAGGTAGTTCTATTTTAAATTTTTTGAGGAATCTCCATACTGTTTTTCATAAGTACTGTACCAATTAACATTTCTACCAAGAATATATAGGGTTTCCCCTTCTCCACTTCTCCCCAACATTTTTTATGTTTTCTCTTTTTGATGATAACCATTTTAACAGATATGAGGTGACATTTCATTGTGATTTTAATTTGCATTTCCCTGATGATTAGTAATGCTGAGCACCTTTTCTTATATTTGTTGGCCATTCTATGTCTTCCTTTTAGAAATGTCTGTTCAGGTCCTTAGTCCACTTTTCAATCAGGTTATTTGGCTTTTTGCTGTTGAATTATTTTAGTTCCTTATGTATTTTGGATACTAACCTCATTGGATATATGGTTTTTTTAAATAACTTTGAAAATTATAAAAGTAATACTTGTACACAGAAAAATATATCGACAATTATAAAATGATAAAGTTGTTTTCTTCTCCTATCATATCAACAATTATAAAATGAAAAAGTTGTCTTCTTCCTATCTTAGATGCATAGAAACAACCACTGTAAATAGTGTTTGAGTATCTTTGTCAAGCTCTTTCTACAATTCATGTATACATTTCCCTCCTTTGCTACACACGTTGTTCTGTGTGGTCTTGATACTTTCACTTAGTGACTTATCTTAGAAGTCTTTCCACCATAACAGCTAACAGGTGTTAACTGTTTTCTATATGACAAGCACTAAAAGACTAACTTGTTTTATTTAATCATCTCAACAACTCTGTGACGTAGACTTTATAATTATTTCCCATTTTGGAGATGAAAAAATTGAGGTAGAGAAAACAAGTAACATGCCCAAGGCACAAAACAAGCAGACGGCAAAGCTGGTAATTTAATCCCTATGGTCTCATGTCAGAGTACAGTTCTTAAAGTGTGAACCCTACACAGTTCTCCCCCATTGACAGCACACCATGTTCTTTTGATAGCTGCATAGTGTTTGTTACATGGATGTTCATACATTTACTTAACTAATCTCTGCACACATAGGTTTGGGGGTATGATAAAATAGCAGCAGTTAATATCGTAAACATTCACCTTCGCCTACATGCAAAAGTATGATTTTGGAATAAATTCCTAGAAATAAAATCATTGAATCAAAATTTGAATTTTTGATTGGTATTATGAACTTCCATTTCAAAGAATAATAGTAATATACATGCACATCAAGAATATGTGTGCCTGTACTTCTCCATTTTTAAAACTATGTAAATCATCTTACGTAAAAGGTGGCTGGAACTTAAGAGCTGCTCAAATTTTGTTTGATGATTGGGATTGCTTTTGACTTAAATAATTGAAACCGTTTTGTATTATATGAAAAGACAAAAAAGTCCTGTTGTGTAGAAAGCAAAAGAGAAAATTTAAGCATCAAAGTCACTGTATCCTAACTGAGTCTGTGCAGGTAATACAGACTCAAAATGCTTCCATAGCATCTATGGATTCATACACGGAGAAGGAAATTTTAGCAATGATCTAATCCAGCAGCTAGGGCAAGAGTACCAGTGGAGGCCCAATTGCCATTTGTCTACATATTTAGAAGTTATAAATCAAGTTATCAAGCTGTTAAAGAAAATTTCTCTCCTCCTCTCTTGACAAACACATCTGTTAGGTTCAAATACAGAACTCTTGGACTCCTGAGAACAGTGGGTTTCAAACTTTAGCATTCATCAGAATCACCTGGAGGACCTGTTACAACACAGATTTGTTGGCCTCATCCCCAGATTTTCTGATTCAGTTAAGTCTCAGATGGGACCCAAAATCTGTCTCTCTACCAAGATCACAGGTGATGATGATGATGCTGGTCTGAGACCGCACTTTGAAAGCATCACTCTAGAAAAGGGATGAGGCTCCATGTGAGCAGAACTCCTTGGCTAACAGAGTCCTTACCCCATGGGGTGAGCTAGAGGAGGAGGGCCGGAGGGTGCCTATAAATCAGGGTTTCTCACCCTAAATGCTATTGACAAGTTATACCAGTTAATTAATTGCTATGTAGAGTGATTCCTGTGCACTGCAGGATGTTTTGTAACATCCCTGGCTTCTACCCACTAGCAAGTAAGACCCCATCAACCCTGGATTTACAATTTAAAAAATAATGTCTACAGACATTCCAAATGTCCCCTAGGACAGGGGTCCCCAGCCCCAGGGCCCCTGTTAGGAACCAGGCCACACAGCAGGAGGTGAGTGCGGGGCAAGCCAGCAAAGCTTCATCTGTGTTTACAGCTGCTCACCATCACAGGCATTACTGCCTGAGCTCCGCCTCCTGTCCAATTAGTGGCCTTAGATTCTCCCAGGAGTGTGAATCCTATTGTGAACTGCGCATGCAAGGGATCTGGGTTGCGTGCTTCTTATGGGAATCAAATGCCTGATGATCTGTCACTGTCTCCCATCACCCTCAGATGGGACCATCTAGTTGCAGGAAAACAAGCTCAGGTTTCCCACTGATTCAACATTATGGTGAGTAGTATAATGATTTCATTATATATTATAATGTAATAATAATAGAAATAAAGTGCACAATAAATGTAACGTGCTTGAATCATGCCAAAACCATTCCCCCCATCCCATCCCAGTCTGTGGAAAAATTGTCTTCCACAAAACCAGTCCCTGGTGCCAAAAAGGTTGGGGATTGCTACCCTAGGGGCAAAGTCACCCCTGGTTGAGAACCACTGCTCTAAATCATGGAGCCCAGGGCAAGGCCCCTCTGCTCTGGGCCTGAAGGCAGTGCTATACAGAGAAGCAAAAGGATTTGCCTTATATTTGCTTCTTGAGGAATTGTGTAGTCATAAGACACACATACAAATATATCACTTTTCTGATGCTGAAATGAGAGAACAGAGCTCATTAGGAGTTCTGGAACATCCTGACATTATGAGAGGGATTAAATATTTCAAGGCTTAGGAGAACAGCCAGATCCCTAGACAATTTGGCCTACTCTCCCATCCTCAAGTCACTTCGTTTAGTAATAAATATCCCATGCTTGAATTATGATTATGTTGGGGCTGCTTACTTAAAAAACGAAGGTCATCACAAATTCCCCCAAAACCAGGGCTTTTTTCTTACCTCTAACAACAAGACAGAAGTGCAGGAATTACCTAGACATGTAACACACTTCAGTTGAAGGATAAGGTTTGTCCTCTTCCATCTATTGATGGGGGAAAATAATCTAAGCATCCAGCCTCAGTCCTTGACAGTTCATCTTGACATATAAATGCCTTTCACAGTGGATAAGATAAATTTTTTGCAATTCTAAATATCCTGTTCCAAACTTGAAACATTTATACTAAACATTTTGTATCTGATTTCAAAAATCTCTTCTTGAATCTTGTCATATTCTCCCTGTTTGGGTCCCACAGATTTGACATACTAATAACTGAAAGTTATTGTGTCAAGTAGAAATTTTAACAGGCAGGTACTAATAGGTTTCAAACAAAACATGAATGAACTCTGCTACAGAAACATTTCTCAGGCTGGATAGCTCAGTTCAATGGGAGTTTATACAGCAAAACTTTCATCAATAGAAATGCTTAAAGCAGAGCATAAGTTCTGAGCTTATTTTTCTAGTTAACTCAGTATTTTAAAAACACTTTTTATTGCAATCCTAACTGACAATAGATGATAGATAGATAGATAGATAGATAGATAGATAGATAGATAGAGATAGATAGTTAGATAGATTTTTTTTTTTTGAGATGGAGTCTCACTCTGTCGCCCAGGCTGGAGTGCAGTGGCGTGATCTCAGCTTACTGCAACCTCCACCTTCCAGGTTCAAGCAATTCTTCTGCCTCAGCCTCCTGGGTAGCTGGGGACTACAGGCTCATGCGACCACGCCCGGCTAATTTTTGTACTTTTTGGTGGAGGTGGGGTTTCATTATGTTGCCCAGGCTGGTCTCGAACTCCTGACCTCAAGTGATCCACATGCCTCAGCCTCCCAGAGTGCTAGGATTATAGGCGTGAGCCACTGCGCCCAGCCTATAATTTTATTCTTTGACTATGTGTTTGTCTATCTCAGAGATGGAGTGTAGTAACTGTATTAGGCAAGGATCTATAGGTACAAATGACAAAACTATCTCAAAGCAAAGGGGGGAGGTTAATGGATCATAAAATTAACTTGCAGAGTATTTATATTTCATAAAATAAACTAATAAACAAAACTAAATATTTAATCCATTTCCAATATAAAAATTACAAAATTGTAATGTGAACTAAAATTTAAATTTATAAAATATGACTGTTAAATATACATTATCATTCTAATATAAATTAGAAAACAAAATTAATAAAATAAAGCACCATTTAAAATAAACATCTTATTAAAAGTGTAAAAATAATCAATCATAAACATTTTGAATGAAAATATCATTTGAACATATATAAAATTCAGTCTTATAAAATAAACATGTTGTAAGAATATTTTTGAGCAGAAGTGTCTACCTCTTTTGGAATCTATGCCAGTCCAGATATTTCCTTCTGGCTATTTTATTTTCAAAAATCTCATCTCCTTTTTTCGAGAACTTGACCTTTTGGGACAACACTTTTTTTTGAGAGACAGAAATGCAACATTTTATTGACAATTTAATTTTAGTTTCAAAGAAAATATTTCTTGTTTATCTTCACATCTTTTGTTTCATCATGTAAAGCTAGAGATTATCAGTTTCAATTTCAACATGACTTTTTAAATTCCAGTTCTTCAGAAAGACTGTGAACCAGAGTAGAATGTATTTTTCTAACACAAGTCTTGCTTTGTTGGCTGCTCTTCTCTTCTTCTTGAGTATAACAGGAATATAAAAATGCTTTCTAAAAATACGTGCATCACTTTTCACTTCAAAGTTTTAAGTCAGTATATAACTATATGGATCCATTACAAGATAAATTAATTCAAAATTCAAAAAAAATTAAACAAATATTGAATTAACTAAAAAATCGGCATTTTAAAAATGCCTAAAATAGTGCTGGAATATATGAGTATCAAAAAGTGGAAATGTAATTGATTACTAAAGAGATGTGGATGGTCTTCAGGATGATTGATGCCAGGGAACCAGTACCCTCAAGGCTCTTCAGCTCGTCTCCACTTCCTTCTGTGTTGTGGGGAGGAGGGCAAAGGGGATGGCAGCTTGATTGGCTTAAAGTAACTTTTCTGCAAGCCAAAGGACTGGTTGCCTACAGCTCTAAACTCACAGGCATTCGTCTTTATAACCAAAAAAGAAAGAAGTCATCTCTCCCAGGTCCAATCAAAATAAATCTTGGGCCGGGTGTGGCTCACGCCTGTAATCCCAGCACTTTGGGAGGCCAAAGCAGGTGGATCACGTGAGGTCGGGAGTTCAAGACCAGCCTGATCTACATGGTGAAACCCCATCTCTACTAAAAATACAAAAATTAGCCAGGCATGGTGGTGAGTGCCTGTAATCCCAGCTACTCAGGAGTCTGAGGCAGGAGAATCACTTAAACCTGGGAGGTGGAGGTTGCAGTGAGCCAAGATCACACCATTGCACTCCAGCCTGGGTGACAAAAGCGAAACTCTGTCTTAAATAAATAAACAAATAAAAACCTTGTTGAAGATACAAATAAAAATCTTGTTGAAGAAACAAGTATCCCAAAACCAATTACTTTGGCCTGGCAGTAAGACACTTTGATTGGTCCATCTTGGGATAGGTACCTACCCCTCAACCAATCCCAGACCCAAAAGAGAAAGTCATGTACAAAGAAGGTTGCTCCCATTTGGAGCCCAAGGATAAAATGGGAAGTGAAGTAAATATCGAGAAGGAAGGGATGTAGGTCCCAAAGGAAGGGAGGAATGCAGAGAAGCAACACAATATGTGCCCGCTGCATGTGATCTTAATTGAAATGTGTTAGTTCATTGTTCTTGAGAGTCAAGATTCTACATGTTCTTCAGTTTGTATGTTAGTTTTAAGAAGACATAGGAAATGTAAAAGATTAGGTTGAAATTAGATTTGACATGTTTATTAATGATACAATGGGTTAATCAGTGAGTGTTCAAGCTGATATAAAGTGAGTTGGAGCTCAGAAGAAACATTATAGTGACACTTTAAACAAGTGACAGAGCCAGATAGACAAGGGTTAAAACTGATGCTTAGAGGTTAATGAGGTGGGACAGAAATGGAGACAACAGATTGGTGTTGTATCAGATGGAGTCCCTCTCTGAGGAGCTATTATTTTAGTTAGAGGAACAAATTACAAACATGTAAAAAACTATTTTGGATACTGATAAGTTGTTGGAATAAGACAAAATAACCAAATGTGATAGAGTTACATGCTGAGACTGAAAGCTGCCTCAAGTAGGATTGTCAAAGAAAGCCTAAGTCACAGATGTATGAGCTGAGACATGAATGATGAAGCCCTAGAGTTCTGTATTCTATGCAAAAATAACGGTGAAGGAAAGTTTGAAATGTTTTATGCTTGAAATGTTTTAACATCAATATTAAGGTCAATGTGTCTAAAGTTTAGTGGGCAAGTGGAGAATACTAGGATATGTATTGGGTCAGAGAGGAAGGCAGGGGCCAAATTATGCAGTGTCTGACAGGTCAGAGTAAGAAATCAGATTTTCAGTCCAAACTGTAAAATAGTAAGAAAAGAAGACCAAAGGCTTTTGCATGTTGGTAATATTATTGCTGTCAGTCCTGTCTTTCAGGTAAAAGCCAGATTGCAGTAGGTTTTGAAGACAACATGAAAAAGACACCTTATCAGAAGTTAAGTCATTACTAAGGGTCTCCTGGCATATCTAGCTTCAAAAGCAGACTGCTTCCTTACAAGGGCTTCTAACAGAAATAATACAAGCCCTCTTTGGTCAACTCCTGATGGATTATTCAAGTTATAAATCATGTTCTTATTTACCCAGGATCCATTCATATCATGTCCAAGACAATGCTGCAACCATGGTGATGACTGGGAGTAAATTTTAGGAGGAAGTTAAAGTGTAAACCCTTATACCAGGGATTATTAGGGACTAGTAGGTAATATAATAGATGTTGTCTTTGTGGTTTTGCCCAGATACAGAAATATTCTTTGAAAACAATGTTTGACCAACTTCTATTGACCAACACTAAAAGATTAGGGCATAAAATCAAATTGCAACTAACTCCATAAAAGCATTTTTGCCAAAATCATATGACCCAGACACACTGTTTCCCGATTATCTAACTTTAGATAAAGCTTGTGGAGCCCAGAGATATAAAGAGTCACCTTTCCCTTAGACTAACTCACTCAAATACCAGATGTTTCAACTGAGCATTTGGCAAATATTAGAAGGCAGTCTAAACTCTGATTTGTATCATCAATTAAATAAATGTCCATAGGTTTTTTGATACTGAACATGCAAGTAGCAAAGTCAATATGCTGTTGACATGATTTGGCTGTATCCCCACCCAAATCTCATCTTGAATTGTAACTCCCACAATTCCCACATGTCATGGGAGGAAACTGGTAGGAGGTGATTGAATTATGGGGGTGGGTCTTCCTGTGCTGTTCTCATGATAGTGAATGAGTTTTAGGAGATCTGACAGTTTTAAAAATGGGAGTTTCCCTGCACAAGCTCTCTCTTTTCTGTGTGCTGCCATCCACGTGAGATGTGACTTGCTCCTTCTCACCTTCTGCCATGATTGTGAGGCCTCCACAGCCATATGGAACTGTAAGTCCATTAAACCTCTTTTTTTCTTCCCAGACTCAGGAATGTCTTTATCAGCAGTGTGAAAATGGACTAATACAGTAAATTGGTACCAGCAGAGTGGGGTGCTGCTGTAGATACCCAAAAGTGTGGAAGCAACTTTGGAAGTGGGTAACAGGCAGAATTTGGAAAAGTTTGGAGGGCTGAGAAGAAGACAGGAAAATGTAGGAAAGTTTGGAACTCCCTAGAAACTAGTTGAATTGCTTTGATCAAAATGCTGATAGCGATATGGACAATAAAGTCCATGCTGAGGTGGTCTCAGATGGAAATGAGGAACTTGTTGGGAACCGGAGCAAAGGTGACTCTTGTTATGTTTTACCAAAGAGAGTGGTGGTATTTTGCCCCTGCCCTAGAGATTTGTGGAACTTTGAACTTGACAGATGATTTAGGATATCTGGTAGAAGACATTTCTAAGCAGCAAAGCATTCAAGAGGTGACTTGGGTGCTGTTAAAGGCATTCATTTTCATAAGGGAAGTAGAGCATAAAAGTTAGGAAAATTTGCAGCGTGACAATGCAATAGAAAAGAAAATACCATTTTCTGAGGAGAAATTCAAGCTGGCTGCAGAAGTAACGAGGAGCAGAATGTTAATCCCCAAGACAATGGGGAAATGTCTCCAGGACATGTCAGAGGTCTTCATGGCAGCCCCTCCCATCACAGGCCCAGAGGCCTAGGAGGAAAAAGTGGTTTCATGGGCTGGGACCAGGGTCCTTGTGCTGTGTGCAGCCTAGGGACTTGGTGCCCTGTGTCCCAGCCATGACAGCTATGACTAAAAGGGGCCAAGGTACAGCTCAGGATGTTGCTTCAGAGGGTGGAAGCCCCAAGCATTGGCAGCTTCCACATGGTGTTGAGCCTGTGAGTGCACAGAAGTCAGGAATTGGGATTTGGGAACCTCTGCCTAGATTTCAGAAGATGTGTGGAAATGCCTGGATGCCTAGGCAGAAGTTTGCTGCAGGGGTGGGGCCCTCATGGAGAACCTCTGCTAGGCAGTGTGGAAGGGAAATGTGGAGTCAGAGACCCCCACAAAGAATCCCTACTAGGGCATTGCCTAGTGGAGCTGTGAGAAGAGGGCCACCATCCTCAAGACCCCAGAATGGTAGATCCACTGATAGCTTGCACCATATGCCTGGAAAAGCCGCAGACACTCTATGCCAGCTCATGAAAGCAGCTAGGAGGGAGGCTGTACCCTGCAAAGCCACAGGGGCAGAGCTGCCCAAGACCCATGGGAACCCACTTTTTGCATCAGTGTGACCCAGATGCAAGACATGGAGTCAAAGGAGATCATTTTGGAGTTTTAAGATTTGACTGCCCTGCTGGATTTCAGACTTGCATGGGGCCTGTAGCCCCTTTGTTTTGGCCAATTTCTCCCATTTGGAATGGCTGTATTTACCCAATGCCT
Organism: Homo sapiens; assembly: GCF_000001405.40. Taxonomy (NCBI): domain Eukaryota; kingdom Metazoa; phylum Chordata; class Mammalia; order Primates; family Hominidae; genus Homo; species Homo sapiens. The sequence goes on from NC_000004.12 coordinate 47,638,188, forward strand.
GTACCCCCATTGTATCTAGGAAACTAATTTGCTTTTGATTTTACAGGCTTATAAGATGGAAGGGACTTGCCTTGTCTTAGATGAGACGTTGGACTGTGGACTCTTGAGGTAATGCTGAAATGAGTTAAGACTTTGGGGGACTACTGGGAAGGAATGATTGGTTTTGAAATGTGAGGACATGAGATTTGGGAGGGGCCAGGGGCAGAATGATATGGTTTGGCTGTGTCTCCACCCAAATCTCATCTTGAATTGTAACTTCCATAATTCCCACATATCATGGGAGGAAACCAATGGGAGGTGATTCAATTATGGGGGCAAGTCTTTCCTGTACTGTCTTCATGATAGTGAATAAGTTTCACAAGATCATATGGTTTTAAAAATGGGAGTTTCCCCACACAAGCTCTCTCTTTTTTGTGTGCCACCATACACGTGAGATGTGACTTGCTCCTCCTTGCCTTCCACCATGATTGTGGGGCCTCCCCAGCTCTGTGGAACTGTAAGTCCATTAAACCTCTTTTTCTTCCCAGTCTCGGGTATGTCTTTATTAGCAGCATAAAAATGGACTAATACAGCTGCCATGAGAATTTAGGGGCTTGATTTATGCATTCTTCTAATCAGAGAGCCATCATACTTCCAATCTGGGCTGAACTCTTGAGATAGCAACAGATGAAAGCAAAAAGTTTTCAAATTCAACAAAGAACTCTAAATCTTCTCATCTAGACAAGCACTGAGTTGAGAGCCTAGCATTTGAGCAGCAACACATGAAAGGCATAATTTGGGTCTAAAACATCCTAAGTGCAGGTGTTTTAAATCAACTGCCTCTATCATGAAAGCATTTCAGTAGAATCCCTGCAACCCATGAAATTTGGGAGACCTGCATTCTTGATAAATTCCCTCCAAAATATACCCCCTGAAGTAGAAGAATGATCCACTTGGAATTAGGGTATGCTGGTTCCGGACCCTACATACACACTACAATGCCGTTCTCTATAAATGTTTACTGAATGAACGGATGAATGAATGAGTGATACAACAAATTTATACTATCAAGATAAGATTAAAGTTTTATGTTTTTCTTGTATAATTTTAATAGAAATGCCATGTTCTATGCAATAAGTCTACACCATTCTCTGATGGCAAAATATCTGGACTTTTTTCTAACTTTGTGTTCTTGGCTGTTTACCTACATGTCTTCCCCACTCCATTATAAACTCTGATGATGTTATTCACTTTTGCATCCTCGACCCAATGCCTAGTCCAGTACAAGGCCCATAAGCAGATACTCAAAAATAAAAAGGGAAGGGGAATGCTGAATGGAATTAGTTGGGAGTTGCTTTTTAAACTTCAAGTTTTTGATGCAGAATATGTCTGAATGTACAAAGGCAGGCTGGCATAAACTCCACTCCAGAAGCTAAGAAGGAACACCATTCCCACTTCCCTCCTTGTGCAGCATAGGCCAATCATGGCCAGACAAACCCTTCTAGCAAGGGCTTTGATCTGGAGGAAATGACTCAAAGGTGCAGGGTGACTTAGAGTTTATTTGAGGCATCGGTGGCAGAATCATGAATTTGCAGCACAGCAGCTGGTCTCGAGAGACAGTGGTCACATGGCAGCTGCCTGAGCCTGTTCCCTCAGCAGGAAGATAGCCTCATCTTGACCATTACCATCATTCCCGGCATAGCCTGGCTCTCCAGATTTCTGTCAATTCATGAGCCACTCAAGTCAACTAAAGAGTAAACTTCAAGGCAACTAAAAAGTTCAAAAACTACTAGTACTCATTTCTTTGGAGGACTTATCACCACTTACCCATTTTTCCCATTAAATCAGTCAAATAATGGATATGGGTTTCCAACCACACCTCTATCTCAGATTTTCCTAGTCCTTCTGTGAAATAAAATAATCTAAAATAAAAAGTATCTGCATGTCTATTTGAATTTTATATATCTAAAGATATCTAAAATACTGAAGTTTCATTTTCCAGCTATGTTGAGAAAATGGAGCAAATGGAGTACATAATTTTTTAAAAATCCACTGTGCACACAATAGCCAAAGGTGGGAATAATCCAAATGTCTGAATGGATAAACAAAATGTATATCCATTTAATGGCATATTATTCAGTCACAAGCAGGAAAGAAGTACTGGTACATGCTACAAGACAGATGATTGAAAATGTGCTAAGTAAAAGAAACCAGATGAAAAGGCCTCATGTTGTATATTTCCATTTATATTGAAATATCCAGAATAGGCCAATTTATAGAGGCAGAAAGCAGATTAGTTGTTACCTGGTCCAGTGGGTACGAGAAAATGGAGAGTAACTGCCTAGTGAGTACACAGTTTCCTTTTGGGATAATAAAAGTGTTCTAAAACAAAGAGTGGTGATGGTTGCACAACATTGTGAATAAAGTAAATGCCACTGAATTATACACTTTAAAGTGGTTAAATGGTGAATTTTATGGATGTGTATTTTAACACAATAAAAATCCCAATATGCAAATATTTAGAAGAAACATAAAGAAGCATATTTAAAAACAGGAACCTTTCTATTTACAATAGAACAGCTATGTTCAGGGTGGCTTGTCAAAAGGACTTTCTGGTTGTAAAATCTTTGCAGTTTCAACCTTATACCAATAAGGTTTTATCGAGAAGAAAAATAAAAATAACCATATTCAAAAGATTTTTCATTTATCTCTGAACACAATCATAACCTATTTCATTTAGACACAATAAGGAAGTTGTGAGAATGAAGTCTAATTTAATAGATCTTGGCAAATATAATTTTTCCACTCTCACAAAGTTTAAAATTCCTTTATTATAGATGAGCATTAGTTATTCAATTCCTAAAGATGTTGGTCTTCACATGGGAGAAATGGACTCAAGATGGTGGGAGCTGCATATTAGTAATTCTTTAAACTAGGATAACAAAAATGTGCTGCTAGTTGCTATCCCATAACTGCATGACTCATTATTGTAAAATTGTTTCAAGTTTGTTCAATGGATCTTAGGAAATGGCATTTACTCAATTTTTTATTTAGTCTAGAATTTTAGAACTCCTTTGTCTTCAATTTCTCTAATTTCTACATTTCCCCCAAATCTCAAATACATCAATGGTAAAAGAAATACTTACACATTCTAAGACCCTGAAAATTATTGCTTTCCACCCCCAATGGAATTGAAAAAGAAAAACCTCACAAAATAGCAAGTATCTAACTTTCAAAGGATCCATTTCAGTATATCTGTATCAAAGCCAGAGTGAATCTTTTCATTCTACTAAGAAGCAAATATACTGAACTATTTCTTGATTTACATTTACTGCCTTACTTAGAGTAAACAGAAATGCCAGCAACTTCAGCTTATTTAAAAATGTGTGTTGCTTAAGAAGAAATTTTCAATAACCTCTTGGGGGGAAATTACAAGATATTTTCATCCAGATTCCTCAAAGGAAATGATTGTAATGCTTTTATAAATAATGAAAGCATTTCATTGCAGAAGTACTTAAAATACAATTACTTCATTTACTTTTAGAGGCTTCATCAAAGTACATTTCCAGCACACACTCTTCAGGGCAGGTGCCTATAATTAAATATGGTCCTCTCACCTGATTCATTTCCCGGGTTTTGAAGGACTCTTTGTTTGAGAGCACTAACTCTCTGTGCATCCTAAGGAAGATATTACTGCCAAGTTCCACAAAGCCTTCTGAGAAATTCATCAGTGCTACAAACTACTGACCTTACCCTAAACCCATCTGCTTGCAGGCCAGCTGACTCAATATCTCCTGCCAGCCATCTGCACACACATGGTGTTCTGTGGCAGCTCTGTGAACCATCAGAAAGGAAGAGGAGTTCACATTTATAGAGAGGGTCACTAGGGAAAGAAAAGACAAGGGAAACCCTAATTAAAAACATTTCTTCCCATGAAAGCACATAACTTTACATGCCTCTGCTTCATTGGCATACATTCATTTTCATTTATTTTAGTTAATCATTTGATGTGTACCTACCCTGTGCAAATCACTGCCTTCAGTGTGCTAGAGGGCTAAAAAAAAAATGAATTAGAAATGTTCTCTACCCTCAAAGAACCGTAGACTCTAATGAAAGAGACAGGCAGTTCTTAACTTTTCTTAATGAGTTAGAAGACAGCCAGAGCCAGGCCTCATCCCATGAGTTAACCAGGATTTGCATAATTACAAGAAGCGAGTTGTAAATCTATTTCTATCATTTCCTTCAAGAAAGTATACGAGAACGCAAGTGCGTGAGAGGGATGCAAATTTAGGATTAATTTGGTATATGTGTTAATTCCTATTATATAAAGGAGAATCCTCTGTACTTAACCAGCCTCAGAGCACTTAGGAAACGCTGCACAATTGATCACAACACACATGAGAATCATGATTTGGCTGGATGATGCAAAGGACTGAGAAAGAGCTGAGTGAATGGAAGGAGTGATGAGTGTGGGATGAGGAAATTAATCAAACTCAAGATCACAAACTGCAACACTGGAGGTGCTGGTAGGAGATGTCTTTAATTCCTGTCTGTGTAAGGAGCTAGACAGTTAGAAGTCTTGGACCTGAAGAGTGTAGGGAAGGCAGAGGGGCCACTTGACTATTCTATTCTAGCAGGTAGAGGTGACAAAAGAATGGCAGACTATCATTAAATTTATTGAAGTTGGGTTTTAATGAAGAGTTTTTAAATCCTCTCCCAGCAATTATATGATTACAACATTTTGAACCCAAACGTTTTTCCATACAATATAGATATTTCAAATAGAGAAGTAGCTTCGTGGGGAAATTTTCTGTGAGTTGGAAATAACACACATAGATCAGCACTATCAGCTTTTATAACAGTAAAACAAAATAGATGAACTTGGTCAGTAAAATCCAGGAAGTAATTTAGGATCCATTCAGCTTCAGTGGCTGACAGGCATGAGAGAGTACAACAGATGGCAGAAACAAGTAGCTCACCACAGTCCCATTCATCTGAACTGTCTGAGCAGTCGGCTTCACCATCACACCACAGGTCACGTGACACACACGCATGGTTTGCACATTCCAGCTCATCATCTTGGCAAAATGCTGGCATGGGGAACAAAAAGTGAGAAGGAAAACATTTTAGAAATAAATGTGATTATCACTAACATGCATATCTTCATGTGCCAGCAGGAGCATGGAAAGAAGAAAATATGTGATCACTGAGGCTTCCAAACGGGCATAAAAACAGAATAACATAATTTGTAAAATATCATTTAATAGACATCAATACATACAAAGAGCATTTAAACAGAATTACTATGTTCAAGTGACTCAATGTTCTGGTTCTAACAATCAGACTGAATAAACAGTACTCACAGCCGCAGAAATACCAAAGATCAGAGAACGGGGTTAAAATCTGCATGAGCAGAGCATGAGGGATGAACAGACTGAAGCCGCCTTAGATAGAAAACAATCTCTGTCCACAGAGATGCATAATAAGTTTTTTTTTCCATCTCTATTATTAAATGACTCTCTGAGTCATACATAGTTCTCTTTTGGGTTTTAAAAATTATAGTAAATCTCCTTGATTGCCTACTTAACAACCATTTCCTTTCTCCCTCCTTTCTTTAAGGGAGCCCGATTTTGTTCAGGCCCCTACACCAGCCATCCCCACTTCCAAAGGAAGATCCTGATTAGTTTAAGCTGGGCATGGCATTTTTCTGTCTACAGTTTTTTTGTTTGTTTGTTTCTGAATACAATTAGTAGTCCAGGAGTAAACATGTGCTCCGATATCAGGGCCTTGACCTACGGTTGTGTGATTGTGCTTCACAGGACAGCTCCTGCCCAAACTCTGCTGCTGTGCCATGTGCCCTAGCCTGGGACAGGAACAACCTGGAGAAAACAGCACCTTTTTTTTGATTGGTTCTCCCTGCGTGGTGCTTCTTTTTGCAGTTCAGCTGTTTGTAGGAAGTGTCTTTTCTAACTACACAAAGACTCCTGACGGCTAGCTGTGACTCCGCCCAAAGTTGACCTGAGCGAATCCCTTAATGATATCTTGGAGATATGAACACAGTTCTTCCTCCTTCCAGCTGGACATGATCAAGGAAGCATGGTGCCCCAGATGCCCTTGGTAATGTCATATTTTCACCATTGTGGGAGCCAGCCTGAGTTGAAGCTGAACTGAAAAAATCACAGACAAAGTGCTAAACTGCTGCATACAGCCTCAAGAGTCCACCTACTTGACTCTATATGATAATATAAAACATGTGATATGTATATGATAATAAAAGATAAATGTCTTCATTATTTGTCATTTTGATTTGGGCTTTTCTGTTATTTGTAGGTAAAACATCTTAAGAGACATAATTATTTTCTGGCTCTAAAAGCAATGGCCATTCACTTAGAAAATGTAGAAAAGATAGAAAAGCACAAAAATTTAATAATTATACCACCCAAAGACTATAACTGTAAACTTTTAAATATGACTTTCTGATCTTTTTCTATGTGTAGATATATGTACTTTCAAAACTCAGGACAATAGTGCACATAATACTGAATATTCTGTTTTACTCAACTAATGACATATAATGAATCCAAGAGAAATTTTTCTTCTCTAATTTAATTTTAATATTTGTATATTATTTTCTTTTATGATTGTAGTTTATGTTCCCTATTATTGGATATTTGGAGGTATTTTGATTTTCTCATATTATAAATAATGCCAGAAGAATATTATAGTGTATATATTTTACACATATTTAGTTGGCTTCTTAGAATATGTCTTTACAAGTGGAGTTTGATCAAAAGATGTGAAAATACTAAAAGATTTGTATGCATATTTACACACTTTTAGCTTGTATTCAAAATGAGACTTAACTGGTGTTTAAAATAAAAATGCTCTGTTGACAAATTCGCATAAGCACTTACAGCAGTTTTTCTCGTCCATGTAATCAGGGCAGTCTGGGAACCCATCGCAGATCACTGTGTGCTTCAAACATTGTTTATTGGATGGACATTCCCAAAGATCTCTCTCTTTACAACCTAGAGACAGAAGAAAAGGTTATTTGCAATAGACGTGGAATTGAAAATAATGATAAATTCAATCAATGTAGAAAAATTACGCTATAAAGGCATGATGTTGGCAGGGCGCAGTGGCTCATGCCTGTAATCCCAGCACTTTGGGAGGCTGAGGTGGGCGGATCACAAGGAATCACTTGAACCCGGGAGGCGGAGGTTGCAGTGAGCCAAGATCACACCACTGCACTATAGTCTGGGCAACAGAGCGAGACTTTGTCTCAAAAAAAAAAAAAAGGCATAATGTCTTTTTTCTTAAAAAGTTTTGACCTCTGCATACCATGAATAATATAATTTTGAAAGTAGAAATAACCAATAATATTCATATTGTGATATAAATTGTACAGCTCTCCTAACAGAAGATCAAAGGTGACATATGGGGCCAGGCACAGTGACTCACGCCTGTAATCCCAGCACTTTGGGAGGCTGAGGTGGGCAGATCACTTGAGCTCAGGAGTTGGAGACCAGCCTGGCCAAGATGGTGAAACCCCATCTCTACTAAAAAATACAAAAAACAGCAAGGTAGTGCGTGCCTGTAATCCCAGCTACTTGGGAGGCTAAGGCAGGAGAATCATTTGAACTCAGGAGGTGGAGGTTGCAGTAAGCCGAGATTGCACAACTGCACTCCAGCCTGGGTGACAGAACAAGACTCTGCCTTTTAAAACCATATAATTAATAACTGAATCAGGATTAGAACCCTAGTCACTTTTCTCATGTATTTTCTATTCTTTTCTTTTTTGAGACCAAGTCTCACTCTGTCGCCCAGGCTGGAATGAAGTGGCACGTTCTTGGCTCACCGCAACCTCCACCTGTCTCAAAAAAAAAAAAAAAAAAAAAAGTGACATAGGGGACATGGAGAAAAAAATTTAAAAGCATACATTAACATTCATCTTTAACTGTTCCCTTTTCTTTCTGAGTGAAATTGCTGTCAATGCATAAGACTTATCTATAAAATAATGTTATGCTTTTAAGCAAATATGCCAAAGTCTAGTGATCTAAATGCATATCACCTTAAAATGTAATTTCATTCTACAAATCAGGAGGCCATCTGTTTTTTTAGCAAAAGAGGCTCCTTCTATGCCAAACAAAACTAGTTTAAGAGCCAGGTGCAAAAGCTATTACTTTATGGTAGTCAGAGATCTAAAGTTGGAAACTTCATCAATTAATAAGAGAAATGAATATAATTTGTACAACATTAATGTAATAACTTGAACTGTAATTTGCCTATGAAATAGCAAGCACTTGTGATGTATTTAATAAATGCCATTGATGATTCATGTGCAGTGCATTTCATATGCCTGCTAAAGTTTGACAAGAGTCTAATATGTTTATGTCATTCCGGTCAGATCCCTGGCCCCGGCCAGGCCGTGAAGTACATGAAGGAAGAGACTACATGGCAAAAAAAATTTGAGTACCTTCCACCCCCTTGGCTAGAACAATGGCTAGCATGTAGCAGGCCCTCAACATGTGTGTGTTTTAAGTAGAACTTCATTTCATGTAAGGAACAAAATGTCTCTGGCTCTCAGGAAAATATAATTTATTTTAAGGTCAGTGAAATGCAAAGCAGTGATCAAATAAGAAGTTTCTTAAACAATGTTATTGTTCATCTAACCTACTACAAATAAGTCGAATAAATTATGTAGATGATTGACTCAGGTTTCTTGGAATCCATTATGAGAAAAAAAATTGGTTTTCAAACTTTTCATTAAAAACAATTATAAAAATAAGTGACCCAAAATGCTTACTATAAGCTAAAATTAGATTTAGTGTGTTTCATCATCCAAAGATATAGGAAATAAATAGTGAGAGTCTTTCACTGGCTGATAATCCGGGGGGGTCTTAGGCCCAGGGACATCCATTCCAAGAACTCACAGGGACATTATTTAGAGTTTTCAGCTAGTAGAGGATCCAGACAGCATCTGAAAAGTTCTGACAATAAGAGTCTCTTGAGATTTGAGAAAGAGCCTGAAGCCTGTCCTCTGTGACCCAGCTCCCGCCAAATGGTACAGTCTGCTCATTCTACCAGAGAGCAAAAGACATCAAGAAAGAGGACTCAACACTCCATGCATGGTGCTGACCCTTCTCCAGGGCTGCTCCTCTGCTCACAAAACATACCACTTGCTAATAGAGAATGAAATAAAATAGCATGAGTTTTTCCTGACGATTCCCAAGGCCCATTCTTCTTAAGACTACAAGGAAGAACTTCGACATTTGGAATGAGATGATGAAATACCACAGAAATAGATCATCTGGGACAGAAGGCCGCCTAAAGTGCATCCTCACAAATAATAATAATAATAATGATGATAATGAGATAACATGTATTATCCACTATGTATCCACATTCTAGATATTAGCTTTAATTCTTAAAATAACACTATAATGTCAGTATTATGCTCACCATTTTATAAGTGAGGAAACTAACATTTAGAGAAATTGAATCCCTCCACATCACAGCTCTACGGAGAAAGATCTGGATGGGATCCAGGTACAAGTCATCAGTTGCAGTCCTTTGTAAGATGCGAACATGAAGTATGCGTAAGGGGTAGGAGCAGTGGAAGCACAGCTTTAGAGTCAGACAACTGGATTTGAATCCTAGTTCCAAATCTCACTAGCTGTGTGAGCTTGGGTAAGTTACTTAACTTCTCCAAACTTTGGTTTCCATACATCTTAAATACAAATAATAATGCCTGCTTCATAGGGTTGCTATAAACATTAAAGGAATACTCCATAAGCATTCACTTTTCACCTCTCCATGTCTTCTCTTTTCTCATAAAAGTTTGCATAGCATAATACCTCCTTTGTGGAGTTACAGTGAGCACAAAAGAAGTAGGATAAAAAGAGAGAGATATTAGTTACATGGGAGATAGTATTATTTTAAGAAGAAACCACTTTCTTTGTAAAGTGACATTTTGGTGCAATTATGTTTTAAATGTATATTCTAAAAGGAAAAGGATATGATTCCATCAAAAATTAAAAACAGGCATGGATGGGATGGGCTGTTTAATGCACCTGTAGGTTATGAAACCAAATAATTGTTGATGTCAGAATAATAACCTCTCCAGCACAGAGACAATAGCAACAACCAATAATTGAGGATACAGTGTTCCAAAAAAGTCACCAACTCACCCCAGTTTGCCAGGGATTTAATTGATTTGAGCACAAAGTGTCCCTTGTTCCAAAAGATCCCCATCAGTCCCAGGCAGATCTGGTTGACTGGTCACACTAAGTGTGCTAAGCATTCATCTGGGTTTTTTGCTTACTCTATCTCTCATTTTCACAAAAACTCTGTGAAACAGGCTGCCCTGACAGAGGCAGTACCCCCCCACCCCCAAATGGAATACCTTGTTTCTCTATAAAAACAGTTGTCATTACAAATAAAGTCAGCAAATCACCTCAAAGCAGATGCTTTTTGTTCTGTAAGAATCTCTTAGCTATGCAGCTATAGAGTAAGTAGGTCCACTCATCCTCTTGAGTTGAGCTGCATGAAATTTTTAAATTCTCACCCTTTGGAGTGGAGCCGCTCACAAGGAGGAAGGAGACAAGGTAATACTGCATTATTGAGCTGACAAAGGCTGGAACAGTCTGGATCCAGCCATCCTGGACCAGTGTCTGCCCCAGGAAGTGGCTGTGGATGTGACCTATAAGGAGCTGTAGCAGCCAGAGTACAGGCCTAACAGGTGTGAAGAGCCTTCTACAGCATGCAGGATCCTGGACAACAAAGCCCCTTCCCTCAAAGCATGGCTGCAAAGGGCTCTGCCTCTGCACCTGCTATAGCAGCTGGAACAGAGGACCTGCTTCCCACTGTGGTCTAGGCCTGATTATCAGGGCAGCCATACCAGCACAGGCCATCCAGCCACCATCCAGCTGGAAAGTCGCAGCAGCCTACCCAATTCCTGAGTCACTTCCCACTCTTAGCAGTGCCATTGTTATGGCATGCTCTTCACATATGGGTGGCCCAGTCTCCCGTGAAAGAGGCAGGATGAAGGAATGGATGGGACTTTAAACTGCATGGCTCTAATCCTAAAAAGAGAGAACATCCAACCCAAAACCAACACTATCTCCAGGAAAAGACACCATCCATCTACCTGAGTTTACTATGTGAGCCAGAGACCTCCCCCAGCCCATGCTTTAGCCTGACAGACCAGCCCACTCTCTTTTGCCATAAACAGCTGTCAGAAACAAGACTATGCTAGACAGGACTCCTTCCCTCAAGGGAGATGGCTGGGGCAGCCTTTGAAAGGAATCGCCTCCTGATTTTCCACCACCACAGCAGGTGAGTTCCCAGTTATTAGCTTCTGAGGATGAACAGGGCATGTTATAAGCATTCCAAGCTGTGAGAGATAATGTGGGTGTTCTCTGCATCTTACCCAGAGAAGTAAACTGACTGGCCAAACGTCACACAGCCTCTAAGGCTAAGTAAGGATGTAAATTCAAGTCTAAGTCTACGCAGGACACTCTGCCATTCCAGCCTGCCTTCCCAAGACACCACAGAAGACGATGAAACAGTTAACCAAGTATTTAAAGGGAAGGAGAAAATTTCCCCCTTAACATGGAAAATTAAACCCTACTGAGTGATGAGAAATCAATCCTGAAAATTCCTCCTGAAAGCACATTTGTGGATATGCCAAAGCTATGGACATAATGACTCTCACTCTTCTGCTAGCTACAGAGCAAAGAGTGGTCTCCTCCCCAGACAAAGAGACACAAAAGCATAGAGACTGGTAGTATTTGGAGTGTTAAGAAAGCCAGTTAAGCCCTTCTGTGAGATAACTCATAGAAATGCTATCCAAGAATCCAAAAAGAAAACATGCCTTTTGGAAACTCTTTGAAATCAAGCTGTAAAACCCGTAAATATCAGAGTCAGATCTTCTAATACAACCTAAGGGGATTCTGACTTGAAGAAATGGCTCAGGTTATATTTAAAGGTTTTATTTTATTTAAGATCAAGAGGAGACCAAAGATAGGTGAAGAACTGATTTTTGGTCATCTGAAGATAAACAGAAAGTCACTTAATGACACTCAGACATTTGCATTGCTGTCAATCTTTTCTCCATATGATGTATACCATTTTACTTAGAATAGTGATCAATTAGTAATTTTGATTCTGTGTTCATGTAATAAAGGATTTTATTTTGACAGTCGATATAAAGCACCTGTTGTAGCTATATTTTCATGTGACTGCTCCACTGGGAGTTGCTGCTTGCTTGCATCACAGCCCAGGTACCACCTGCTCTTGTAGCTGACCCAAATCGTGGAGGTAAAGCCTAGCAAGAGATAACCTCAGCCTCACACACTCAAATCTATAGAGTGATAGAACAGCTGAAACATACAATCCCTTTGTTGTTTTCCTTAGCTCTCCTTTCTTTGATGTCATTCTTGATCATTTATTTTCCCATGTCTTTCCCTCATGCTCCACTGCATGGCTATCAATGCTTGGAAAATGTTACGTTGAAAATAAACTCATTTATCAAGTTGCTAGTTTTACAGGCAGCTCCATCTATATCATGTATGCTCAATTACTTAAGCATACAGTAATTGACATCTTAAGCATCCTTAAGACAATGCAGTACTTCTGTACTGACACAGTGCAGATTCTGCTCAGCATTCCCCTGTCTCTTAGACTTCCTTCCCATATCGGATTTGCACAATTCATCCCAACACTTGCTGAAAACTTTTCTAGTACTGACATTTTCAACTCTTGTTTACATTGGCAATTACACAATCAAAGCAGCCTCAACAGCAAAAATCTACCACAAGAGCTGGAGACATTTAAGAACAGTATTACTGATTGCTAAATTCTAATGCATATATTTTAAAAGTGTATTTATAAGTTAAGTGCTTTGGTTATCATGTTTCTCCATTACAAAAGTGCCAAAGAAACAAGAAGTAATTTCTCACACAATATTTATTTCATAACTGAGTTAAATAAGTATTGTTTTGAGTGGAAACTCAATAACCTTGTTAGAAATTCTGAGGGAGCTGCAGATTCATGACAATGAATAGTTAATTGTCCAATTATTCAGTAAAGCTCAAACACTTAATAACACAACGGACAGAATAAGTCAGAAAGGCAAGAAGCTTGGGGTGAAACCCAGCTTTGCTGGAGCTGGTGCTTGCATTACCAGATGGTGTGCCTATGCACATACGAAAACAGAAAGACAAACAGCAAGGAGGCAAATGGAAACAGATGACTTCCTATTAGTCCTCTGTTGAGCCTTCATCAACCTGACTTCCTTATTTGATTTGAAGTGGTGTGTCCTCCCAAATCACTGAACAAGCCCATTCAAATGCATGCAGAAGTATCAAAGGGGAACGAAGTATGTAAAGTTTTCTATTGTTAGTCACTTTGGAAAACTTCTCATAAATTAGTACTGCTGGAGCAATTAATTGAACTCCAAATGTATTATTTCTTACCCACTTTTAACTTTCCTTAACTAGAGCTCTCAATAGTGCTGTCAATTATTTTTAATTTTTGATAGAGATTAGACAATATATTCTATTATTTTGATGTGCCTTTAATTGTGTGATTAAAATACTGGTGAAAACCAATTACTTAACTAGAAACCTGATATTTTAGGGTCGTTTAAACCCTATACCAATATGATAGTACTTTAAGTTTATTTTTTGCAGAATATGTTCTAGAACTCAGAACTTTTAGTCTTGGTAAAGTTGTTTTGTTTTGTTTTTAACTAAGCTTTTGTATTTCTCAAATATTTAGTCCCCTACAACAAATTTAGGTCTAGCCACCCCAACAAAGTATCATGCAACCTCTTTGAACCATCTAAGATAATCTATTTTAAATTGCATCTCAAATACCATGACCCATCAAAGTCATAGTTCAGTGAACAAATCTAATACATTCTCAATAAATCACTTATATAAGGTATATTCAATGAATTTTGATTTATTTCTTTACAAAACAAAAAACCACAAACAAGCAAACAACAGTAGCTTCTAAAAACACTGTACATTCCTCCATAACAAAATTACCCCAGACATTGTACCATCATTCTGACAGCTGAAGTTTTCCAGAAGATGCATTAGTCCATATTTATAGGAGCTGACAGGATTTCAGTTGATTGCTTGTGACATTTTTGTCTAGATCAGAAGGGCAATGTTTACCACCTAAAATTCACTTAATGGAGCAACGCAATATTTCATACTTCAAAGGCCAAAAGAATGAAATTATTTCAAAAGATGTACTGCCTTACGTGCTTGTCATGAAAGTGTCAATTCTTCTTAAACAGGAAAGGCTAAATAATCATAACCAAACAATTCTGTGGATAGATCTTCAATCATTTTGCTTTCCTCAAAAACACTGTTTATTAAAGACCATTGTCTGACTTCTATTCCCTAATACATTGTGGTTACAAGTACAAAGATTTGCAGGGAAATATAATGACAACTAAGTCCACTCAAATTACCATTGGCATTTATGGCTTTTCCACTGGCGATTTTGGAACTCAATGGCAGAAATGTCAAGAAGAGTTTTATCCTTTGCCGAAAGAGAAAAAATATGAGAGGACATGAAAATGAATCCCAATTAGACTGGGAATGATGGAGTCTGAACTCTGAATGTTGGAGTATGAACTCTGCCTTCATGCATCTAGATGTCTATTTAGCAACATGGGAAGCATACGCAAAGACACTATTATTCTGGCTTTAAAACTGATAACAATGGCTTTATAATTTAATAATAAAAATAATTCTTTACATTTGTGAGGTGCTTCTCCTTTTAATAAGTGTTTGCAAATATAGTAGTGCCCCTCCACCCTTATCTGAAGTTTCAGTTTCCACAGTTTCAGTTATCCCTGGTTAAGCATGGTCCAAAAATGTTGGCACAATACAATAAGATATTTTGAGACAGAGAGAGAGAAACCGCATTCTCATTACTTTTCTTTCAGTACATTGTTATAATTGATCCATTTTATTATTGTTGTTAATCTCTCATTGTGCCTAATTTATAAATTAAACTCTATCATAGGTACATATGTGTAGGAAAAAGCATAGTACTGCATATATGGGGTTCCATACAATCTATGGTTTCAGGTATCCACTGGGGGTCCTGGAACATATCCCTACGGATAAGGGGGAGGGGTACTGTATGTATCAGGGTTATATAGAAGTGCAATTTAGAGGAAATCAAGAGTCAGGAAAAACACTTAAAATATATGCCATACTGTTCAATAATTTAAGAAGTAAAGACATTAGCATTGAATCCTAGTCCTACTATCAGTGAATAGTTTCCATTTTTAACACAGTTTCTTATTTTATTCTAGTTATCACTGTACATTCAAGAAAAGTACCATTGCACATACATACCACAGTTTTCCTCATCACTGTCATCGTCACAGTCGGCCTGGCCATCACATCTTCTGGAAGCCAGAACACACTGTCCTGAGCGGCACTTGAAATGACTAGGTGAGCATTCTATTAAAAACAATATTACTGTTAAAGGGCTGAAAACCCAGAAACATCAGCTAATTTATGTATTTACATGTAGGATGTTGTCAAGGAGCTTTTACTGAAGATAAGGGTGGTCTCTTGCAAAACGAAATAGCCATTTTGCTTTGGCATTCTTCTGCCTGCCAATCAGCATCTTTCTCCTTCATTCTTGGCCTCATCCCTCTAGATACGCGGTTTAACATCTATGTATTCCAATGATTAATTTTCTTTCCAAATGGGACAACCCAACAATTGCCAGAGCCTGATATGCCTTGTGCAGTCAGTGCTCCTGACTACCTAGCGGCTCTCAATGTGTCAAAATCATTTTCACATCCCCATCTTTCCACCTAGTCCACAATTCCATTTCTGTACTTAATGATCCTATGTTGCCATGGTCCCCAAATGTTTTTTACTTGAAGGAACCAAGGTTTGATGTTCACCTTTGCCTTCAGGATCACTAGTATAAAAGCATCCATACATAATGGGCTCTGTGAGTAAAGTACAGTTTAAAAAACACCTGGAGTACTAATTAAACTCATCTCTGAGTTCATTATTTTTAATTTTAAAATGATTTTTTGGGGGGAAGATGGAGCAAGATGGCCAAATAGAAGCCTCCACTAATTGTCCTTTCTGCAGGAACACCAACCTGAACAGCATCCACACAAAAAAGCACCTTCATAAGAACTAAAAATCATATAAGCAATCATAGTACCTGGTTTTAAATTCAGATCACTGAAAAAGGCACTGACAAGGGTAGGAAAGACAGTCTTGAATCACCAACACCACCCCTCCCCCATTCCCCAGCAAGAGCTGCATAGCACAGAGAATCTGTGCACTTGTGGAGTGATTGTGGGACTTTGCATTGGAACTCAGTGCTGTCCTATCACAGCAGAAAGCAACACCAGGCAGAGCTCAGCCAGTGCCCATGCATGGAGGGAGCATTTAGATGAACCCCAGCCAAAGGGGAATCACCCATCCCAGTGGTCAGAATTTAAGTTCTGGCAAGCCTTACCACCACAGGCTAAAGTGTTTTGGGGTCCTTAATAAACTTGAAAGGCAGTCTAGCTCACAAGGACTGCAATTCTTGGGCAAGTCCTGATGCTGTGCTGGGCTTGGAGACAGTGGACTTGGGGGCATGCAACCTAGTGCATGCCGCAGAGTGGCCAAGAGAGTGCTTGTGCCACCCCTTCCCCAACCCCAGGCAGGCACAGCTCACAGCTCAGAAAGAGACTCCTTTCTTCTGCTTGAGGACAGGAGAGGGGAGAGTAAAGAGGATTTTGTCTTGCAACTTGGATATCAGCTTAGCCACAGTAGAATAGGGCACCAGACAGAGTCCTGTCCTAAGGCCCCCATTCCAGGCCCTAGCTTCCAGACATTTCTAGACATATCTTCAACCAAAAGGGAACCCACTGCCTTGAAGAAAAGGGCCCAGCCCTGGCAGCATTAGTTACCAGCTGACTAAAGAGCCCTTGGGCCCTGAATAATCAGTAGCAGTACTCAGGCAGTACTTCTCATGAGCCTTCGGTGAGACTCTGAGATGGGCTGGCTTCAGGTGTAACTCAGCACATTCCCAGCTGTGATGGCTACAGGGAGAAACTCCTGCTTGAGAACAGGAGAGGGAAGAGTAAAAGGGATTTTGTCTTGCAGCTTAGGTACCAGGCTTGGCCACAGCGGGGTAGAACATCAAGTGAATTCTTGGGGTCTCTAATTCTAAGCCCTGGCTCTTGGATGACATTTCTGGATGTGCCCTGAGTCAGAGGGGAGCCCCCTGTCCTGAAGTGAGAGTCCCAGGCCTGGCAGCATTCACCACAGACTGACTGAAGAACCCTTGGGCCTTGAGTGAACACTTGTGGTTTGGTAGTACTTGTCATAGACCTGGGGTGGTAGTGATCATGAGGAAAAACCACTAGCACTCTTCCATTACCTCTCTGTGGAAAGAGGAAGAGTGAGAAGAACTTTGACTTGTGGCTTGGGCGCCAATACTGCAGAAATTCAAAGGATCATCAGAGTCTACTATGAGCAACTATATACCAATAAATTGGAAAGCCTATGAGAGATGAATATATTCTTAGAAATATACAACCTACTAAGATTGAACCATAAAGAAATCCAAAATCTGAACAGAACAATAACAAGTAATGCTATTTAAGTAATACTTAAAAGTCTTTCAGCAGAAAAAAAAAAAAAAAAGCCTGGTGCCCAGTGGTTTCACTGCTGAACTTTGCCAAATATTTAAAGAAGAACTAGTACCAATTCTGCTCAAACTACTCCAAACAATAGAGGAGGAAGGAATACATCCAAATTCATTCTACAAAGCCAGTATTACCCTGAAACCAAAGCTAGACAAAGACACATCAAAAAAAAGAAAACTACACACCAATTTCCTTGATGAACATTGACATAAAAGTCCTCAAGAAAATACCAGCAAACTGAATTCAACAACACATTAAAAGGTCATTCATCATGACCATTTAGGATTTTTTTTTTTTTTTTTTTTGAGATGGAGTTTCTCCCTTGTCGCCCAGGCTGGAGTGCAATGGCATGATCTTGGCTCACTGCAGCCTCCACTTCCCAGGTTCGAGTGATTCTCATGCCTCAGCCTTCCAAGTAGCTGGGATTACAGGCGCCTGCCACCATGCCCAGCTAATTTTTATATTTTTAGTAGAGACAGGTTTTCACCATGTTGGCAAGGCTGGTCTTGAACTCCCAACCTCAGGTGATCCACCCACCTCAGCCTCCCAAAGTCCTGGCAAGACAGGCATGAGCCACCGCTCCCGGTGACCATTTAGGATTTACAGGAGTGATGTAACATATGCAAATCAATCAATGTGATACATCATAACAACAGAATGAAGGACAAAAATCATATGATCATTTCAGTTGATGCATTTGATAAAATTCAACATCCCTTCCTGAAAAAAAATCCCTCAAAAAACTGGGTAAGAAGGAACATAGCTCAGCAAAATAAAAGCCATATTTCACAGACCCACAGTTAGTATCAAACTAAATGGGGAAAAACTGAAAGCCTTATCTCCAAGATCTGGAACATGACAAGGATACCCACTCTCACCACTGTTATTCAACATAGTGATAGAAGTCCTAGCTGAAGCAGTCATAAAAGAGAAAGAAATAAAGGCCATCCAAATTGGAAATGAAGAAGTCAAATTATTCTTGATTGCAAATGATATGATCTTATGTTTGGAAAAACTTAAAAACTCCGCCAAAAAGCTACAGAACTGATAAACAAATTCAGTAAAGTTGCAAGATACAAAATCAACATACAAAAATTAGTAGCATTTCTATATGCCAACAACAAAAAATGTGAAAGAGAAACCAAGAAAGTAACCTCATTTACAAAAGCCACAAATAAAATAAAATACCTGGAAATTAACTTAATCAAAGAAATGAAAGGTCTCTGTGATGAAAACCATAAAACACTGATGAAACAAATTAAAGAGGATATAAAGAATGGAAAGATAATCCATGTTCATGGATTGGAAGAATCAATATTGTTAAACTTTCCATATTATGTGTATTAGGCCATTCTTGCACTGCTATAAAGAAATACCTGATACCAGCCAGGCGTGGTGGCTCATGCCTGTAATCCCAGCACTTTGGGAGGCCAAGGTGGGTGGATCATGAGGTCAGGAGATCAAGACCATCCTGGCTAACACAGTAAAACCCCATCTCTACTAAAAATACAAAAAAAATTAGCCAGGCATGATGGCGAGCACCTATAGTCCCAGCTACTCGGGAGGCTGAGGCAGGAGAATGGCGAGAACCCATGAGGTGGAGCTTGCAGTGAGCGGAGATCACGCCACTGCACTCCAGCCTGGGCGACAGAGCGAAACTCCGTCTCCAAAAAAAAAAAAAAAAAAGAAAAAGAAATACCTGATAGTGCATAATTTATAAAGAGGTTTATTTGGCTCATGGTTCTGCAGGCTTTAAAGGAGGCCTAGAGTCTGCTTGGTTTCTAGGGAGGCCTCACGAAGCTTACAATCATGGCAGAAGGTGAAGGGGGAGCAGGCACGTCACATGGCAAAAGCAGGAACAAGAGAGAGAGAGAGTTGGAAGGAGGCACCATGACCAGATCTCCTGTGAACTCAGAGTGAGAGATGGTTCAAGCCATTTATGAAGGATCTGCCCCCATAATCCAAACACCTCCCACCAGACCCCACCTCCAACACTAGGATTACATCTCAACATGAGATTTGGGTGGGGAAAAATATCCAAACTACCTCATTCTGCTCTGCCCCTTCCCAAATCTCATGTCTTTCTCACATTTCAAAATACAATATCTCTTCTCAGTTGCTCCCCCAAAGTCTTCACTAATTCCAGCATTAACTCAAAAGTCCCAAGTCCCAAATTCAAAGCCTTATCCCAAATCCAAATAAGTTCCTTCTACCTATGAGCCTGTAAAATCAAAAGAAGGTATTTACTTCCAAGATACAATGGCTGTACAGGCATTGGGTAAACATTCTTATTTCAAAAGGGAGAAATTGGCTAAAAGAAAGAGGCTACAGGCCCCATGCAAGCCCAAAACCCAGCAGGGCAGTCATTAAATCTTAAAGCTCCAAAATAATCTCCTTGGACTCCATATCCTGCATACAGGGCACACTGGTACAGGGGTGGGCTCCTAAGGCCTTGGGCAGCTCTGCCCCTGTGGCTTTCCAGGGTTCAGTCCCCATGGCTACTTTCACAGGTTGTTGAGTGCCAACAGCTTTTCCAGGCAAAGGGTGCAAGCTGCCAGTGGATCTACCATTCTGGAGTCTGGAGGGCAGAAGCCTACTTCCCACAGCTCCATGAAACAGTGACCCATTGGGGACTCTGTGTGGGGGCTCCAGCCCCACGTTTCCCCTCTGCACTGCTCTGACAGATGTTCTCTGAGCCATGGCTAAAGGTAGAGCAGCCTGGATGCAGGGAGCAGTGTCCTAAGGCTGCAAAGGGCAGTGGGGACCTGGGCCTGGCCCATAAAACCATTCAGTCCTCCTAGGCCTTAGGGTCTGTGATGGGAGGGGCTGCCTGGGAGATCTCTGAAATGCCTTCAAGGCATTTTTCCCATTGTCTTAGCTCTTTGCTCCCTTTTGGTTATACAAATTTCTCCAGCAATTCAGCCTGCTTGAATTCCTCTACTGAAAAAGCTTTTTGTTTCTTTACCACATAGGTAGGCTGCAAATTTTCCACACTTTTATGCTCTGCTTCCCTTTTAACTATAAGTTCCAACTTCAAGTTATTTCTTTGCTCCTGTATCTGAGCACAGGCTGTTAGACGCAGCCAGGCTATCTCTTGAACACTTTGTTGCTTAGAAATTTCTTTCATCAGATACCCTAAATTTTCACTCTGAAGTTCCAACTTCAACAGATCCTTAGGGCATAAACAGAATGCAGCCAAACTCTTTTCTAACACAAGATATGGGTGAACCTTTCCCCCGGTTCCCAATTAGTTCCACATTTCCATCTGAGATCTCATCAGCCTGGCCTTCACTATCCATATCACTATCGGAATTTTGGGTCACAATCACTTAACCAATTTTTAAGAAGTTCCAAACTTTCCCTCATCTTCCTGTCTTCTTCTGAGCTCTCCAAACTCTTCCAACCCCTGCCTGTTACCCGGTTCCAAAGTTGCTTCCACATTTTCAGGTATCTTTATAGCAATGCTGAACATCTAGTACCAATTTTCTGTGTCAGGCTGTTCTTGTGTTGCTATAAAGAAATATCTGAGACTGGGTAATTTATAAAGAAAAGAGGTTTAATTGACTCATGGTTCTGCAGCCTTTACAGGAACCATGGTGAAGACATCTGCTCAGCTTCTATGAAGGCCCCAAGAAGCTTACAGTCACAGTGAAAAGCAAAAGGGAAGTAGGCACATCACATGGTAAAGGAGCAAGAGAGAGAGTAGGGGAAGAGATGCTACAGCACTTTTAAATGACCAGATGTCATGTGAACGCAGAGCAAGAGCTCACTTGTCATCAAGGAGATGACCCAAACCAATCACAAGGGATCTGCCCCCATGATCCAAACACCTCCCATCAGGCCCCAACTCCAACACTGGGGATTACATCTCAACATGAGATCTGAGCAGGGACAAATATCCAAACTATATCACTATGTAAAGCAATCTATAGATTAAATATAATCCCAATGACATTCTTCACAGAAATGGGAAAAAAGTCCTAAAATTCATATGGAATCACAAAAGACTCAGAACAGCCAAAGCTATCCCGAGCAAAAAGAACTAGAGGAATCACATTACCTGACTTCAAATTACACTACAGAGCTATAATAGCAAAAACAGAATGGTACCAGCATAAAAACAGACACATAGGCTAAGGGAACAGAAAACTGAGAAAAGAACTCATACATCTACAGTGAACTCATTTTCAGCAAAGGTTTCAAGAACACACACTGGGGAAAGGACAGTCTCTTCAGTGAATGGTGCTGAGAAAACTGGATATTCATATGCAGAAGAATGAAATTAGACCCCTATCTCTCACCACATACAAAAATCAAATCAAAATGAA
Source organism: Homo sapiens (assembly GCF_000001405.40). NCBI lineage: Eukaryota > Metazoa > Chordata > Mammalia > Primates > Hominidae > Homo > Homo sapiens. The sequence continues at coordinate 47,660,196 of NC_000004.12, forward strand.
TAAAGACTTAAACCTATGACTTCAAACTATGAAACTACTAGAAGAAAACATTGGGGAAACTTTCCAGTACACTGGACTGCACAAAGATTTCTTATGTAATATCACAGGAACACAGACAACCAAAGCAAAAATGGACAAATGCGATTACATAAAGTTAAAAAGCTTCTGCAAAGCAAAGGAAAGTGAAGAGACAACTCACAGAATGGGAGAAAATATTTGCAAAATATCCATATGATAAGGGATTAATAACCAGAATATATAAAATGCTCAAACAACTCTATACAAAAATAACTAATAATCTGATTTAAAAATGGACAAAAGAGCTGAATAAACATATCTCAAAAGAAGACATACGAATGACAAACAGGTATATGAAAAGGTGCTCAACATCACTGACTATCAGATAAATGCAAATCAAAACTACAATGAGGTATCATCTCACCCAAATTAAAATGTCTTATATCCAAAAGACAGACAATAACAAATGCTAGCAAGGATGTGGAGAAAAGGGGATCCTCACCCACTATTGGTGAGAATGCAAATTGGTACAACCACTAGGGAGAACAATTTAGAGGCTTCTCAAAAAACTAAAAGTAGACCTAATACATGACCCAGCAATCCCACTGCTAGGTATATACCTAAAAGAAAGGAAACCAGTATATAGAAGAGATATCTGCACTCCCATGCTTGTTGCAGCACTATTCACAATAGCCAAGATTTGGAAGCAACCTAAGTGTCCATCAAAAGATGAATGGTTAAAGAAAATGTGGTACATATATGCAATGGATTATTATTCAGCCTTAAAAAAGAATGAGATCCTGTCGTTTGCAACAACAAGGATAAAAGAAGACGTCATTATGTTACCTGAAATAAGCCAGGCACAGAAATACAAACTTCTTATGTTCTCACTTATTTGTGGGAGCTGAAAATTAACACAATTGAAGTCATGGTGATAGAAAGTAGACCAATGGTTGCCAGTGTCTGCGAAGGGTAGTGGTGGGGGAAAGCAGGGTTGGTTAATTGGTACAGAAATATAGTTAGATAGAATGAATAAGATCTAGTATTTGATAGCACAACAGAGTGACTACAGTCAACAATAATTTATTGTACATTTAAAGATAACTAAAGGAGTATAACTGGATTGTTTGTAACATAAAGAAAGGATAAATGCTTGGGGTGATGGATATCTCATCTACTTGATGTGATTATTATGCACTGTATGCCTGTATCAAAATATTTTAGGTACCCCATACATATATACACCTATGTACCCACAAAAATAAAAGAATAGAAATAGAAAATGACTTCTTTATTTTTAAAATGAATGCAATATCTAACAGATGAGTGCCAAATTCTTCAATGCAATCAAGTTCACAAATTCACTCACCTAAGCAGCCTGATTGGAAACTAAATAGAAAACAAACAAACAAGAAGCCATAAATAGAAGAAATTCAAAAGGTAGCTAACATGTTCATCCATGTTAGATACCCTGCTGTAATTAATTTTAAAATTAACCTTCCACATATTCATCAGGCATCAGGCAGGTTTGATTGTCTGAATTTTCCTCTGGAAATTGACTGCAATCTGTGTCTTCAGGCCACTGTAGGCCCACAATCCCAAGAACAGACTCACAGCGTTCTTTAGAGTGTTCACACAATGCCCTAGATGAACAAGAAAGACAAAACATTAGAAGCAGAAATAGCTCCATCTGAGACAGATGTCATAAATTTATGTCAAGTTTTAATTCTGTGTATGTGGCATGTATTGTGGGTGTGTGGATATAAAAGATGCACATATATATGATAGGTATTTGGGAAACCAAAATGAGTAATATCTCTGCAAAGAGTATACATTCCAGCACCACACTTTCACCAAAAGAAACTTTATTGCAGAAATAGGTCTAAAGATGTTTCCAGGACACAGATTCCCTTCTCTACACTGCCTTTCTCATTCTGTCTTCTGTCTTTGAAGGAGACATATTCTCCAACCTTTTGTTCCAAACAGGGAAGTCTCCAACATCACTTTGGATAGTTTGCCACCAAAGTCATTGAATCTATACAACACCCTCATCCTCAGAGATCTCCCCCTCTGCAGACCAGCCTTGTGAGCCATCTCATGTGCCACCTTAGCTTGCCTAAGGCATGCCTCCCTTACTTCAGCTTCCATCAATATTGGTGAAAAGCTTAGGACTCCTTCCAAACCCACTTACGTTGAGCTCGAGTTGGTTAAAATGTTTGGTTTTTGTTTTAAAGAAATGATATATTATTGTATCAGGTGCTTTCGTGCGTATTATGTCTTTTGTCTCCAGAATATTTTTAAGTTAAAGTATCAGCGTGCCTCACAGAAGATTTCTTTACTTCTTTTTTTACTTCTTATGGAAAAAAATATGATTTTTGTCTCAATATATTACTAAGAAATTAGTTACACAGTTAAAAAAAAAACTAACCAAAGTAAGTTCCTAGGCCAATATACTCTTAATGGACTCAAATAAACTCTTACTTATCAAAAGTTTCAAATTTTATACACTAATTCAACTAAGTTCTCATTTTTAAGATAAAATGGGAGACAGATCTTCCAGAAAGGCCAGCTCCAGTCTTGCCCAAAACTGGTAGAGAAAGTGTAACAATCAAATGAGGAAATTTCGGAGAAAGTTCTGTCTAGGTTTAAGTCTGGACAAAGCTCAGCATAACTCAACACTGGCTTAGCCCAGGAATTTGTGGTAAAGATAAAGCCATGGTATTTCTATATTAGGTCAGGAAAGATGGAAAGTTCAATAGTTGATAACTGTCTGTTGAACTAACTAGTTTTGTTGCAGATTTATAAAAAATGTATATAACTCAATTGCAACTGCTATTTTAAATTAGTCATATGATACTTATTTGTACAAAAGACTATATAGTGCCTGACTCTACCACTTCCAATTTTTTTCTGTAAAATGGAAATTACAACAATATGCAGCACCACAAGTCCAGGGGGCGCTGTTCTTATCATAGTCCTTGTAGTGTTCAGCCATAGGTAGCACCTCTGATGATACACACTTCAAAAGGTTATTTTGAGTACGCTACAGCATAACAATCCTCAAGTATTTAGCCCATTGTAAGGACTCGATGTTAGATTTTTCAGTCTCATAGCTAAAAAATTCAATGTTAAAATTAATAAACACACCTAGCAAAAGCAACTATGTATTGCTTTATGAACTTATTAGCATATTATTCAAAAATTTCTTATAAACAAATATCAAAATATAAAATTCGTAGTGATAGACACTGAAAATGAAAGATGTATGGGTAAACCTGAAAAAAAGAAATAAATTTATCTAAAAGAAATTTACCAAAATTTTGATTGAACAACACTTCAGGATCATCCTTGGTCTTATGCATTTTAATATGGAACTTAAGCCCTGAAATTATAAATTACATCTGGATATAAATTCACATTTATATTTATAGCAGAAAATGCTGCTTCAGGGAAATTTTTATCTACATATGAAAAGAAAGTCAAATGCCAGAAATTGTTAAGTACTATTAAAAGAAATTATTCACTATCACTGACCTTGCTTTGCAAAAGTGAAGTAAGATTTAAAACAGCTTTTTAACATAAAATTGGTAGATGTTTTATTAGAGATACTTTTAAAAGTACTTAGCAGAAATTTTCAGATATTTTTCTACACAAGCTAACATTTAGTTTTATTCTCTCTATTGGTATAATTTGTTCAGTTCCCCAAGTCATTTTGAAATTTTATTATTTCCTGTCCTGTCTCTATAGATGCCCTTACTTTGTTATCCATTTGGTATTCAGCATATAATTTATTGTTTTCTCTTCTGTCCACTATAGTAATAGTACTGCTTTTTAAAAAAAACTCTGCGTGACTTCTGATCCCAACATATGGTTTCTGCAGTTGCTACTCGCATTTAGGCCAGCACATTTGTATACCTACCCCTTGAGGGAAAACAGCACTGAAGAGAGTAGCAACTCACTTCTGAGAGTCATCCTGTATATGCAAACCCTCTGACTACAATGCCTAACACATGGCGCAGCAAAGGGACAGACTGCCAAGAAGCTATTGTGTTCCTGTGCTATCATCATAGCTATTGTCCATTCAGGGTTCATTACAATGAATCAGAAGCACTTTACATTCATTTGATCTCAAAACAATACAACCCAACAACCATTACTATCCTTATTCTACATGTAAAGGAACCGAGGCTGAGAGAGACTCAGGATTTTGTCTAAGGGCTACCTAGAAACTAGAGAAGGGTCAAGATTTTAACCCAAACATGGACTCTGGAACAATACTCTTGACACTAGAATATCACTCATATTCAAAGTCCAAGCTACGCTCTTGAAATAGCGCATCTTATTTCATTCAAACAGGCAGAGAAATGTCAGCAATGTCCATCGCTGTCCAATCTGTGAGTCTGGCACTATGTATTCTTATGTCATATCTCTAACAAGTGCTGTCAGAGTGCAGCATTGTAAACACATCAGTGTTGCCAGAAAAAGAGGCAGATATATCCCTTTTATACTATCATACTTTTTTAAAAAAATGGCTTTTTAATACAACAGAATGAAATACCTGTGAATTTATTTGATTAAAACACATAAACTATCATCAAAGGACGTTCACAGCTCCCTTGTTTGGTACTTCGTTAATGAATTCTGACTCAAATATTCATTTTACAACTTCTACTTCTTTGTCTCACTTGTTAAATATAAAGTATTTGATAAATGCAGAGCTCCTTAGGGAAATTTACGTTGTCCAAACTCAACTAAGTCTTCACCCCTTGGTTCTCTCTGAGGCAAAATAAGGGACTGGGGTAGATCCCATCATATTACCTGCAAGGAGGGATATGCTCGCCTGTATTCACATCACATTTTGGTACCAAAATGGTGCAAGAAAAGAACATGAGGTATTTATAACAGTTGGTTTGAACAAGTGCAGGGAAAAGAGAAGACTCCCAGCTGATGGATGCTTCCTTTTGAGTCCTGTGGCCAAAATAATTTGGATAACTTGTACTGTTGTAGGGCAAATTCATGCAGAGTTCCAATGTAATTGGTTCACATTGACCTAACAAAGAAACATACACACAAATATTTTTAAATTTCACATATAAAAACAACTTCTTTAAGTTTTACAAACTTGAAGTCTATTTTATTCTTTCTTTAGAGTAGCTAAGACTAGAATGCCAGTAGTATATAACATTTTTTATGGATATTGAAAATAAGTAAGTTGATTAGTGAAGTGCCCTGGCAACTAAGATTCATTTCTGTATATGTAGTTGCTAGCACTGTGACAACATCTTGCTTTAGAAAGTCCTTCCTCATTTTTTCCCTTGGCTCAACTTATCTAAAGATGACTCTCTTTCATCATTCCTTTTATTGACTCCAATTCATCTTCTTCTTCTGATTTACTTATTACTACTAAAATAGGATAGCCCCATCATCTTCACTGTCACTAAACTAATTAATGAATTTGATCAAATAGGCAAGTAGATAACTTCTGTCTATATGTTTTATTGTTGATTAATGTGTTTAAATATAAGGCTACAAGATTTCAGGGCAAGAGGAGGCTCAGATCTGTTGAATACTTCTCACTAATAAGACAAAATCCAAACCCCTTAGCTTGAAGTCTGAGGCTATTTTATACTTCAACCCTAGGCTAACTTTTCAGCTTCATTGCCTGTGATTATCCAATCAACAGTATCTCTGCTGTAATAAATTCTATTCCCTTATGACACCAGATATTTTAAGAATTGTATGACTTTATGCACCCTGTTTGCTCCTCTCTTACCTCCTCTTTTATAACATGCTCATAATTATCTCCCCAAAGGTGGTCATGGTTCTAGCTGCCAGGGCCATACGGCACCTGCTGCCTGGATTAACCCTTTCCCATCTTCCCCAACAAGCTAACTCCTCTGTGGTCTGGAAGACTCAGCACAAATACCTCTTCCAGGAAACCTTCCTGGCCAACCACTCTTCCCATTACTACTTCCAGAATGAGTCTTTTGTGAGTGCAATAGCGTCTTAGGCACATACCCACCATATGTTCATTGCATTCTGCCATATTCTTTATTTACTTACTTGCCTCCCCTACACAATCCTGAGATTTTTGTGAAATGAGACTTTATCTCTTGATCTTGAAGTCTACACCTAGCACAGTGCCAGAATGAAGGGAGGAAAATGTATCAGGGACTATCCTAGGCAATGTAAATGTAAGAGTAATGAGAAATATTGTCTCTGCCACTGAGGAACTCCACAATCTCGATAGGAAAAAGGATGCACGCGCTGGTAGCTGTAGTAGAATGTGAACAGGGTAGGATAGAGTTTGCATGAACTGAACATTTGTGTATCTCCATTCATACGCTGAAACTCTAACCTGCAATGTGATAGTATTTGGAGGTGGGGCCTTTGGGAGGTGATGAGGTTTCAATGAGGTCTAGATGAGGGTGGCATTTATATGGGATTAAAGTCCTTATAAGAAGGAGAAGAGACTAAAGCTCTCGCTCTCTCAGCCATGTGAGGAAACGCAAGAGGGCAACTGTCTGCAAACCAGGAAGCAGCCTGTTACCAGAGACCAAGTCTGCCAGCATCCTGATCCTGCACTTCCAGCCTTCAGAACTGTGAGAAATAAATGTTTGTCATTTAAGCCACCCAATCCATGGCATTTTATTGTAGCAGCTTGAACATACTAAGACAGACATATTGAACAAAATGCTAGAGTCCAAAGGGAAAAGGTAGTGCAAGAGTGAACTGGGAAGCCCTCTGATATGGTCTGGCTGTGTCCCACCCAAATCTCATCTTGAATTGTAGCTCCCATAATCCCCACTTGTTGTGGGAGGGAGCCAGTGGGAGATCACTGATAATGGGGCAGTTTTCCCCATACTGTTCTCATGGTAGTGAATAAGTCTCACAAAATCTGATGATTTTATAAGGGGTTTCACCTTTCACTTGGCTCTCATTCTTCTCTTGTCTGCCACCATGTGAGACGTGCCTTTTACCTTCCACCATGATTGTGAGGCCTCCCCAGTCATGTGGAACTGTAAGTCCATTAAACCTCTTTCTTTTGTAAATTGCCCAGTCTCAGGTATGTCTTTATCAGCAGCGTGAAAACAGACTAACACTCCTTCCAATGATAAATGTGGTTTGGGCAGCTTTGGGGGAATACAGCAGAGAGGCTCCCAGCTCCCTCTCTCTGTTTGCAGTAGATATGCCACATTCCCTGTGTGGAGAGGCAGGCAAGCAAGTGTCCTGGTAAAATTCGCCCAGGCAGACCAAAGACTCCATGCCTTATTGAGAGTGATTATTCAAATTAAATTTAATTATTTGACTAAGAAGTGGTATCCATGCAAATAGATTTGCAATAAGGACTGGGCTGAAATATTAAAACATCTCCAGGACTACTTCTTAATTGAAAGAATCCGAGGATATCACAGATATTATATTTATAAGGAGGCTGATGTTGGCCTGATTAAAAAAAAATGATGCATGAAGTGCAATATGACTCTCAGTTTGCTGAAGAAGACACAACACTGAAAGGCTGGCATAATCTTGAGGATGAGTCAGAGTGGAGAGAAGACTAGACGGAAGAGGTTTGGGGTTGGTCGGTTCAGTTTATCCTTTCCTGTGATTTGTGAAGGAGGGGTTGGACATTATGGACTAAATGTTTGTGTTCCCCCAAAATTCATATGTTGAAATCCTAACCTCCAATGTGGTGGTATTAGGAGGTGGAGGCTTTGGGAGGTGATTGAGTTATAAGGGTACAGCCCCCAAGAATGGGATTAGTGCCCTTATAAAAGGGACCACACAGATCTCTCTCGCTCTCTTTTCACAGTGTGAGAATACAGTGAAAAGTCAGCCATCTGCAGCCCAGAGAGGGTCCTCACCAGAACCTGACCATGATGGCAACCTCATCTCAGATTTCCAGCTTCCAGAACTGTGAGAAATAAATGTATGTTGTTTATAAGCAATAATGATTTGTTATAGCAGTCTGAACTAAGACAAGAAGTAACATTTAAATATTTTGTTACAAGATTTAAAAATGCATGTTTTTCATAACAATAAAAACACTACAAAGATGCAGAAAGAAAAAGTTCAACATCTCTCCACTCCCCTTTCTGTTACCTTCCCTGCAAGCCAACAGAAGGCTTTGAATGCTTCCATGCCTTTCCCCGCTCACATTTATCCATACATGCCTTTGCACACTTAGACAGGGATTTCTGTTTGCTTTTGCCAAAGCAGAAGCATACCATTCCTATCACCCTTCAATTTGCTTTTGTTGCTTATTTGTCATGACCATCTTACAAGTCAGCACATGCAGCTCTAACTCTATGCTTTTTTCCTGATATCTTTAATATACTTAAAATTTTACACAATTGGTTCACTTACAGATATTTCTGATGCAGTCCTTTCTTTCCTTGTGCATACCCTCCGTTTCTTTCTTTCTACCACCCCATCAAGGTTCAACTTTTTATTGATGTATTTCACTGAAGATGATTAACAGAACATATCGCATGAATAATTTTTCTCTTTTTTACATGTGGAGAATGTATCACTTTTGATTTGGGTTAAGACATAACTTTTAAGTGTTTAGGAGCCAAGGAAAAGGAAAGGATTAAGTAATGATCATATATTATTCTGTAGATCTTTATTGAATTCGGTAAGGTTTATTGGATCTTGAGTTTTATTCCTTTAAAGGCATTCTTCACAGAATGCTAAGCAAGATAAACTCTCAAAATACCTGTCAACCCCAAATTCTATGATTTATGATATCAATAAGCTTTTTTATCTTAAGCATTAGGCTCATGTGTGATCCTGATTTAAAAATCGCCACTAGAGGGAGATCGCATCACAAACGTGAGGATATTTTAGGGCTGCAGAACTGTGCTTCCGATATAAGTTTGATGTAGTACCCAGTACAGTGTCCCGAACACAGATGAGGTTTAATAAAGATCTGTCAAAGAAAAAAATCCTGATGGAATCTCAATGGTATTCCACCTTTCAAAGTCTGTAACAAGATTCGTTCAATTCAACCTAAAGATGGGATCGTTAACTCAATGGTGTTATATCGTTATGATGTGATACTCTGAAGTTACTAGAAATCATGTATTAAGCGATGGTCATTTACATGAAAAATGTGACTTTTCTACATCTAGCTGCGTATATAATAATATTCAAAAATTCATCTTTGCCTCAAACTCTAAATCCCTCTTTAACATTATTATTTTTAATAGTTTGATATTATTTTAAGGTGAACATCCTTATAACTACCTCCCAGGTCAAGAAACTGAACTCAGGCAGACACCGCAGAAACCTTCCATATATCTTGTCTTATCTCAACTGTCTCACTTCCTTGCTCTTCTATATATATATATATATGCTTTTTTTTTTTTTTGTGACAGAGTCTCGCTCTGTCACCCAGGCTGGAGTGCAGTGGCACGATCTGGGCTCACTGCAAGCTCTGCCTCCTGGGTTCGCACCATTCTCCTGCCTCAGCTTCCCGAGTAGCTGGGACTACAGGTGCCCACCACCACGTCCAGCTAATTTTTTTGTATTTTTAGTAGAGATGGGGTTTCACCATGTTAGCCAGGATGGTCTCAATTTCCTGACCTTGTGATCTGCCCGCCTCGGCCTCCCAAAGTGCTGGGATTACAGGCGTGAGCCACCGCACCCGGCTTCTTTATAATTTTATTACCTAAGTGTGTACCACCCCTGGATATTGTAATTTAGGCTTGCCCATTTTTTGAAACTTGTCCTGTCTTTTAAGTCTCTCGTAGTCTTTGGGTTCCTCCTCCATTCTTTTGTTTTTCTTTATAATTTAACTATAGAAGAACCCAGACATTTGACTTGTAGGGTATACCAGCTTTTGAATCTTGCTTATCGCACACTCCTGGTGAAGTTAAACACGTTCCCCATTCTTTCTATTTCTGAACCTCGGCAGCTGAATCAACAAGAGTGGGCTGGGCTTCATTCCATTCACAAGACTAGAAGTGGCTAAGCTGTTCTTTCACCAGAAGCCACATCATTCTGATTTCCCTCTTTTTGTGATGTTAGCAGCTGTAGATGCTCCATGTCTTCATTCATTAATTCAACGTGTTACCAAATGGTAATATTGTATTCAATCTTTTTTTCACTTATTAGAAAATGCACATGGAAATGCTTTTGTAAATACATCATTCCTCTCTTCTACTATTTGCTCCTAAGGACAGAAGTCTGTAACCATTATAGTGATTGGCTTCTCTACCACATGACTACACCGTTTACTCCTACCAACTGAAGCTTGCAAAGAGAGAGTAGGAAATTGCTAGACCCTTAGGGAATTATTCAAAAAGCAAACCTGTTCATTTCTTCCTTGGTGTTGAATAAGAGGGGAAAATGCACGAGTAAGCGTAAAACTAAAGGTTGACGAACACTGTGGGAGGCTTGAGAGAGGGCCTGGGACATGACAGCCATGCCTGGATTTCACAGCCATGGTCAGCATGGGCACAGGGAGGCAGGAGAGACATGCCCAGGAGTCGCTTTTGCAGGTTCTCCCCATTGTCTGGATTGCATACCACAAGGGAGAAGTGATGGATTAGTCCCTCCACACCGGAATGAGGAGAATAGCATTCCTGCTCCTACCCTCAAAGGCAAGGACACATCTGTATTTTGCCTCCCAACATGGCACAGAAATGTTAAAGATGCTGGGTTGTGACTGGACATGGCAACACAGGCTGCTAAAAGCTATTTCTTGAAAAAACTATGTATCATAAGAAATGTGGTTTTTAGGCTTTTTAAAAAAGCTGTAGGCACTTCTGTGAATTTAAAATAAGCTTCTCCACTGAAAAATGCACATGGGAATACACAAACCTTTTCATATTCTATTTCAAAGTTCTCACATACCCCTGCAGCCCAGTCATAAATAGGCACTAGAGCAATACATTCTCAACCTTGGCTATACATTGAAGTCATCTGTAGAATTAAAAAATACTGATGACTGGGTCCCACCCAATATATCTTTAGCGACCATTAGAAAATCACATAATATTTTATGGGATGGCAAGAATCAGAGTCTTCAAGGACAAGAATCCCGGCAACTCCAGTGAGAGGCTGTCTCCACCAGACAGAATATCTACTACATTCTCCAAACTCAAATTTTCCTTTGGCATCAAGCAGACTAAGAAATTACTGTTCATTTGTGCCTCAGAAGCTAAGTAATACTAGTCTCTTGATAGTGGTAAACATCTTCAAGTAATGAACCATATTTTCAAATGTATGAAGGATTTTCTGAGATGCCACTTGTTTGTCCTTACAGAGACCTAAGTATGCATATATCATCTTGAAGTTCTTTGAAAGATCAGGAATAACATCTTGACTTTCAACTGCAAGTTAGGCACATACGCCTTATTTTTTATTTATTTATTTTTTTATTGAGACGGAATCTCGATCTCTCACCCAGGCTGGAGTGCAGTGGCACGGTCTCAGCTCACTGCAACCTCCACCTCCTGGATTCATGCCATTCTCCTGCCTCAGCCTCTTGAGTAGCTGGGACTACAGGCGCCCGCCACCATGCCCGGCTAATTTTTTTTTTTGTATTTTTAGTACAGACTGGGTATCACCATGTTAGCCAGGATGGTCTCAATCTCCTGACCTCATGATCCACCCGCCTCGGCCTCCCAAAGTGCTGGGATTACAGGCGTGAGCCACCGCGCCCGGCCTATGTGCCATTTTTAATAACACAGGAGTAATGAGGGCAAGTGGCTAGCCTAGTGGCTTTTACTCAGAAGAGAGCAGGTGCAAACGTTTGCTGAATATATGTGGAGAGAAGTTGGCAAGAATATACATGATGAATGAGGAAGCTGGTGACACAGTGAGACACTAGGTAAACTGAGTGTATTTAAAGAGCTTAAAGAGAACAACAGTGTAGAATATATCAGTGGGAAGATGACAATATGTTCTCCCACACTGAAAAGTGACTTCTAAGAAGCTAGAAGCCTGTCTCCTTTCTCCACCACTAGAAAGCCCAGCGCCCATCCCGATGCTTGGAACATCATGTACACACTACAAATATTGGTCAGCTCTATGAGCCAAGAGTTATCCAGTTGCCTTTCCTACAATTTATTCTTTTGACAGGAGACAACATATTTTAAATATTTAAAATTCGAAATATTTCAAATATAGAGAAAATAGGATAACATACACCCAGTCACTTCCTACCCAAATTTGACACAGGCTAACATTGCCTTTTCTACATTTTTGAGTCTAATAGTAAGTGTCATTCCATGTCAAACAACCCCCAAAACTTTAATAGTAAACACATGTCTTTGAGATGACACTGTCACTATTTAAGTTGAAGGTGAAGTAAGGAAATCGCTCTGAAAAATTTCCACGGCAGATTGAGAGACGAGTAAAATGAAACAATGGAAACAGTGGCCCAAATATGTTATACGTGTGTGTGTGTGTGTATATATATACACACATATATACACATATATATGCATATCTATAGATATGTTCTATTTAAATCAGTTTCTATTTAAATCAGTTTAGAGGAAGTAAAATGGCAGTTTGAGTGTGTTGACTTTGTGGCTTGACTAATATCTACTGTTCTCTCATATGGGAAATGGAGGAGGGGTGGGCATGTGCTTCCAGGCAAAGAGTTATTAAATGCCACAGTCAATCCTGTCAGTCTGGGTTAATTAGCTGCCTGCCTACACCCCCTTCCCAGCCTCCTTTTTTCACCCCCTTGAGACTCTGTAACAGTTATAGAGGTACTCACTATAAGCTCTACAGTGACCCAGAAAAATTAGGACCGCGAAACTGCAGCAAATGCAAGGCCGAAGACTTTCAGCATCCCAGCTTCCAAGGGCCTTAGACTGAGAGGACATGTGTTAAGAAGTAATACCCTGGCTGGGTGCAGTGGCTCGCGCCTGTAAGGCCAGTGGATTACTTGAGGTCAGGAGTTTGAGACCTGCCTGACCAACATGGTGAAACGCCATCTTTACCAAAAAATAAATAAATAAATAAATAAATAAATAAATAAATAAATAAATAAATTAGCTGGGTGTGGTGGTGTGTGCCTATAATCCCAGCTACTTGGGAGGCTGAGGCAGGAGAATCGCTTGAACCTGGGAGGCGGAGGTTGCAGTGAGCCGATATCGTGCCACTGCACTCCAGCCTGGGTGACAGAGCCAGACTCTGTCTCAGAAAAAAAAAAAAAAGGAATATCCTCTTGCCAACTGAAAACTGACTGACCTGCTTTTAAATTTCTAATCCCAACCTGAAAATGCAGCAAAAAGTTCATTAGAAAAAGTGAAAGAAGCGAGTATAACATGAAAACAGAGCCCAGGAGTCAGAAATCATTACTAGAAATCAGTCGCTGGGGATTTTCTGATTCCATTTTCCATGAGAGTCCATAGGGTGCTCTTTCACTTCCGCCCATTCTGTCTTCCCCAAATAACTCCTCCTCCTGAAAGTCATTTTAGAGCCACCTGCTTACACCGTTTGGAGCTGTTACACTGTCACCGAAACAAATTAGCCTAATGGTTCCGAAACCATTACAGGTCATCAGAGTTCCTGGAAAGGCGAGAATAAATTTCATTAAAAGAACCGACTGCCTATAATCCCAGCACTTTGGGAGGCCCAGGCAGATGGATCACTGAGGGTGTTTAGCGCCTGTAATCCTAGCTACTGTGGAGGCTGAGGCAGAAGAATCACTTGAATTTGGAAGGCAGAGGTTGCAGTGAGCCAAGATGGGGCCACTGCACTCCAGCCTCGGTGACAGAGTGAGAGTGTGTCTCAAAAAAAACAGAACAGATTGCCAAAGTTGTATGTGGCTATTTCTATGAACTTCATATTTGCTTCTTGGTTAAAGTTTCCATTTTTGAAGCTATGCTTTAAAAAGGAAGAAAGATAGCATCTGCCTACAGATGGAGCCAAGAAAATAATACAGAGAACTAATGCTGAGTTGAAAGTAATGGTAATGATATTAAGCAATGTGGACTTATAGGCGTTCGCAATGACACATTTGTTTCTGATTGAAGTTAATTAAGACCATTTGGTTTCTTTACTGCTACCACATGCGACCTTTTAAAAAGAAAAAGAAAATAGGTAGGCTTTTTTGGAGGGATTCCAGACTTCAGTATTTGAATGTCAATGCAGAAGAAAAATGCTGAATGCATGCCCTGACATGGCTATTGCATTTGTCAGCTGTTGTACTTACTACAGTTATTCAGACTGTTGTTCGGGTCACAGAGAGAGCTACCACCACATGAATCAAGGCAGGGATTGTAGAGGCATCTTTGGTCTCCTTCTTGACATGAAGTCTGAACTACAGAGGGAGGAAAAGGCACATTGGCTTTCATCATCTACAAATTCCTTACCTAAGGATCTAAAAGATCAGGAATGTCTGATGGAGCTGAGGAATAACACAACTTTAATTTCCTTCCAATTTCTCCAAAAGTATTGAACGTACGTTGAATAGGTGCTTTCTGGATTCATTTTCCTGGTAATTAAATACAATCCAGGTATTCCAAAATAGGAATGAAGAAATAAGAGACAAACTACACTAAAAACAGGTGGTTGTTGCATTTAATGGGAAAAAAATAGTGTTTTCTTTTTACATGGGTGCCAACACTTGATTACAAAATAAAATTCAAGAGATTTGAGGGACAGAGAACGTTATAAAAATCTTGAAATTCTGAATATTAAGTGACACTTTTTTAAGACTCATTTGCTCCCAATTCTAGTCTCCCTCTAAGGAAAATGCTTTCTCTAGTAATAAATAGGGCATCAACACCAATACAATAAGGATACTTTACCATAATACAAGTGTTATGCAGCTGTTATCCATATTTTCAATATGTCCTTGGAAAGTGTCATCAGCCTAGCTGTGATGACTTGAGAACTGGGTTTCTTGTTTCTAAGTGAATGACAGCAGTAGTATCAGTGTTTGCCCTAATGATTTTTCCTTAAGGTAGGTAGAGAGGAAACTGCTTTTCCTTGATTCCCTGGTCATTTGTAGATTAAATGGAGAAGGTAATAAATTACTGCCCATTCACTCTCTCCCCCATTACGATCAATTACCTTCAGGCATGTCATCTGGAATCTAGTCAACCTTGCAAGGCACTTTTAAGTATAAATAATAGTATGTGTGTATGTATAATCATTCTTACCTATAATTCTAAGATGATGTTTATTATACTGAAATATTTATCCTTTCCAGTACCACTAATGTGCAAATTAATACACAAAGCCTTGCAGAAAAGAGATGTCACTCTTTTTTTAATGTCAGCAGGGTCAAAATTTTTTCTCAAAGCAAACCTAAACAATTTCTGTGAGTTTAGGCTCTTGAGGAGGTTTTATTGACATCATGCATTCATTATTTTGGCAAATATTAAGTGCATGCCATGTGACAATCTATGTGACAAGCTAGGCACTGAGCATTAAAACATAAAAGGGCATAATACCCCCTGGGAAGTGGCTTGTGCTCTGATAGAGGTATCATCCTGAACAAAACCTTCTGATGCTGTGTGATCACTGCTTTATGGAAGACATATTTATTTTTACTTATTTATTGTTTCATAGAGATGGGGGTCTTGCTATATTGCCCAGGCTAGTCTCAAACTCCTGGTCTCAAGTAATTCTCCTGCCTCGGCCACCCAAAGTGCTGGGATTACAGGCATGTGCTACCACGCCCAGCTAAAATACATTTAAAGAGCAGTAGAAGCCAATGAGACCAGTATGGGGAAGTTTCTCAAAGGACTTTTCCAAGTCATGGTAAGAGGAAAGGATGGGTTTCCCAAGCCAAGAAACAGCACATGCAAAGGCCTAGAATAGGGAAGTGCACAGGTCAAAGTAACTGGAGCTTCAACCACTGAGAAAGGGGCTGAGAGAGGCTAGACAGATAGGCAGGGACAGAGCCTGAAGAGTTTCAAAGGCCTGACTCTTCAGCAAGACCCAAAGTCTCCAGAGAAGTGGCCCCTGCTTCCCTTTCCAGCTCTGTCTAGCAGAACAAACCTGCAACCCATGCTGACAATTATGTAGTATTTAGTACCAGGCCCCCTTTCGTTCTCAGCTCTCTAATCACAATGGTCTGCCTTCTCTCATGGTCCTCCTACACATGCCTTGCACCTTCCCACCACAGGAATTTTGGTCAAGCGGTGCCTTGTGTCTCAATTGCTTTTTCAAGCCCCGTTCTTTTTGGTTAACCCCACTCATCCTTCAGGTCTGAGCTCCAGTATCTCTTCCTCAGGGAAGCTTTGTCTGAGGCGCTTTACCAGGGCATGCACCCTATTAAGGGCATCCAAGCACCCTGAATTTCCCTTCTTAGCCTCTGTTGCTGCATGGTTAAGCATTGACTTGCCTAATAATTCGTAGCATGCCTATGTCCCCCAGGAGTCTGCAAGCTCCATCAGCGGTTTTGCTTACCACTGAATTCCCAGGGGATGGCCACATATAAACACCACAATATACATTTTTTGAGTTGAATCCATTAAAGTGAACAATATAAAAATACTAAAATTTTACTTTTAAATCTGTTTTATCATATGACTTTCTTACATCTCACACATGTAAGGAAATAATCTACAAAGCCTGCCATTTCATCATGAAAAATCCAAAATTATTTCAGAGTTGAATTATACAGAAAGAAAGAATAGTTTGATGCAAACGGAAGTGCTCGGTTGATATGCACACAATAAATTACGTTTAATAAAGGATTTCATTCTGAATTTAAAAACTGGTAAAACAAAGCACTCTTTATATATTATTTTTATGTAATAAGTCTGTGACTGAAAAGCTCTCCCTTTAGGTCTTGGGCATTTTTCCATTAAAGTTATTCTAATGATCAATATGCATTACGACAAACCTAATTTATCTATAGGTGACCAGTCTCATTGGCTGATTATGAATATACACAGCCCAAGATATGCTTTAATGTAGTAGCCATGTAATAAAAGCTCACATATATTGAGTTTTTGCCATATGCCAACACTATGAAGTAGTTATCACTATTCTGAGTGTACAGACACGCAAACTGAGACCTAAAAGGGATGTAAGTATCTTGCCAAAAGTCACCATATAGTAAGTAGCAGACCGAGGCTTGATCCTGGGTATCAGGGCTGCAACAATCATGTTATTAACAACTAGGCTGTGCCCGTGTAGTATAAACAAATGTGATGTTTGAGTCTAGGCATATTCTTCCCTGGACCCTACTGAGAGGCTTCCACACACACTGGAGCTGCATAGAACTTTCTTTTCTGACAGAAATAGTTACATTTAAAAAACAATTTATTGGATCTAGTTTTTCTTTTTGAGATTCACACGCAGATATCAAATCCTTTTAAAGTGTATTGCTCGGTAATAAGAGGCATTAAACTGCTTCTCTGAACATGATTATTTTAGGAAGACATTACATTTCCTTTCAGAAGCCAATTTCTTCTCACTGGAATCTAATCTGATTTAATTGGATGCTATACACTAAACTTCTCTCTTTATCACGGCTTTCCCCATCGAACAGTTAAGTGAATCTGACCATGCTGTTCAGGTGTCTCACCTGAGGAATGATTTTCAGTGTAAGTTGCTTGAGAATTATGTTTAGCACAAGAAAGTGTTTCCTGGCTGACTAGGGCTGTGAGGACCACTATGTTAGGCAATCTGGGATTATTTACATGGGAATCCTACTTAAGCAACTTCAAATGTGTTCCTTTGTTCCCAAGGAGAGGACCACCAGTAAAGGAATGTTCTGGGGTGGTGGGACACACTTACTGACGCTGCAGTTCTCCTCATCACTCCCATCCTTGCAGTCCTCGTCACCATCACATTGAAACGTGCTGGGGATACATTGTCCATTTCTGCATTCCACCAGACCCTGGCTGTGACAGGCTAGGAAGGACCATAACAATATTCACTTTATTTATTAATTCTTCTCTCTCAATCTGCACATCAAATAAGCAACAGCCATTTATCAAGCATCGCTAAGAAACAAGGTGTTCTGCACACACAAATGAACATATCATTGATTTTATTTCTAGAATTTTTCCTGCCTTATTGAACAGCACTTACCAAGATTAACTTTTTCTTGAGAACTGTGTGATTGTTTTTAGTGATGGAAGTATCATGATCCTACTTACTAATAAAAATGACAATTTGTAAAGGGTTCATTATATGGCAAGAGCTGTGCTAACTGCATTGTATATATAATCTCAAATTCTCATATAAATCTTGTAAAGTAGATACTATCATCTTTGTTTTACAGATGAGAAACTAAAGTTTACAGAGCATAGTACTTGCTCAAAGTCCCATGGCTAAGAGCTACAGCCAGAATGTGAAGGCAAGCTTTTTGGACTCTCAGCCCCAATATTTCATTATTTATCTACTTGACCTCATAAGCCAACAAAATAGTATATGGGAAAGAACTTGCATAGTAACTAACACATAATAAACACTTTATTTCAACACTTGTTTATGACAACTGATATTTGAAAGGGATGGCCTAATATCCATTAACCTTCTAATTCCTATCGGTTCTCTAAATTCTATACCTATTGTCTTTTAGAGTATCGGAAACCCATGGATCATGTGACCTCAGCCTTCACTGAATTACTAATATTATGACCTCTCTGTTCTTGAGTCAAGACTCCACACCAGAAGTGTTCTACCTGAGCACCATGTCCTTGCTTCTCCAAGATCTAGTGAGATACAGTCCACTCTGTTCCACTGTGTCCACTAGGCAAGGACTCGGAGGACATCCCACTTCAAATCCATTTCAGGGAAGAGGAGAGCTACGCATTGTGACTTTTTATATGACTTTTCTTATGTCAAAATAAAAACTATGTAATCCACATTTCTATTTTTGCCTCAAATTATAAGCCAATTAAATATTCAATCTCATGTATATAATCAACTTTCTTACTTTTACTAGACACAAAAAGATGAAATGAAAAGTATAATTAATTCAAACATGCAAAAGAACATATCACATTAACTCTTTCAGGTCAACTGCACTCTCTCTTAAGACCTGACAGCTTCTATTCAATCATGTATATTATTCTCTAATGGGTATAGTATATTTTCCAGGGGGAAAAAGTGTTAATAGCCATACTTGTTATTAGTTTGAAGTATAACAACTGTCTGAAGATTTTCATTCACACAGAAACACAACAGTTTATAAATTTATATTATTACTACGTTCTCTCTTTTTTTTTTTTTAAAGATGGAGTTTCACCCTGTCACCCAGGCTGGAGGGCAATGGCTTGATCTTGACTCAGTGTAATCTCCACCTCCCTGGTTCATGCCAGTCTCCTGCCTCAGCCTCCTGAGTAGCTGGGACTACAGGCACCTGCCACCACACCCAGCTAATTTTTGTATTTTTACTAGAGACTGTTGGCCAGGCTGGTCTCAAACTCCTGACCTCAGGTCATCTACCCATCTCTGCCTCCCAAAGTGCTGGGACTACAGGCGTGAGCCACCATGCCCGGCCTATTATGCTCTCTTTGTATCATCATATGAACATTAAAGGCTCTCTTCTCTCTGACGATTCTTTCCATGTTCTTCCACAAATGGCCCCTGAAAACATGTTAGGGCACTCCTGCAGGGAAGCTTAACTACTCATGTATTGTTTGCAGAAGAAAGGTTCCCCATTCTGTGGGCAGAGCATCACCTTTGACAAAGTCACAGAAGCATAAAAGAGACATATGGAGCAACGAGAGAGAAAACAGACACCCACTTGGCTAGATCAGCCAAATGAAGCTTGGAGTTTTGCAGGGAGAGGTGTGGAAGTCAGATACACTCCATTGCTATTGTCATCCCATGACTCAGTGATCTTTACAGGCTAGAACCAAAGCATAAGAATCTTTCCCTTGGAATGCTGTGTATATAGTGAGTCTTAAGTACAGTCCTCAACCTTGAGTACAGCCTAAAGAACCAGAAATGGAAAAATAAGCAAAACAAACGTCCTCAGAGCACTCACAGCAGTTGACCTCGTCAGACTTATCCACACAGTCGTGGTCACCATCACACACCCACTCCATGGCGATGCAGCGCCCGTCCCCGCAGCGATGCTCTGTTGTGGGATTGCAATCTGGAGAAATGAAAACTCACGAGGATGCAGAGAACCAGCATGACTAACAGGCAGGATTCTATGGCTCCCAGTTCCCATCGAAGAGAGTCTGTTCCAATGGCTCCAATACCTTCAATAACATTTCTACAATAGGTCTGGCCCAATTAAAATGCCACGCCCTCCCCACTCATGTGCCCCACTGACCACCATCACTGTGGGGTAAGATGGGTCTGTTTTTCAGATAAGTAACTACTCTAGCTGCCCCAGGACCCGTAGTTTGTTCTTATTGTTGTTGGCTTTTGTTTTCTTTAGTTGTCATTTTCTTTCCTTATGAAAAATTTATGATTTCTACCCTGGTTCAAAAAACAGAACTGTGATTTGTGTTTCACAATGCGGCTAGCGGATTTGATGTATCTGTAACAGCTCTCTCACGTTTCTAGGAATTATAACTTACCTGTCTGGCAAATTGGGAAGGCACGTATCTCCTTGTCATCTCTCCTGATGCTAAGCTTAAGTTTTTAATTGATTATCTTTTTTTTGAGACAAGGTCTCTCTCTTTCTCCCAGGCTGGAGTGCAGTGGTGTGATCATAGCTCACTGCAGCCTCAACCTCCTAGGATCAGGTGATCCTCCCACCCCAGCCTCCAAGTAGTTGGGACTACAAGGAATATGCCAGCATGCCTGGCCTTATATCCAAAAGAACTGCTAGGTAAGCCATGCAAAATATTTATGTTATATTCATGATTCTTTTTAGCCTGGACTTCAACTTTGTCCCAATTTATATATTAGTGAAAAAGAACTAAGTGATAAGTTCGCTCTCACAAAGGGCAGAATCCATAGGATGCTTTGCCATGAGAGGTGGTATACCCTGAATATAAGCAGTGTTTTAGAAGATGTATGTGGATTCATGAATAATAGATTCCATGAGAAAGTATGATGAGTCTAGTAACAGTGCCATGGTCATAGACAGACTTCCGGAGTGACCATGGATCTTAAAGCATATTTTGGATCAACAGAGGAAAGTATAGGGAGGACATAGGTTTGAGAAAAGAAGAAAAGCATAAGAAGTGCTTGGGCAGGAACCAGAAGAGCACAGGGAGCCAGGGCAGAGGCTGGTCTGAAGGAAAGTGATAATTATTGCTATTAGATGGAGACAACTGGCATCCAGACACACAAACTTCATGATAGCCTGCTATCTTCAGAGGAATTCTGTTGCCTGTTAAGACCATTTTTTCTCACATGCTACCTGCATGCTGGCCCTCTCCACTAACCTATCCAACTACCAAACGACACTCACTCATTTTCAATCCCCTGCATTTCCTAATTATCTCACTGGTAAAGGGAAGGGTTGAATCTGATGATCTCCAAGGCCTCCTGCAACTATAATTTCTGTGATCTATATAATTACAATTTCCTCTCATCCTTTTTCTCAAGACTAGTCAGTCCCAGGATATAACCCACATCTAAATGTAAATTAGTATAGTCATTATGGAAAACAATATGGAGGTTCTTGAGAAAACTACAAATAGAACTTCCATATAACCCAGCAATCCCACTACTGGGCATATACCCAAAGGAAAGGAAATCAGTATATCAAACAGACATCTGCACCCCCACATTCACTGCAGCACTACTCACAATAACCATGATATGGAATCAATTTATGCCATCAAAAAATGAGTGGAGAAGAAAATATGGTACATCTACACAATGGAATACTATTCAGCCACGCCAAAAGAATAAAATCCTGTTATTTGTAGCAACATGGATGAGCCTGGAGGACATTCTGTTTAGTGAAATAAGCCAGGCATAGAAACAGAAATACCACATGCCCTCACTCATATGCAGAGTTGATCTCATGGAAATAGAGAGTAGAACAGTGGTTACTAGAGGCCAGAAGGGTATGGAGGAGGAGGGACAAAGAGAGATTGCTGCCAGGTGCGGTGGCTCATGCCTGTAATCCCAGCACTTTGGGAGGCCGAGGCAGGCAAATCATGAGCTCAGGAGTTAGAGACCAGCCTGACCAACATGAAGAAACCCCATCTCTACTAAAAATACAAAAATTAGCTGAGCGTGGTGGCACACACCTGTAGTCCCAAGTACTCAGGAGGCTGAGGCAGGAGAATCACTTGAGCCCGGGAGGCGGAGATTGCAGTGAGCCGGGATAGCGCCACTGCACTCCAGCCTGGGTGATGGAGCAAGACTCCATCTCAAAAAAAAAAAAAAAAAAAAAAGAGAGAGAGAGACAGAGATTGTTTAACTGATACAAAATTACAGCTAGATAGGAGGAACAAGTTGTAGGTTTTTATAGCACTGGATGGTGACTATAGTTAATGATAATTTATTGCATATTTTCAAATAACTAAATGAGAAGATTCTGAATGTTCCTAATACAAAGAAATGATAAATGTTTGAGGTGATGGATACACTAATTACCCTGATTTGATCATTACATATTGTATACATGTATTAAAATATCATGCTGTATTCAATAAATATGTACAACTATTATTAGTCAAAATAAAATAAAAATAAACTATTATCAGAAAAAAGCAATAACCCACCTCTATCTAGTCACACAGGAATGGTTTGTACACATACATTTTAAAATATTTTTACAGATACAGCAAGTGGCAGCTAGACAGCGCTCCTAGAAACCACCAGGTTTCCCAGCATGGGGTTATTCCTAACATTCATGATTCCAATGCCTTCCTCTGACCATACCGCTGATCCTTCCCAAACATTCATTTTGATGTTATCTAATGCAGGACATTGTCTGATATCATTTGTCCAGGGTGTATCCTCATCCCAGTTTGCCCTTTTGTTCATGTTGCAAAGTTCCTACGTCACTCAATAATATGCTACCTAAAAATTCTGAAGCTAGTCACAAAGCCAAAAAAGTAAATGAGCAAGAGGAATTTTGCTGATTTTAATTCATGAGATGGCATTCAGAATTGGACATGACTCTTTAAAAAGTGGGGTTATTCTTTAAAAGATAAGATCACCATGTGTACACAAAACAAATGCATCATCCTAACCCTGGGTGTAGCTGCTGAACAGGTGGTCCCTGTACTATTTGAGGATTAAATAAAGGAGGGGACTTCAGTCACATGTACCAAGGGAATCAGGCACAGACAATATATCTGCCCTCAAAGTTTGCTCAAAAGCCCAAATCTAACGTAAGCCACTGGCTCTAACCAGAGGAGAAACAGAACACATTTGAGGAGAGGAAAAAAAACTATTAATGCATTAACAACCTTTACCAGTCTTCCCATCCCACTTCTTAAACATTTTCTTAATATGATTTTTTAGGTATTACATTTACACATAAGACATTACTGAGGACAGTGACTGAACAAACTTCCTCCTTCTAAAAAACAAGAAACCAATCATTTTGTAATTTAAACTGCTAATCATATTAACACATAATGAACTGTAAGTTTTTGGTTATAAATTTCTATGATTTTAAATTAAAACCTTTGGGGAAACAATGCTACTTACCACAGTTTTGCTCATCACTCAAATCCCCACAGTCATCATATCCATCACACACAAGGCTGTAATTAAGGCACTTGCCTGTGTGACAGTGAAACAGATTCTCGCTGCAGTCTGCAAATAAAAGAAGCCACCAGTGTGTCATCAGAGCCATACAGAATGCTATTGTAGTACGATATTTAACAAAAGCCAATCATGGAAGGGACACCCTAATGGTAACCTGGTCCACACCTATTGTTTTATAGGTGAGAAGGTGGCACACAGAGATACAACGACCTGTTCAAGGCCACTTGAACAGTGGCTCCCAAGCCAAGTGATTTTATCACTTTCTGATGTGTTTCTCTGACTTCTATTTTATGTCACCTGAACGATCCTTGATTGTTAAAGATGAGAAAAGACATTCTCAGTTCACCATCATTCCTAATGAAGTTCTTGTTCATGCAGAATAGACTTTAGTAACTCTTATGTTTTCTTTAGAGTTGAAGTCTAGGTTTGTCAGTAGAAAGCATAAACATAACAAATAAAATAAGTCATTTAGATTATGGAGTTATTATTTCCTTTCACATAAACATTACTGCTTAAGTCAATTGAGTGTTTCATAATGCAATCCTCAAATAAGCAAGTACTGTCCAAAGACTATGGTGGCAAGATGAGAAGTGCTATGTAATCTCAGGATGCTTATAGTTTAATGTTGAAATAAACAACATCCAGGGCAAATGGTTTCCTGATTTTAATAGGAAAATAAAGTCTTGTCCTTGGGTAAACCAGAACTCCTATCCTGGTTCTGCCATCTACTAGCTGTGGGACTTTTAGTGTGTTATTGTTAGTTCAAGTCTAGGAGTCTGTGAACTGATGTATGAAATTGGGACAAAATCAGCCACTTAATAGGGTTTGAAAGAAGAGTTTAATGAAATAGTGTGTGTAAGGCAATTCAATGGAAAGAGAATGTTCTTTTCAACAAACGGTATTGGGACAATACTAGAATAATATTTGCAAATTATATGTATGATAAAGAAATTTGGATATCCAGAGTCTCTATAGAACTCTTACATTCAATAATCAGACGAAAAAGAATTCAATTATAAATGGTCAAAAGACTTGAATAGAAAGTCTTCATGAAAGACATAAAAACACATGAAAAGGTGCTCAACGTTATTAGTCATTAAGCAAAGGCAGCGGGAGGTGAGAGGGCAGGACAAAACAAAAGAAAAAAAAATAAGCTAAGGCAAATTAAAACCACAAGAAGATATAACTACACATCCCTTAAAATGGCTACAATGGAAAAGATGGATAATAGCAAGTATTGGCAAGGATTTTGAGAAAATGAATCTCATGGATCTCTGGTGAGACTAAAATAATAATGCCACCTTGGAAAACTGGCAGTTTCTTATGAAGGTAACTGCAACCTTACCATACAATTAATTTGTGAATTCCACTCTTAGGAATCTACCCAAGATAAATTAAACATATATCCACATGAAGATTTATATATAGATGTTCACAGCAGCATTATTCATAAGCCAAACACTGGAAAAAAATCCAACTACTCACTAACTGGAATGGACAAACAAAACGTAATACTCATGCAGTGAAATACTACTCGGTGATTAAAAGGATGAAACTACCAATATATGTGACAGTATGGATGAACCCCAAAAAGTTACGCTGTGTGAAAGAAATCAGATACAAAAATTACATATTATATGACTCGTTTATGGAATTCCCAGAAAAAACAAATTTATAGAAACAGAAATCTGAGAAGTAGTTACAGTAGCTGAGGGATTAGAATTGGTGACTGACTACAAATGTGTGGGAGATAAATTTTGGGGGAGATGCAAACATTCTAGAACTGTATTGTGCGGTTAGTCGCATAACTCTATAAGTTTACTAAAAATCAATAGATGAAATTTATAGGATGTAAATTATACCTCAATAAAGCTGTAAAAATGTTTAAAATCAATATATGTAAAGAAATCTGCATTTTACAGAAACTAGATTTCTTAAGTATATTTTTATTTCCCTTATTTAAAGTAAATTAAGTGCAAAACAGTTTGCTTAAGGCTGGAGAAGGAATACAGAAAATAGGCGGAATTTCAATAGGGTGGATGTAATGAAAAGTTTAGCATATTTCAAGCAGATGAAATAGCAAGAACAAAGGAAAGAGGCAAAAAAATAGGGCACGTTTGAAGATCAGTCTACTTGGCTGATGAAGGCCAGAAATCAAGCAGTCAGTGGTTCAATCTCCTGAATTCCAGCTGATTGTTTCTCCTCAAGCAGAAGCCTGTATCTCATACAAGTAGCAGCCACCACTTTACTGTAAACATCCCATACTAGATGACGATTCGTTATCCAAAGCCTTTGGCATTGATCAGTTAAAACATTAGGCTTGCCAAAATATGACACTTACATATACATGAATCATAAATTACTGTTTCAAAAAAGCACTCTTCTAAAAAAAAAACAACTTAAAGTTTTTAGAATCACATCATTTTAGGAATGGAATGGGCCTTAGAAATCACCTGTTCAGTGTCTTCATTAGGAAGGTGTGTATGTGCACAGACACACACACGCATATATACACGTAAGTCCATACTTATAAGCATACAGAACTTTGTAAGTACTTTTTATTTTTCACTTCCCCCAGCCTGAATAATTTTCAAATAAGGACAGCCACCATAAGGGAAAATATAAGAACTAAGAAGTCCTAGCGATCACCTTGACAACGGTATTTTATCCCACTCAGCAGAGGGCGCTATTTCCCCACCCTGCACCCCCACTGCTGAATGAGGCTACAACACATGTGACAGCTGAGTGGAAAGGTTATGACACTGGTTCTTCTGCCCACAGGGTAGATCTGGGGAATTCGTGCATCAAGATATATACACTACCTTGTGAAATTCTAAAAGATCTTTTTGATGTTTTTTTGTCTTAATCTAAATTACTCTTGTGGGAAGTTTTGAGTCAACATGCTAGAATCAGCAATAGCCCGGGAAATAAGGCTTCTCAACTTGACGATCAGTGCAAAGTATACGCATGCATTCGCCCAGAGGATGGGGGACAGTGTTTCAGCACAATTTAAACCCTAGGAGTTAATTTCTTTGTAAGCACTACACTCACTTTTTTTGACAGTAGGACTACTAGGGAATCAAATACCCCTTTCAGAATCTGATTAACCTAAGAACACACCAAAAATTTCCAAAAGTTTATTTGTCTTCTATGAGGCCCATTCTAGGACCCCTGGTAATTCATACTAAAACACTGCATTGGAGATATTTTAAAAATTGATGTCCTCATTTATTAAATTACTTTATAAATGGAGAGGATTCAGGCATTTTTTAAAAATCCTCATTGTTCTCCCAGGTGTGGATTCAACTTTCTACTATTATAACTTGCTTGGTTAGAAGCCATTTTTAGAAGTGAGATACAAAATGAGCTGCATTTGGAAAACAATCTGTTACTTCCCTAAGGTCTGTGTGATTAGTAAACACGCAAAACCTTAACCAGAGGCACTGCAAAGCCAGAAATACAAATGGCAAATGCAAATACAGTAGCAAATGGCAAAGATCACAGTGTCTCCTTTTACTGAAATAAATGTTTATTTGACCTGGAAAGAGATGTTGTCAGTGCAATTTGGGGCCAGCAAATCAAAATTTGAAAAAGCTGCTTGCTGTGATTTTCTTGCTCAATAACAAGCATAATTTTGCATGGCCTAAGGTAGATGTTTTTCTAGACACACCTTTTTTTTTCTTAAGGAGAGCTTGATACAAAATGTTTCTTCTGAAATTCTTGCATGTTAATATTGATTTCAGTTTGGCATCTCATACGCACACTATTAATTCTTGTCTCTCAAAATTATTGTTAAATTAGAGCAGAAAACTAACACACAGAAAGGCTTTTTCTCAAAGGCTTCTTTCAACTGTACAGTCTCTATGACTATAAACATGAATGTGTTGCCTCAACTCAAGATGCAAGTACGGATGCTCAGTTTCCACCCACAGAAGATTAAATATGGAAAGGACCAGAGGTTATTTCATCCAATCCTCTGATTCTGAAATGACCAGAGGAGTTAGACGGTCTGTCCACTGTTGCTCAGCTCATTTACAGCAGAACCATGAGAAGAACCAGGCTTCTTGACTCTCTGAGTTCTTTCTACTATTGGCTTCCAGCTCTAGAAAAGGGTTTCTCAACGGCAGTATCATTTGACATTTTGGACTGGGTAATTCTTTGTTGTTGGGGGCTGCCCTGTGCAGGGTAGTTTGTTTAGCAGCATCTCTGGCCTCTACCCACTAGATGCCAGTAGCACCTCCCTCCACTCTCACAGTTGTGACAATAAAAAAAAGTCTCCATGCATTGCAAAATGTCACCTAGAGAATTGAAAATCATGTTGCACAGTATACAAACATCACCTGAGTGCAAGGCCTAGCTTTAATCCCATCTTTTCCATCAGCTGTCTACGCAATCCAGCTTCTAGTAATCTTACTCTTTTTACTAGAAGGACTCCCTGCTGCTGCCTTTTTTTGTTTGCTTGTTTACCTCAATTTTTTTGACTTTGTGATATTGCTTGTGTTATACTGTTTTAAAATACCATATTTAGGCTGGGCACAGTGGTTCACGCCGGTAATCCTAGCACTTTGGGAAGCTGTGGCAGGCTGATCACTTTGAGCTCAGGAGTTTGAGACCAGCCTGGGCAACATGGCAAAACCTTGTTTCTACAAAAAATACAAAAATCAGGCCTGGCGTGGTGGCTCACGCCTGTAGTTCCAGTTACTCAGGAGGCTGAGCCTGGAGAATTGCTTGAGCTCGGGTAGTGGAGGCTGCAATGAGCTGAGATCACACCTCTGCACTCCAGCCTGGGTGACAGAGTGAGACTCCATCTCAAAAAAAAATTTTAAAAAACATATTTAATAGTTTCTATGTGTATACGTTAGTTCCCTGATTTGATTAAAAGACTCATAAAGAAAGAAACCATGGCTTAACAGTATCTTTCTATTTACTAGGTAGCTAAAACATGATTCATACATAGTAGGAATTAAAGAATATTCAATACTTTGATTGATTCAGTATAATCAGATTGCCACTATACAAAAAAGTAAAATTTGCAAACATTTAGTACTTCTTCCATAAGCATAGAGTTTTTTTATTTTTATAATTTTGATGAAACTATTTCTAGCATTTACTTGCAGCTACATCTTAGTAGAAAGATTATTATAGATACAGTCATTTTTGATGATTCAAACATCATTTGGAATATCAATTTTTATTTTGTGCTTTTTAGGCTGCCTCCATTCTAAAATAGCTTCACGTGGTGCTGCTTTTAAAATTGTTGTGCATATTTTGTGTTTCTCTCTTCCTTACATGTATCAGCTGACATTATCAGCTGTCCCCACGACTTCCAGTGGTCATTCTCTGCACCTAGTAACAAGAGGTGCTGGGTGGGAGTGGAGGAACAATAAGATAACAACAGTGACAACAACAGTCACGACCGCAAATCCTAGTGCTTTTTGAGACTTACTGCATGCAAGACATTGGTCTATATGCTTTATATTCAGTGAATCATTATTCTGAACAATTTGAGAGATATTCACTATTTATTGTTTCCATTGTACTACTGAAGAAACTGAGGCACAGAGAGGTTGAGTAACTTGCCTAAGTTATCAGAGGCAGGAAATGGTAAGATCGAAACCTAAGCAGCCTGACTCAAGAATTTATAGTAGTCATTACTACACCGTATTACACTCGGTGTAATTAGATAGCCACCATCCTCAAAAATAAGTCAACCAATTTTACCCAAAATTCACAGAAAATGATTTTCAAAAATATTTGATAGTGGTTTTTATGTGTCATAAAATGTGTGAACTTTGTGGCAGCTATTTCACTGTGAAAACGTTTTCCTTGAGTTTCTAATTTAAAATTAAGAAGTATTCATCTACTAAGCACTTGCTATGTCCTAGGCACTATTCTAGGAGCCAGTTATAGACTCAAAAGATTATAGAATCTTAACAACAAAAGAGACACCAAGCACCTTCTAGCCCGGTGCTTCCAAGTCTGGCCGTCCATTAGAATTACCTGGAGAGCGTTACAAAAGTACTGCTGCCTGGTCCCCACTGCAGACAAACTGAATCAAAATCTCTGCAGATGGGGCTTCCTGAGGAGGCCAGCATGCAGCCATCCATGATGATACTGAAAGCCAGGGTTACAGAAGTGGCCTGCCTAAAGCCACAGAGGTAGACATTTCTAAAATTTTCCTGGTTTTTGAAAATTTTTCTACTGCACCACTAAAATTGTTTCAGGTGTTTGGAAATCTTTTCATCCAACAAATACTTAAGAAGAGATTGACAAGACAAAACCAGTTAGGGGAGAAAGTCAGAAAGTCACAGATACCTGGAGTGCTCTTTAATAAACAATTACCTCTGAAAGCCGTAATACATCAAAATCAGTTAAAACATTTTCCTGCAATATGAATGATCAGAGTATAATCTCACTAAATCTGAACTTTTTTATGGACAAGGACAAGTCAAAGGCAGACGAGCTGAAAGAAAAAGCATTAGATTTTGAACCATTTAAGACTGGGTTCAAATTTAGCGAATCATGGGCAAATTTATTCATTGCCCTAAGCTCTGTCTCTGCACCTGTACAAAAGGTGGTAGATAACACTTCCTATGCTGATAATTAAATCAAAGCATGTAGGTAAATGCTTCTAGCATAGTTTATGAGGTAACTCACAAATAATAAGTCCCTTTTCTCCCTTCCTTTGAACCTGACTAAAAAGGAAATTAATAACTCAATGAACTACACAGGCCACCTAATATGACCCATGTTTTATAAAAGCAGGCAAGTGCTTAGCTAGAGATCATTTTTGCATCTAATCCATAGAAGCATAATCTCCTCTGACAGTCCTCCTTCTTGCCTACTTGCGAGAACCTTAGGAACTAGGCATTTTCTTCTGTTCCTCACTGAGAACGCACAGCAAAACTTCCTTCTCCTCTCATGAGTATCTGTGGGTTGCATTCACTCTGATTCACATCCAAGGCCTAATTCAGACTTACACTATTCCTTCACCACAGGGTGGTGACAAAAGGAGTATGGCACCCTCCATAAACACTCATGCTGAAACACCACAAGCATTCAACCTTAAAGCTCAAAAGCAGATGTCCTTGTAAGGTCAAAAACAATTGCATAAGAAGCCTTCAATGTCTGTGTTTTCATACAGAAGTTTTCTGAAGGGATGTATTTCCCCAACGGACCAAAAGATCATTTTTGTGATATGTTCATGGGAAAGGGCCATATCTATTTTCCTTAATAAATGCTTCAGCTCCTCAGACATTGGCAAATGCCTTGCAAAACAGTAACACGTTGTTGACAAGGAAAATTAGCCCCTTCAAATTTAATGTTAACAAATGCAGCAGAAAGCACTTACAGGGTTTGGAGTGCAATGCTCAGTACTATTGAGGAACATATGATAAAAACCATAGTTGGCCCACCACAGGAGATACAGGCATATGCAGAATTTGAACAATACCATAACTTGGGCCACAATGGGAGAATAGCTAGAGATTCTACCAAATTCCCATAAATTGGATATCGTTACATTGAATTATTTAAAGTTCCCTATTTTGGCTGCTTTGCACAGCATCTTCTGCTAAGCCCACAGCAACACTTCCCAGTGTAAATACACAGCCTACAAAAATGTTTTTATGTAAAATTGTGTGCCATGCGTTGTTTTGAAAAGAAAATTCCAAGTCGTAAAACACAAATTTCTTACTGAAAAGAACGTTTCCTGAAATATGCGTGGCATAATTGAAGTTCCACGGGATGCTAGATAGTAGGCAGAATAAAAAATGCATGAATAAATGAATAAATAAAGGTGAAGATTCACATGAGAAATAATTCTGATGAAATAAAAAGTTAGGCAAATGTCTTTTTTTAAAACTACAGAATTTCTCAGAACCTCTAATATACAAATGTGTATTCTAACCCTCTAAGAAGTAGACCTGATAGTATTTCCCAAAGTTTTTTTTTTTCAAGCATTATTCCAGACTCAGATACTACATGAAACACCAGTTTGGGAAACACTGACCTGAAATGTTACCATGATAAACTGCCATTCAGTAGTTCTGCCATTCAGCAGGACAAAGGAGCGTCCTAGCCCATCAGATGAAAGATGAGTTGGTCCATTTGGCAAACAGACCAGAAGAATTTTTTGATTAAGATCAGTATTCTCAAGCACTTATTACATCTTGGCAATTCCCATGAGGAGTGAAACACAGCTCTTGCCATACTAACTGTGGCTGTTTATATAACCCTTAAAGAACAATTAGAACTCAGATGAAAGATGAGTTGGTCCATTTGGCAAACAGACCAGAAGAATTTTTTGATTAAGATCAGTATTCTCAAGCACTTATTACATCTTGGCAATTCCCATAAGGAGTGAAACACAGCTCTTGCCATACTAACTGTGGCTGTTTATATAACCCTTAAAGAACAATTAGAACTCTTGCATGTAGTGTTCTAATTGGAGATACTTCTGTTTTGAATACAGATTACTCAGTGTAATTGTTTTCTTTTTTTAACCTACTAGGGGTGAACAAATAGGACACTAGCTTTGTTTATTACAATGTACTTCTTCAGGATGGTTTTCCCCTTCTTTCCAGTTTGTAAGTGCAAAACAACTTGAAATCTGAATCTATATTGGACAAACCACTGGCCAATTCAGTCAAAATGACTAATCAATCAATGGGGAATAAATTGAGGACACATAAGGCTGAATCTACTGATTAGTGGATTTTAAACAGTTAGTGCCATTGACTATCTCCAGGTTTGGAAGAAGCATAAAAAAAAAAACAAGAGGCTTTGTATTTACTGTGTCATGAAAGTTAAGAATCATTAGGGTGAAAATGTTGCTATAAAAATGTCCTTTTTTAAAAAAAATTGACCTTTATACTCATAAACAAAAATGAAAATTCTCACCCAATCAAAATAAACCAAAGCCTTCTCCCAATTTAAACCACTTTGTGCAAAAACGCTGCAATCCCTCATCTGTTCCAATGCAGCCTCTACCTGTTGAGCTCCTAATAAACCATGCCTTTGAAAGGTGTGCAAACATGCTGCTGTCATTCTGGGGGAAGATAAACACGTTTGCTCGCTTTAGAAAGGCAAACAAAAAGCAGTCTACACAAATGCTGATGATTGTCAGGATTTGAGAATCCCTGTCCACTCAGACAAACCCTAAACAGCTTGTCACATACTGCAATGAGCCTCGTCACTCCAGTCGTCACAGTCGTTGTAGCCATTACATTGCAGTTTCCCGGGGATGCAGATTCCACTGGCACACAGAAAGTTCTCACCCCTTCCACAGAGCACTAAAAAAAAAGGGCAGGAAATAATGTCAGAATAAGATGGGTTTTTTTTCTTTTAAGATTACAAAAAATAAATACATAGAAAATCTTCTTTTGCTATTCAACAGATTTGTTTCCAAATTCCCTCAGTTTTATTGTCATCAATTTTTCTTTGGCATCCTAGCACATTAATTGAAAAATTACCTGGAAATAATACAAAGAGTGATTGCTTGTCTGAGGAAAGCAGGAGATAGTTCACCAGTGGGCTTGCAGAGTGAGGCATCCATGTTCAGAGAGCAAGAGGGTAGCTTCATCATTTGCACAATTTATGTGGGGAGAATACCCAATGGGTGTATCTTTCTAAATAATTGAAAATTATGTCCAAGTAAAGTGCTACTAATTGAACCAACATTTAAAAAGTCTACCTTTCTAAAAAGCTACTCTATGTACCACAGAGAAAGTTCCAGTAAAAACAGAGTCAGTAAATAACCATTTACTGTGTGTTTGAACATAGCATAGAGACCCAGTGCCCTGTATTTGAAATGTATTTACTTGCCTTAATGAAAATGCCAGTTAAAATGTCAGCGTCTATTTTGGCATAAGGAACGGGAAATGGCATTCACTAATAAAATTTTCATTTATTTTTCCTTAACACAGTGACATTTTTATATTTTTGCTTTTAATATTTTGGTGTTCTTTTTCTCTTCAAAATGCAATAAGTATTCCACTGCTTCAAAATTACAGTAGACAATAAATTTAAGACAAAAAGATACAAAATTTTTCAGGAAGACCATTAATAAAAGGATAAATCAGCTCAACAAAGTGGATGTTAAGATAAAAAATATTTGGTAATGTGCATCAAATGCCTTTTAAGTGTGCATAATCTTTGACTCAGGAATCATCTTATTTCTTAGACTTCACAAAAAGGAAATCATTATGAATTTATGTTTTATGTTTAATGATATTCATACCATCATTGTTTAAAATGAGGAAACTATGAAATAACCACTATGCAATATTCAGGGGCTAGTTAAATAAATTTTGATACCACCATAATGAGGAATACTGTTACAGCCATTGAAAACTACATTGTAGAAAATACTTAATGTCCTAGGACAAAGTTCAAGCTACTTTAGATGAGAAAACACCAACTGGTCCTAGAAAACAAAATACAGTTTGGCATCGGGAGAGGTATATTATCTTTGGTATTAGGATTAAAGTAAGTTTACTTTTTACTGTATTGTATTCTGCATTTTACAAATTTTCTTACAATGATGATGTTTTATCTTTTTAGCTGGGAAAAAAATAACTTTTTTATGAGCTCTAGTTTCAGATAAAAAAAAGTTAAGTAGAACCTTCAAAAATCTCCTTCTGTCTCTCTCTCACCTTCCACCAAAGCTTGTGTGTGTGTGTGTTTGTGTATGTGTGTGTGTGTGTTGACTGTGTGGTCAGTTGCCTGGTCACTGCCACCATTCCCTGCAGTATGTATTCCTTGATAAGATGAACCTTGTTGACTAGTTACAGGGAATCCAGGAATATGGAACATTTTAACTCAGCAATAGAAATAGAGAAAAGTACAGGCTGAAAGCTCCAGTCAATGAAGCCCATGTCTGTTATAGTTCCCATCATGTTCCTAGGACCCAGCGGAGTGCCTGGCACTCAGGAGGTTCTCGATTAATATATTTCCCACCCATGTTCCTGGGACCCAGCCAGTGGCTGGCACTCAGGAGGTTCTCGATTCAATGGAAAAAGTTACCTAAATCCCTAATAGAACAATATATTGCCATAAAGCAGAAAAAAAACAAAATTAATGAATTATTTCCCAATGCTATCAAGGAAATCAGCATTTCAACTCATTGAACATTAAGCATTAGTTGATCTGGTAAGTTTCTTATGATACTACTTCATGTAACATCTTCACAATATCAACAACAAAAGCCCAGTTTTCCATTATAGTCCATAATTTCAGTATCAATACAAATTACATCTATGGATTTCAACTGCCAAAATATCCAACATGTTTAGTATGGTGTCAGAAGATTCCGCACAGGAGTGCACTCCTATACCTACAAATACAGACTCCTAAACGATTCATAGAAAACCAGATCTAAAAATGAAAAACCAAAATACTAAGATTTTACCTATCCAGTCTGTACAATATCCTCTCTCTGGGTTTAAGAGAAAGTTTTAAAGGAGGGTTTATCTTATTGTGAGATTGTTTCTGTATTATACTAGAGAGTGCAAAAATTCCATATGTCTGCATTTCAGCAGCTGCAATGCCTCACAAGAATTATTGCATTCCCCACCTATGGCTCCGATGATTCCTCAGGAAATGGAACTGAAAGCTCAAGATTCAATAGCTCCTAACCTCCAGATTTTATCTTTAAGACCCTACATATTTGACTCCAGTAAAGCCATTTCTTGCATATGGTCATCTCAAATCTGGATCAAATTTAAAACCCAGCACAGCTTGCATTGTTTTGATTATTGATATCCCCTGTCTTGGCTGATTCAGCAGAAACTGACTTCTTTTGTGTGGTTCCTCATCTGGAAGTGTGGCTGTCCTTGGTTTTAGGGTATCATAAATTGTTACTGTATTCTTGTTCTTTTTTGAAAGTTCACAGTTTTGGTAGTTAATATTACTTTTATAAAACTAGAATAACTTTTGTAAAATCTTTCTGTTTGATTTCTTCTTAACCTGTATTCAGAATTTCCACTTTACTTGTATAAAACTGTTCAATTATTAAAGTACTACAAACATATTTTATTTGGTAGTTTACAAATGAAGGAAATGAAGTATCATGAGGTCAACATTGAAATGGGCCAAAGCCACATAATTAAGGAAAGATGAAAAACACCCCAAATCCCAAGGTCTATGATCTAGGCCCAATCCTCCATGCCACACCCACTCCCCTGTTCCTGGTACTTGTGCAATAGTGTAGTCGGCTGATACTCGGCCAGTTTAAGGGCACTAGGTTTGAGTAAAACTTCAACATTGTCTTTTTCTCTCTAAACAAAAGACAAATGTCTGTCTTGCAGTGAATTGGATCCAGATGAGATGACATTCCATGTCAGTTCTACTTTTTTTGAACACCCTGAGAGAGCTCTTATCAGGTTTCTGTAGAGATTTTTCTACCATAAATATCACTGTCTTATAACAATCATTTTCCAACAGGCTTTTGAGTGGCCCCTTAGGATGACAAAGGGAGATTCCATGAGAAGTCATGCTATACAATCTTGAAACTATTTCCACTAACTATAATTCTAAGAGGTATATGTTGGAATTTAAATCAATGGCAGATTGATAACTGGAACATTCGTTCATTCATTGAATATATATTTACTGAGTGTCTACTATGTGCAAAGTACTATTCTAGCCTCTGGTAATATAGCAGAGAAGAAAACAAAAAAAAATCCCCAAATAGAGCATATATTCTATTGATCATCATCTGATGAAGATAATTTTACCAAGTAAAGATACTTCACTGCCAAAGCTGACTTCCATTACACATGGGACAGTTAATTAATACTACTGCAAAAATAGCAGTATATGAAGTTATACTGCCTAAAAAGCTAGTTTACATGTCCAGATGATGGGGACAATTATGGATCCCCTGGACTTCAGAATGACATGGATCTTGAAGAGTACATACCCAAAGGATGATCAGCTCTTTTCAGCATTCTTGTCTCTGACAACAGACTGCTAAAATAATAATCCCTAGCCTGAAATCACCTTGAGATTTTCTGCAATTGCTTCCAGCTTCCTAGGCTCTCTCTGTCTGTGTATCAATATTATTGGCAAATGCTCTTATTATTCTGGTTGTTAACTTTTAGAGTCCTTTTCAAAAATTATCCACCAGCCTGCCACGGACTGTATGGTGCCCTTACTTGCCCTGTCTTTGAGTCCTTGCTGAAAGTCAAAAGCTCAGTTTCAACTCCACCTCGGAAGAGAAAGCTGACACAGCTCTGCACATCACATGGGCCCGTGCTGAGAGCCTGTCAGCGCTCCATTCTCCATGCTGCTCGAAATCAAGTACTATAAACCACTATTGCCCTTACCTTTTACAAGGTTATGTCATTAGATGAAAAAGACTGAGTGTAATCTTTCAGCGGCTGATACAAGAATACTTCTTGGGGAGAGCACTGTATCTGTAGGCACAATAGATTGGTAAAAGGATTGGGGTAAAAGACAAGAGGTGAGAAAGGGGAGAGAAAATCTAAGGGTGTGCTCAACCAACCCAACATGGACTTTACCCTGCCTTCTGAGGAGGTGAGTCATATTAGATGGAAGGCCCTTCATTCTGCTGAAATTAAGATATTTTCAGTAGGTATGGATGAGGGTCTGGAAGCTCTGAGTACAAAAGGAGTGAGGGGCCAGGTGCAGTGCCGCATGCCTGTAATCCCAGCACTTTGGAAGGCCGAGGCGGGCAGATCGCCTGAGGTCAGGGGTTCAAGACCAGCCTGGCCAACATGGTGAAACCCCATCTCTACTAAAAATACAAAAATTAGCTGGGCATAGAGACATGTACCTGTAATCTCAGCTACCCAGGAGGCGAGGCAAGAGAATCAATCGCTTGAACCTGGGAGGCGGAGGTTGCAGTGAGCCAAGATCATGCCACTGTGCTCCAGCCTAGGCAACAGAGGGAGACTCTGTCTCAAAAAATAAAATAAAATAAAAATGAAAATAAAAAATAAGAGGAGTGAGAATTCCCATGAGGAGAAAGGGGAGCTGGTGCTGCTGGGCACTGTGCTGGGGGAGAGAGAAATTTGAAAAGGTGGCTGAGTCTCCATTAGAAGTACAGTATTTCCATTTTTTGGAAAATAGAAATATCTAATGACGTATTTTAAGTTATTTCATGAGGAACTGGAGATATAACACACGCCTTCCTCCATCTGCAAGGCTTGTGTTGCCCTCTGATTTATGCACTCATTTCTTTAACATTCTGTATTATTACAGAATAACTATTATTCTGTATATTCTATAATAATTAATTATTATAGAATAATTAATACTATTCTGTATTATGTATTTTTGAATACAGAATAGCTCCCTTGCCTTGGGAAGCTTATACTCTAGAATGACAAACTATATCAATAAGCATAATTTTAAAATTCTTATATAACACACAAGATGTTAATAAATGCTATGAAGAAGAGAGTACTGCAGGGTAAGGGAGGTATAGGGTATAGGAGTGGGGTAATAACATTAATATTATTAATATTGGCACCCAATATTAATTAGGGTGCCAGGGCAGGCCTCACTCAAACCTGACATTTGAGCAACAACTTGAAAGAGGTGAGGGAGTCTCAGGAAGATTCAAGGAAGAGCTAGTGCAAAGTTCCTCCGGCAAGAGTCTGCCCGGCAGGTGTCAGGATCAGCAAAAAGACCTGTGTGGCTAGAGTAGCATGAGCAGGGACCAAGCACAAGAATGAGGCCAAGCAGAAGGGAGGGTCCAAACACACAAGGCTCTGCAGGCCTTTGTAAGGACTTTGTAACTTTAACACAAGAGTCATTACATGGTTTTCGGTAAAGAGTGGCATGATCTGACTGAAATTCTTAAAGGATTGCTCTGCCTATTGTGTTGGAAATAGACTCTAGGGGGACAAGGGAAGAAGTAGGGATAGCAGCTGGGAGTCTATTTATTGAGTAGCTGTGGAGGTACTGAGACATGAGTGGATGCTGGATGTACAAGCCATGTACCACGTAACAACATTTTTCTTAACAATGGACTACATATACAACAGTGGCCCCATAGGATTACAATACCAAATTTTTACTGTACCTTTTCTATGTGCAGATATGTTTACATACACAAATGCTTATTGTATTACAACTGCCTAGAGTATTCAGTACAGTAACATACTGTATAGGTTTGTAGCCTAAAAGCCATAGGCTGGACTGCATAGCCTGGACGTGTAGTAGGCTCTACATCTAGGTTCGTGTAAGTACACTCTGATGTTTGCACATGATGAAATCACCTACCAACACACTTCTTAGAATGTATACCCATCGTTAGGCAATATATGACTGACAGTACTAACTTCTGACTATAGGTTGGCTCAGGTCAAATAAACAATGACCATCCTTGAATATCTAGGAGCTTGGGAAATTTCAAACTTTCTTTTGAAAACAGAGTATCATCCACATCAAGAATATACTTACAATCTAAAAATGAATTCAATCTATGTCTTTCTGTCCCTCTAATCCCATCATTAAATGTGGCTTCCTCAGAAGTATCTGTGTTCCAAGCTAAGCAATCCTTCTCACTCTCTTCTTAGACATCTATTAAATGCAGGGCAGGCACTACACTAACCACTCCTAATAGTGCCAGTGCCCAAGACCATCAAAATTGCAGTCTTCTTTAAAAAAACTGTTTTATTATAGCTCACATAATTTATATTCACAGAAGATTTCCGTTTGCTGATTGTCTCTCTCTCCCTTCTAGAATGCAATTTCCTTGAAGAAAGGCATTTTATCAGTTTTTCTTACTGCTATACCCTGAGTCTAGAATAGAACTGACACATTATACGTGCAAGTTAGATATCTGTTGGATAAATAAATGAAGACTGAGAATATGAGGTGTCTATGGAGCATGAATAAATGATCGTTCCTATTTATTGGCTCTCAATGGCAATGAATATCTTACAACTTATTATTTACATTGCTAGGAGAATAAACTACTGATGCAGGAATAAAAATCCCTTTGTGTTACAGTGTGATGCTCACTCAAGCCTGCAGACACATCTGGTTTATGAGTGGCATTTGCTCTTAGTAGGACAACAGATGGCCCTTCTGCGGAAAATAATCTTCCCCACTGGCCTGTGATGATGTGTCTAACATTCCACCCCTGACACCCACATTACCCACACTTTGGGTTAAAATGGTAGGTTTTAGAAGAACTCTAGGTTAGCAAGGAAAGGGGCTTTGGGGCCACATCATGGATTAAAGGGGTGTATTCAGTTTCCTACTCCATTTCAACCAAAGAGCTCTACTGTTGGCTGCTTTATACACATGAGTCCATGGAAAATTTTCTTTGAAAATGGGCTTTTGTTGTCAAAAACAAGTTTGAAAACTCCTTCACCCTTAAGATTTTCTGTTCAGTTGAACACTTAGTTCTGAATGTAATTATAGACTGTTTAGCTTTATGTTATCATTAGCTTTTCATTGTACTTAGACTTGAGAAATGAAACATAGAATGAGTGACTTTTAGGGGTAGAGGGGGACTCAGGAAAGGTATAGAACATGAAGACTCAGAGTAAGAAGTGACACCTGGACCCACAAATGAGCTCAGAATAGCCCTGCTTGAAGGTGTACAGTGTGTGGATTCAACGCTGTTACATCAGGGTACAAGAAAAGCCACAATATTTTCTTAAAGTAAATTCATACTTCCCCACTCAAAAAGCTGATGAGAAAGATCTTTCAGGCATATTTTGCAGGGATCTCTCCCTCCTTAGGATGGTACAAGGATGCAAGGGGCTTACATGGAACCTGGAAGAACGAAGGAAGGACTTCTAGCTTTCATTCCTCAGAGAACTGCCAGAGGCTCATGGCCTCTAAGTCCTCAAGTGAGTGCTAGACAGAACGCGCCATTGTGTCTGTGCCAAGCCAGGGTACAGGGCCATGGTCCCCAGGGTCCAGCTTTCCTGGCTGCCCCACACAGCCATTCCTTTTGGAGGTCCAGCCTCTTCTACAAGCACGTGAGCACTGGTCTCTGCTATATAATGGGAAGGCCATCCTACATCCCCCTGCTTCCTCCTCCACCCTCCAGACATTTCTCTCCATGCCACTCAACCTGGGTGACCCAACACAATCTCTGCTCAGTCCTTCCCTCCTCAATGCTGCTTTCCCTTTCCGGAGGCTGCAGAGATGAAAACACACTTTTTTTTGTTTTGTCTTCTTAGTAGATGGTGCTATTATACTGATGTTTCCTTCACTACTGAGAATGCAAAGGTCTCCATTAGTACCTTTTAACTTACACATTTTTGGTGAAAAGTAGCATATGATAGGTGGTTGGTAAATGCCTGCTGAATAAATGCACTTAAGGAGCTCTTAACATCAATATTCTAAAAAAGGCAATGTCATGGTGACATCTTCTTTTATGGGCTGTAGGCTTCACCTTGCTGCAAAGACAAGGTAAAATCAGCCCCTTGACAACAATACAACTCTTTCATTCAACGTCCCTTGGTGTCATTTATATATCTTTTAATTAGTGAGAAACTGTCTCTGTCAAACAAATGTTCAGAGAAAATCCCAAACAACTCCTGAAATTAAGTCAACTCATTGGTTCATTTTTTTCCTTTGAAATAAAGCTATGCTTTGATTCAATGAAAACTTTGCCATCTGGCCTTCAGCTTAAATTCCTAAAAATAAGAGCTAAGTATACTTATTGCCTGCCTGATAGCATGATGGAAGAGCTATTACTCTATAAAAAAAAATTAGTCATCATAACATTTTCTAAAACATTGT
Source organism: Homo sapiens (assembly GCF_000001405.40). Lineage (NCBI taxonomy): Eukaryota > Metazoa > Chordata > Mammalia > Primates > Hominidae > Homo > Homo sapiens. Next base: position 47,701,527 of record NC_000004.12, read on the forward strand.
CAAGAAACAACAGAATAGATCTGTAACTGGTGGCACTTTGATAGGAGAGAGAATGTAAATAGAATTTAGAAAGCATTTCCATGTCATCATTCAACATTTCAAGTACAGTCACAGTAAAAAATCCTACCCAGTAGATTTTAAATCTAATTTAAAAAGTAGAAAGTTTTTTTTAAAAGGCAGAGTAAAAAGCAGGAAGCTAAGCTTTATGATCAGAGACTGCCAGAAACTGAAGGCCAAGCAGAAATCTAAAGAATCTTAATTACATTTCAATTTTGGAAGGAAGGAAGGAAGGGCGGGAGGGAGGGGTGAGGGAGAAGTCCTAAATATGACCTGGAAGCATTTTTTTTAAATCGTTGGAAAACAAGATGTACATCATGATTCTGTTATTTATCATTTCCTGAACAGAAGTGCAGTAACATAATTTCAAATTTCTAAAAAACATGGGCAATTTTTAAACTTTTTTGCTTATTATCTATCTGCCTCTCAATGAGACAGACAGATGTTTCTAAATTCAAAGATAATTTCTCATTTAGGTTTCTTGGGAGGTGCTACCTTCCGAATTTGTTTTAGGAAATAAACACTTAGTTTCTTTAAAAAAATTGTGTTTAATAATACTTTAATATATTTTTGAGACTTTCCTCCAATTATAAGGCTGTTTCAAGTGACATTTTGCATTTATTCACTATGAATCATAAAATGATAGCAATGGAACAACATATAAACTACTTCTGACAAATTTTAAACAAATACAGGATGGTTTCTATAAAAGAGTTAAATGATTGCATATAAATCTAAGAAAAATAAAGGAGATAAATTTTATTTGGAAAGAAAATAGTCTCTTGCATACATATGGTAGTATCTGAAAAGCTATATATATATTAGTATTTTTTCTAGACCTTTTTTAAATGTGTAACTCAGTCACAACGTTTATGGAAAGACTTAGGACAAACATAAACAAAGAAAAATCATCAGTTTGAAGAGCCATCCCATGGTATTTTTCTTATTCGTTGGGCTATACTGTACAAATTGAACAAATTTCATTTTACAAGTTAACAATTTGTGGACTTCATTCCAACTCTAACCAAACTTATTTTTAATCACAGTTTCTTTTAGTCCATTTTATGTATTGGCTATTTAAAAGCTAAAATAAATTGCCTATGACTTTACAATATTATGTATCCTGAGAACCAGAAATAGAAAAAAAACATACTTCTTTCAAATTTACAGTGAAAAGAACTTTGAAAAATATCTTTCAAAAACAGATTACGGTTCTACCCTAATGTCTAAAAATTCACTTCCAATCCCATGAAGAATGTATTGCATCACTTTCCTACCTACTCTCTATTGTTGATTACCATAACTTGACTATTTCAAAGCATTAGCATTCTTTTTTTTTCTTTTTTTTATTATACTTTAAGTTCTGGGATACATGTGCAGAACGTGCAGGTTTGTTACATAGGTATACACATGCCATGGTGGTGTGCTGCACCCATCAACCCGTCATCTACATTAGGTATTTCTCAGCATTAGCATTTTTAAAAATCCACTGATCTTCAGGATATTGGTACTGTAGGACCTCAACTATCTTCCGGATTGGATAACCAGCGGTTGGATGCCAAGATTCTGAAGCCCTAGGTCAGCACTCCGCTGGAGCCCCTCCTATACTCTCCATTCCCTTCACTCACCACATAAACCCCACCCACCAGCTCCCATGCAGCAGCCGGTAGTGACAGCACATATTCACTGGGTCAAGGTAGAATTGGGAAAACCTAGCTACTTCTGAACATCTGACCCTTCATGCTTAAACTACCCCAGAATAATCAGATAACTTCCATTCTGAACACTACCATAATTAAGAGAAAAAAGTTAATGGTGAGGAAATGAGTTCATAAACACCCTGATATCCACACTAATACTGAATCTACAGACCAGAAAAGAAACTATTCACAATCATGACCTGAGATAGGAAAATAAAGGTAATCTTGTAGAAAAGCAGAGATTGGTATTTAAACTTACACTATCTGCGCTGCTTTGGCGAATTACTTAACTTTTCTGAGCTTCAGTTTCCTTACCTGAATCCCACCTACTTTGGGATCGTCTCTGAGTATATTAATCAGTAATGGACATAAAGTGCCGAGCACCAAATCAGGTAAGGCCCAGTATGTTCTGTTTACTAAGGCTGGGAAGTGTACAACTCACCTCTGAAAGATGGCCATCTCAAACTATTGAAAAACGCCTTTTGCTTAAAGGGTTAACCTGCAGTTAAGCTGAGGTCCTAACCCCCAAACTTATGGATATAGCATATCTACTTAGACTTGGAAGGTAGGGGCACCTGGGTTCTTTGAAACAACCCAGATAACTGGAGGAGAAAGTGGTCTCAAGTGATCAACACACACAGGCATTAATACAACAACATCTAGGAACAGAATTATTTAATACGAACTTCTCTTTGGCTCATAAACAGAAAAGGAAGTCAATTGCTTCAGGAAAGTTGATTTTCACTGTTTAATCGTTTGTGTCCTGTTAAATGATTTACACGCTGGTGGAACACAGAGGTCTCTGGATTCTTTCTCCCAGGCTCCTCCGCTTTTCTACTACCGCATGCCTTTCACAGCACACTACATAAAATCTCTCTCAGTATCCCTAGTTACCAGGATTGCATATAACAAAGCCACACAGACTAAACCTAACAGGGGAAAAAAAAATTAACCTTGCGTAAAACTAAATACAAGCACAATTTAATTAACTCGCATTCCAGAGTCATAGCTCCCAATTTGCTAAGTCTAGAGGATTGGTTACACAACATCCAAGCACTCAGCAGGGAGGGGAGAAAAACTGCTAAAATGTTTCCAGAATCTTCACAGGACTCACATGTTCTTTTATACTGGTAAACAGGAATGATGGCCCCTGTGAACAATCTATAGCCATCCAATCAAGGAGACAGAACGAGCCAGGGCAATAAGGGGTAAGAGGTTCAAAGAGGTTGAAGTTTCAGGAGAGACTACAGGGGAAGAAATGTACAGAAAATATCTGGCCTTAAGATTAGCCCTGAGTCAAGCAGAGAATGGTCTACTTTATCCATAAAGAGGGAACGCATTGAGCAGATAACGGGAAGTCAAAAACTGTGCTCCTATTCCTATGAACTCTCATTGCTGCAATTTGAGCAGATACAGAGTCTCCTCTAAAAACACGCTATCGATCAACTGAATATGCTTAACCCCGAGAGGTTTCATAACATGAAGATATGTCAGTGGTGGAGGGTGTGGGAGGAGGGGCTGAACTCAGAATACAGGTGATACTTCTGAGAGAAGGTTCATTTTTTTCCACTTGACAAAAGGGTAGGACACGTGCAGTTCCCAAGCCATATCACACGATGGCAGCCATACTCAGCACGTAGTCGCTGTGAGGCACACACAGGGAAGAATTCAGCCTGATCCCCTCAACTGGTGAGAGGCATGGCGACCCAGTGGATTTCAGCTAAGAGATATCTTTTCTGAAGGGCATACTTGGCTTGTGATTGCGACTGAGTAAATCTGAAATAATGAAATCCCACTTCTACCAATGATTACTTAAGGTAAGTGAAAGCCCTTCACAGTTTATGCCTACTCCTACTGTTTGCACACATTTCTACTGCTTTTTTTCCCCCTGACTGGTTTATCAGAGCTCCTTGTGTTGCAATTATTTTCTCCCAGTGTTTCCTGTATTTGTCTTTTAAATCTATAGCTTCTTCAGCTACATGAAAGTTTTGCAAACGTGAAGTCTAACATGTCAGTCTTTATGGTTTACGTCTTCATAAACCATGCTTATATTTGTGATAGAACAAAAACTCTGTGAGGGCAGTGAATTTTACCTGTTTGGTTTCTTGCTGTGGCTGAAGGACCCAGAAGAGTGACAAGTGTAGAGCATGAACTAAATAAACTTTGCATTCACCTAGAGCCTTTCTAAAGCAGATGGAAAATACTACTGCCAAAATTAAGAGATACATTCTGGCCACAATACACCAAAAACAGGCCACAAGATAGAGAAACTAGGTCAGATTTCCTAATAGTCAAAACTGATTTCGACGTGGCCATAGGGGGAGGAGACAGATTGATCAATCGGTTGATTTTTGTTAAAATAATCAAGCTTCCCAAAAGCCATAGTCAAAATGAAAAATACGTAGCCTGACCTCTCAAAATGCTTTCCAGATTCAAATTTCAGCAAAAGGGAAAGAAATTTATTAACTGCTTTGAAGCCAGTACCTTTCTTAACACCTACCACAAGAGGGAGACCACATCATAAATTCAAGCACACGGCCCGTAAAATATTTGTGAAGTGCCCCCCGTGTGTAACAGTATTTGAAAACCATCCTATTTCATGTGTTTTCAGTATTTATTTTAAAACAAAATCATAGCTCTTTTAAAAATCATTTTGCATTTTACATGCCAACACAAAAATATGAATCCTCATAAACCAATAACTATGTTATTTGTGCATTTATTTTAGAATTTGCTTTTTACATTCTTATAATAAACAATAACTTCAGAAATTCAGTTTTTACTCAGCCAGTTTTGTTTCAAATGGCTTTTTATACATTTTTACTACTAATTTGTACATAATGTGATTTCTGTGGATGCTGAATGGATTTTTCAGCAGGTGATCTCATTACAAGATAATCTCATTACAAATCCCTGTTAGAATTTCTCACCGTGGTATCCAGATTGAAATGAAATTCTTCACAGCTGTAGAAAAGTTCTTCCGAAATTTGTTGGTATCATAAGCTCTAAACTGCTCTACTCTATGGACTTTCAAGAAAACTACCAACTTTTGCCTTTCCGTCTGGCGGCAGCCATCAGGTAAGCCAAGATGGGTGCATACAAGTATATCCAGGAGCTATGGAGAAAGAAGCAGTCTGATGTCACGCGCTTTCTTCTGAGGGTCCGCTGCTGGCAGTACCGCCAGCTCTCTGCTCTTCACAGGGCTCCCCGCCCCACCCGGCCTGATAAAGCGCGCCAACTGGGCTACAAGGCCAAGCAAGGTTACGTTATACATAGGATTTGTGTTAGCCGTGGTGGCCGAAAACGCCCAGTTCCTAAGGGTGCAACTTACGGCAAGCCTGTCCATCATGGTGTTAACCAGCTAAAATTTTGCTCGAAGCCTTCAGTCCGTTGCGGAGGAGCGAGCTGGACGCCACTGTGGGGCTCTGGGAGTCCTGAATTCTTACTGGGTTGGTGAAGATTCCACATACAAATTTTTTGAGGTTATCCTCATTGATCCATTCCATAAAGCTATCAGAAGAAATCCTGACACCCCATGGATCACCAAACCAGTCCACAAGCACAGGGAGATGCGTGGGCTGACATCTGCAGGCCGAAAGAGCCGTGGCCTTGGAAAGGGCCATAAGTTCCACCACACTATTTGTGGTTCTCGCCGGGCAGCTTGGAGAAGGCGCAATACTCTCCAGCTCCACCGTTACCGCTAATACAAGTAAAGTTTGTAAAATTCATACCTAATAAACAATTTAGGACAGTCATGTCTGCTTACAGGTGTTATTTGTCTGTTAAAACTAGTCTGCAGATGTTTCTTGAATGCTTTGTCAAATTAAGAAAGTTAAAGTGCAATAATGTTTGAAGACAATAAGTGGTGGTGTATCTTGTTTCTAATAAGATAAACTTTTTTATCTTTGCTTTATCTTATTAGGGAGTTGTATGTTAGTGTATAAAACATACTGCGTGGTATAATAGGCTTAATAAATTCTTAAAAGAAGAGAAAAAAAAGAAAACTACCAACTTTTCTCAGCAACTATCCTATGAAAATTTTGTGACAGTCATTTCAAGACTGCTTAAAAGTAGACAGAACAGGAGGCCAAAAACTTCATAAAATGTGGTATAATTCGAAGGAATCCTGGGAGGTCTCTCTGCTTAAAATATTTCCCAGCTGAAATTCCTCACTGTGAATCCCACTCGTTTAACTTAAGCCAAAAGTCCTCAATTAAAAGCCAATTCCTAAGGACTCCTCTATCTTGCAACTAACCAAGATTTCCAGAGGCTCTCCACAAAAGGCACAGTCCTGGACATGGCAAAACTACAGGACCTTAAGAGATGAAGCCATTATCAGTGATTAATACCTCAGCAGATAGCACTTAATATATTCATCTTCTTTATTTCTACTTTTTAAAAGACATTAGAGAATTTAGATGAGAAAATAGGAAAGGGTGGCATCTAAAGAATGGGGCCCTGGTGAGAATATACCTGGGTATGTACTGACCCTACAGGACCAGGGGTCAGTGTGGGGTTAGCAGGGGCTAAAGAAGAGGGGAGTAGTAAATTACAAGGGAGTAAGAGTGGAGGGAAGTCCTTTGCCATGCTAAGAGCCAGGCATCCATGATCCTTTTAAAGCTAATACTTATCTGGTGCTTTCTCTTCACAGTATATGTCTTAAAGACTTTACCTTCATTTTTCCATAGAACACATTCAAGAGGTGATAACCTCGTTGACTAGAGGATGAAACTAAAGCTCCAGTTACTTTCCCCATAAAATAGCTAATAGGTGGTGGAGCTACATATCAGAATCTAAGCAGTTTGACTCCAGAGTTCATGCTGTTAATATCAATGCTCAAGAGGGCCGTATTAGTTTCCTATTGCTGCCATAAAAATTTGCCACAAATTGGGTGGCTGAAAACGACAGAAATTTATTCTCCCACAATGCTGGAAGTCAAAAGTCCAACAGGGGTCTCACTGGGATAAAATCAAGGTGTTGGCAAAGCTGTCTTCTAGAGGCATCCCTCATTTCTTGGCACATGGATCCCCTTTGTCTTCAAAGCCAGTAACATGGCAGTTGTTTGATCTTAGGGCTGTCATCACATCTCCTTCTCTGACTCTCCTCTTCTGCCTACCTTTTTAAAGATGCTTGTGACTGCATTGAGCCTAATGAGATAATTCAGAATTCCCCTATTTGAAGGTCAGATGAGGAGCACCCTTATTTCCATCTTCAACTTCAATTTCCATTGCCACATAACCTAATTACAGGTCCCAGGATTTAGGACATGGACATCTTTGGGGGGGTCATTATTCTCCCTACCACAGGTGCCTTAATATCTTATTCATTTTTTATGTGCCTCTGGGTTCCATACCAACAACCACCTGCAAATGGCTGACTCAAGCAAGTGTGCCTTCTCTCCCACCTGCTGACTGCCCTCTTCTTCCCTCCTATTGCCTTTGTCAGAAATGCTGCAGCCTGGAATCTTTCTCTAGTCGAAATCTTTGGCTCTGGTCTTATTTCGCTCATTTCTCCTACAGCGAGGAGCCAAGGTGGCAGCCATCTTGGCCATGCAAGATCAGTGGGAGGAGAACTGCTGTTAGATCCTACTCCTGTAATGAGAATGTTCAAAAGACTGGGGAATAATACTCTAAAATGTAAATAAATCTGACATCAGGCCTTGGTTCAACCAAGTGTTCCCTGTGCTTTTGTAGCTATCAGCTACAAGTGCTTGTGACTTTCCCAGGAAGCAAAAGCTGAGCAAGAAACAGAAGAGGGCAATGGCCTGACGAGGAGCTTAGCCTTGACTTCCCTCCCTTTCCATTTGTCGTTAACAACCCAAATCTCTTTGAAACCTCAAAAGAGCAATATATTTCAGGACAAAAAATAAGGTAGGAGATGTCATATTGTTCTGCAGCAGACATAGAAAAGACAGCAAAGAGGCAGTTGCAGAAAGCTGAACAGATAGATAAATCCTTCAGCCAGGGCTGGCTACATAATTTGCAGTACTTTATTTATTTATTTATTTATTTATTTATTTATTTATTTAGACACAAGGTCTCCCTCTGTCGCCCATGCTTGAGTGCAGTGGCACAATCTTGGCTCACTGCAGCCTCGATCTCCCAGGCTCAAGCAATCTTCCTACCTCAGTCCCCAAGTAGCTGGGACGACAGGCACCCACCACCACACCTGGCTAATTTTTGTATTTTTTGTAAAAACGGGTTTTGCCATGTTGCCCAGGCTAGTCTCAAACTCCTGAGCTCAAGCGACTCACCCATCTCGGCCTCTCAAAGTACTAGAATTACAGGCATGAACCACTGCACCTGGCCAGAAGTGCTTTAAAGATACTAAAATATAAATATGTTTTTCCTTTAAAAATAATAAATAAAATAAATACCAATACATTATTAATGTGACATCACAATTGATTATAAGGTTTTTTTCTTACTCAATGTTTTGAAAATTTATTTTTTAGGCCATCAAAATTGTACTGTAGCAAAATTATTTTCATTCTGAATAGCTGTAAATGGCATTAGTAGCTCTACACACAGACAAGGTTGCAAGCAATTTTTGTTAACTTTTAAGTTTGACAAGGATTTTTCTTCTTATGCAACTGTTACTGGAGCTGTTAAGAATATTTTAGAAGCTATGACAACATTTGGGATAAATTTCAATAAATTATTTCAAAATACAAATTTTAGTATGTCTAGAGTTGATGAGTCTCATGGAACAATTTTAATACAAAGACTTAACTCTTCATATGAGTCAGTTTTGTGTAAGTCTGAATTTTAAGTGTAAATTTATTCAATGACATTTTGATGTTTCTTCTGACATTTGCTGAAAATTGTGGAGATCGTACAAGAAATTGAAAGTAGCCTCATGATTTGTATATAATTTTAAGTGCCTGTTTATACATTCTATAACTCTATTTTCAACTTCAAGGGAAATTTTCATTTTATTTTATCTTCCTCATTAATAATTGGTCCATCTGAAGTTCACGTGAAAATAACGTTCTTTTCCACTGAGAATGTGAAATGTAACTTGTTTCTAAGCTTGTGGATATTCATTTTGCAATGTTTCAGCATTTAAATCCAAAGATTCTAAAATCTTTAAAGAGCTCTAATAATTCCTTGATAAATGCTTTATTGCAATGTTCATGTGTATGACTTTATTTTGTAATAATCTACTAATAACGTCTACTTCCTGATGTTGCCAAGCAGTTTCTGTCCCAAGGTTCAGGCTAAAGCGTTAATATTTGTGTAGATGCCACAGAGACGGACTTTGGGGACAAACAGCCAGGCTGGCCTCACAGGGGTACCAGTGCTGCCCCCCTATAGAGCTCCTCCTTCCCCGCTTGTCCTTGGCCGCTGCTACCATACCTGCTGCTTCTGCTGTTGCCAATCTGTGCCCAGGCACTGGCCCGGCCACCTTGTTGCCCTGTAATTACCAGCTGAAGACTCCATTTCCCAGTCCTGTTTGTAACTAGGTGTGGCACAAGCATGGGCTTTGGGTAGCCAGGCTAATTATCCCACATGCATGCTGCCTATGTGCCCCTGATGCACACGCTATACCATCTAGTCTATCCCCACTGCTCACACGCATGATCTATTACCCATCAAACTTACCTGCAAAATGCAAGTTTAAGGATAAAGTTATTAAGAATTTTAAGGCAGTGACAACAGAGCATTAAACCAAATGCTGATCCCTTCTGAGAGTAGGGTCCTGTGCCCCTGCAGAAGTCACCCACCCATGAAGGCAGCCCTGCCCTCAGACTTTGAAGAACAAAGAATGTCAAGGAGGGTAGTGGGATGAAAGCTTGAGAGAAGTCCCCTAAGAAGTCCCACTGGCAGGGGTCTCAGCATCCCAGTACCCCTCAAACCTGACCCCTTGATCACTGTACCCATCTTCCACCCACATCTCTCCTGCCACACCCACCAAAGTCCATCCTGCAGGAGCCACTCTATAGACAAGGGAGCCATGACTATAATGTGGCAGGGACTGCCGGTTGTCATCAGAATGCACTCCCCGCGTTTTTCACAGTAATGGAGTTTAAGATGCCTCCATGTACCCAGCCAAAGACTACATTTCCCAGTTCCCTTTGTGATAGGTGCAGCCATGTTACTAAGGTCTCTCCAACAGAATGGGAGCAAGTCATTCTTCTACTTCACCTCCTTCAAAGAGACGTGCTGCCATGTACTTCCTCTCTGTACCATTCCACAAGCTGGAACACAGATACAGGGCTCAGCCAGCTGCAACCACACAGGTGAAGACCATAGTCTAGGGATTGGTGAAGCAAGAAATAGATGGAGCCCAAGTCTTTGGATAATTTCATGGGGTAAGCCTGACTTGGCAAACTGAAAAGCTCACCTTGGATCTCTTGCTTAACAGAGAAAAAAAAGTTTTATTTAAGCCACTCTATTTTGGGATCTCTATTGTTATGGCAGCTTAGTATTTGCATAATTTGAATCTGGAGAGGGTTCATTCCCATTGTTGATCTATTCATTGAGCAGGTCTGAAAATAAGGTCAAGCCCCTGGTATGAGAGTAAGGTCCCTGGGAAGAAGGTGGGTGGGTTCTTCACATCACAATGAGAACTCTGAAAGCACTTTCCCACAAAGGCATTCATTTACTCACGTTAGCTATAAACGTGACAGACTTCAGCAATCCAGTCCAGCCTAGGGCTGTACCTACAACATTGCTACTACGAGAAAGCAGCTTTCATATCTGAAATAACCAATTTGTAAATATAACTTTGAAATGCAGCCAATTTATTAGCTGAAATCTTCCTGGAATTCTGTACCTACATCATAGAACTGTAGTGAAGATTAATTGAGATAATATATGTTAACAATTAAGCATAGCATCTGATACCAAATGAGCTTTCAATCAATTTGATCTTTTTATTATTACTGACATTATTAAACCGGCATCATAATATAGTCATAATTAACATAATATAGTCATAATATGACACATTATCATGATATATATGATAATATAATGTCATATATATTGACATCATTTAATTATTTTTATTTTGAGACAGGATCATGCTCTGTAGCCCAGCCTGGAGTTAAGTGGGACACTCTCCACTCACTGCAAACTCTGCCTCCCAGGCTCAAGTGATCCTCCTGCCTCAGTTTCCCAAGTAGTTAGGACTACAGGTGTGCATCACCATGCCTGGTTAATTTTTGTATTTTTTGTAGAGACAGGGTTTCCCCATGTTGCCCAGGCTGGTCTTGAACTCCTGGGCTCAAACAGTCCACTCTCCTTGGCCTCCCAAAGTGCTATGATTTCAGGAGTGAGCCACTGCACCCGGCTGACATCATTTATTTTAAGGAAGTATATGGCAACAGGCTTGGGGAAACAATCCTTCCTCCCCTGGCTGCCACACAGAGAGGGATAAGAGATAAATTACTTAAATGTTTACAAATCTCTTAGTTTCCACAAGAAGTTTTAGCAAGTCTTTTCAAAACAAACTGCATAAAATATTACCTCAAAAATACATGAGGTGTTAAAATATTACTCAAACTAGTCAATTAGAAGTAATGGGTTAAGAAATCACCAAGGAAAGAAATGTGCATCAGAAAGAAGAAACCAAGAATTCAGTACATGAGAGAAACATAAAAGGAAGAGCTGCCAAAAGTGGAGAGTGGGCATGATTCATTCTGGAGATCACTGTAAGGTTTCCCCGAAAGACAATAGAAGAAATAAGTTTTGCTTTTACAGGATTAACTTTATAGTAGATAATACGCATAGATCAGGGTAAGGCAGTTTTTAAAAACTGAGAGGAAAAATGGGCTTCTACTCTGAAAAAAATTAGAAGAATAGAAAGAAAACAATAAAACTTTCTTCAAAGCTATAGGGAATAAAAAGAGATAATGGAAAAATCTTAAGACTTAATTAGGTGTGGAGAAAAATCTGCCAAGAGATGAAGCCAAGAAGTCAGATTGTTAATTGCTTATTTATTTCTAGAGCATTGTCATCAGAACGTGAATAATGAATAAGACAGTAACAAACAACAGAAAAGTAAGAAGTAGTTGAACATCTGGGGAAAGATTTCTTAAATAACCTAGACTTGGCAGTATTTCATCCACTCAGCATTTTTAAGGAAGAAAATATCCCATGCAGGGAAACATTCAAACAACTGAAGCTTATCTACTTAAGAGTTGTAAATTCTTTCATGATTTTATTAAAATTCTGTTAAAGGGAAACCTGTTCTCTACTTTCTGAAATGTAGTGTGTTAATTTTAACCACTTTCTTAATGCTCCAGGGTACTTTTGGTGAACAGCAAAAACTTCTCAGCCCTGCGTGGAGGCTCCTGGGGTGAATTTGTCCCCGTGCTAACCTGCCTAAGACTTTCTTGCTATTTAGAGTGTGTCGCTCTTCTCCACGATGTAATCACAGCAGTCCCGATCTCTACCAGTGCCCATATCCCTGCACCAGTAACTGTACCCCTCCACATTTCCAATCTATTTCCCAGTAATTACAGAGATCTAGGAAACCCAAAAAAGCAAATTTTTAATGTTTTTTTTTAAATAAAAGTGAACAAGCTCCAAAAGAGGGCCTCAGGGAATCTTTTTTTTTAATGGCATAAATGAACATCTATTTAGATCATAACCACTTTTGTTTTTTTGCTTTTTAATAATTACTTATATTCTGAGTAATTTGGGTAGCAATCTCTGGAGAAGTGAGGTGTGGCCATATATTCAAATGACTGAATTAAAATAGAGGTACCTCATGAAAGGAGACAGTTGCTATAGTGGAAAGGGCACGGGGTTTTACCAATGGAACTGGGTTCAAGCACCAGCTCTGCCTCTTACCAGCTGTCTCTGAGTCTCAACACCTTACTCTTTAAAAAGTGAACATACACACCCACAATGCAGAGTTATTTTAAAGATTAAAAGAAATACAGTATTGTGCCTGCCTTTATACTTGGCACATATAGAGCTTACGTAGACAAACTTTAGTATTATTTTTATATCTTTGAATATGTATGGACATTTCTATGTATGTCTAATATACTCACAAGTGATTAACACAAACCGAAAATTTAATCTGTAAGAAAAAAAATCTACTTTAGATTATTTTAGGTAAAATAAGATTCATTAGATTTCTGGAATTTTACAGCTAGAAGAGACTGGCAATCAATCACACAGTCCTGCTTCCAATCCCAGAAATGAGGAAACCAATGCTGGAGAGTAAACATGACTTGGCCAATGTCATAAAGCTAATTAGAAACTAGAGGTAGAACTGGAACTACGATTTTCTAATGTCCAATTCAGAGTTAACCTAGAACAGAGACTGACAAACATTTTCTGTAAAGGGCCAGATAGTAAATTGTTAGACTTTGTGATGCATACAGTTTCTGTTACAACTGTTCAACTACACCAATGTGGAGCAAAAGCAGCCATAGGCAATATGTAAGAGAATGAGTGTGGTTGTGTTTCAATATTTTATTCAGAAAAACAGGCTGCAGGCTGTCTTTGGCTCACAGGCTATAGTTTGCTGACCCCTGATCCAGAAGAAGTTAACAGATTTTTTAGCTAGAGGAAACATGATGGACATAATTCCAAATCAACACATCTTTCTGCTTTCTATCGCCAGTGCACTAGAAAAGCTGTGTGACAATGAAAGAACTCAGAAGAATGAGACTTAAATGTTGCTATTATGACTAACATCTTAAAATAGTGTTTAATAAACACAAATCTTGACCTCAAGATTATTTTATTACTTAGTAGCAATTAGGATAATCTAAAAAAGAAGCTCTAAGAAAGCAGGAGGAGACTCAAAGAATTGGAATTCAAAATTATCTTGGCTAAATAATAACAGTGAAGAGAACTAAAATAGTAGTACACATACAATGAAGCAAAAACTAAAACAGAAAATACTATGGAAAAGATAAAAGTGTTCTAACCTAAAGAAATAAGTAAATACTGCCATCAAAATTTACTGATTACAACTGAAAACATGTCTTATCTATCCAAGTAGTACTTTTACATTAGAACCTATCTCTCCAAGAGATCATCCTTAAAGTCAGAATCAAAGAGCATGATGTTGGGGCCAGGCCCAGTGGCTCACATCTGTAATCCTAGCATTTTGGGAGGCAGAGGCAGGCGGATTGCCTAAGCTCAGGAGTTTAAGACCCACCCTGGGCAACATGGCGAAACCTCGTCTCTACTAAAATACAAAAAATTAGCCGTGTGGTGGCAGATGCCTGTAGTCCCAGCTACTCGGGAGGCTGAGGCCTGAGAATTGCTTGAATCCAGGAGACGGAGGTGAGCTGAGATCGTGCCACAGCACTCCATCCTGGGTGAAAGAGCAAGACTCTGTCTCCAAAAAAAAAGGGGGGGAGCATGATATTGGAACCAGGAATAATCTACCAGAAATAAGAACACCTCCAAAAATGTGTCTTTCTGGTTTGTGTCAGGACCTCCTGATAACATTGGTCCCATGATCATAATCGTCATAATATTCTTCAGACACATAAAGAAAGATCTCATGGAGGAAGGTGACCAAATGCTTTTTCCTTTCCACTGAGGATGAATGTGAAGAAATACCTATGCTGCAATATGAGGCAGAGATAAATTTCTTGTTCCTAAGAAGTATGACATATTGGAACGGGTTGGCAAAGGAATAGTGTTCAAGCTTCCTCTAGAGAGGCTTTGAGAGAGTCTAAACTTTGCATCTGTTTGGCGTGAGGTTTCCTCCCTAAGAGAAAGGGAAGTAGAAGAATTTTCAACCTCTGAATTTTAAGGGAGCTGTTCAAATTGTAATTTGACATACTCAATTGAACTAAATGTAGTACTCTATTTTCCCTAACACTTGTGTTGCTCCCTAGTAGTAAATTGGTTGTTTACTTTTGAACATCTACCTTGGAGGCACTAAAGAGTAACAGGATGATCTATGATTGGAATTGGGTTCATTACATTGTACCAACTTGCTCCCAACATCTGTTCTGTTTACACAATGACACATTCAGAGTATTCAGTGCTTAGTGCAAACAACTATGATCTTCCAATATTTGATTTCTCCTTGGGCTTTCACACACCTCAGCTTTGGTTTCACTGAATGATTTTTGGAAGAAAAAAGGGCATAAAATAAAGCTATACCAATGAATGAGAGATTGAGTGATAACTATGAAAGTTTTGTGTATACAACTTCTGCAACTCAAAGGGCTCTCTGATGGTGTTAGCAAAAAACCGTGTAAACACCCTTGCCCTCTGTCAGGACACAATAAAAGCTGTTTCTTTAATATCACAGTATCATTGTCTGTTTTTAACTTTTCTATTTACATAGTAAAGGAAATTTTTCACTTAATATTTAAAGGATTATATAACGATCCAATACAATATTAAAGCACACAGAATAATGTTGTTCAAATATATAATATATATAGATGACTTTTTCTACTTGTATATGTTCACTTAGAATGCTTTTAAAATTTATAGCTAAATCCAGCTACAAGAAAATTTTCATTTCTTCAATATAGATCATAGGCATTTTATTTCTGTGCATCAACTTTTAAAAAGACAGCTTCAACTATCACATAATAATGTTGACACTTTATAAATATTAGTAAAAAGTCAATAAAAATGAAGCCACTTTCATACTGTTAAAAATAACATGTTAACTAAAAAAAATACTGTTGGAAGACATGTATATACCACATTCATTACAATGGAAAGTAGAGAAATACCTGTTAGTTGTAACTAATGTTACAAACAAAATTTCTATAGAAAGAATACTATGAAAATTAGAACTAAAGCATATTTTTAAAAGTTCAATTGGCAGGATCCAAAAAAATACCTACCCTTGAACAAGAGAAATTATATTTAATTTCTTTAAAGGAAAAGTCACTTTTTATGTTAAAACTCAAAAATCTCAGAACCACAGTTTTTTCTCTTTTATTTTCCAATGTAACATCCTCCAGGCTTTTTCAAGCAACCACATGGATCTAATAGACAACTCACGTATACGAACCAGTACACACTCAATTTTACCAATTGGTAAAAATTGTTTTCTCTCACCCACAGCTTTGACCAGGTCACCCCTGCCCCCACTGTGGCTTCTCTATTGTTCTTATCAAATGCAGACTCCCGGGATCTCAGCTTCAAAGACCTCCTCTAGTTTTCTCAGCTTTCATTTCCTCTGTAACCAGTCTGTATTCTTCCAGCCAAGAAATCCTTCATTCAGCCCTTTGATTCACCGTCCCCAATCCTTCATCCATCCTTTTTCTTACACTTCCAACACTGGCTCAGACCACATTCAACAGTGACTTCGCCCCTGAAATGGGATTCAACCTCAACTTATTAGGTTAAATATCCAACTGCTTTTGTTTGCTTCTTTATATTTTTAAATCTAATGCTATTTGCTCTGTACAAAAGAGATTATTAGATAGGACCAGGCCCCCTGCATCAAATTTCTCAAGTATTTTAGTCTTTCATGTTCAATCTGTTAGACCTCTAAAGGGCATAGCACAGAATGAAAGAAAAGTATCTGTATTACATTTAAAGACCGAAAAAAAGAGAGGCACTGTAGTATATTTTATGATTGCAGGTTGTAGGAATGTCCATTGATATTGCTTTAGGGACCATGACAGAAGCAGAAGATAGTGGGAATGTTAAGCACTAGATACAAGATGAACAAAGACACACACAACCCCATATCACACCACCGAAGTGATAAACTGGCAACGAGAGGTGAGAAGGAGGAACAGAGATGGATACAGGAGGGAGGGGAAACTGGGAAGCAAATGGGCACAGTATTCCCAGTAGGAATACAAGTCACCAGAGTTCTTCCTGCCAGGCAGAACACAAGCCATCTGACTATGTGCCAAGTGCTGAAATGGACACACAACATTAGCAACACAAAGCACTATCTCATTAGACTTCGTTTCCAAAAGTCTATTTTCTTTCCTCCAATAAACATTAGGATTAGCCTACTTATTCTGTTGCTCCCAACACTAATTCCAATGAAACTCCCAGTTACCATGTGAAAGGTTGGATTAATTCAATGACCCTATTTTCTTCATTGCTAAGAGCACCTTTATACATTCTCTCATTCAAAAATACATTGAGTATCAAGGTTATCTTGTCAGAGAATATCCTGAAATGATGAGCCCTAGTTTCTTCATCTGTAAAATAAGGATAATAATTATGTAACTATTAGGTAGTAAGGAAAATTAAATGAGACAGGGTATGTAAACCACTTAGCAGTCATTGGCATCCAGCATGCGTGCAATAAAAGTTAGCTATGATTATTGTCATTGTTATTACTATAAGAACCTTGATTTTAGCAGATGACAGTTGTCATTGTAACCTAACGTGAGCTTTAAACTAGAAAATTTAATTTTTAGACTAAACAATATTTATATGCCTTTTCTATCTTCCTATCAAATACAATGAATCCCACTGTTTTTCAGTTTTCCTGAATTCATGCAACTCCCTTCCAATTCTGAATTCAACAGGTTGCTGGCCTGTTTCCTAGTCAACACTACAGAGGAAAAACATGAGCGAGGAAGGAAAAGTACTAAAGCAGAAGATGTCTATTCCTTAGTCCGTGTTGTAGTTAAAAGATGAGTCTGTTGAGTCATTACCCACAACTCCTATGGGTCCCAAGGGAGGACAGTTGTCATCAGAACTGCTTTTGCAACCTGCCCTTTTAAATGCTCTGAGATATTTGTCCTCTTTCTTCTTGACTTTTTGCTTTGCACTTCACATGCCCCCTCCATGAGCTCATTCACTCCTTTGATTTTAGCCCAACACATACATGAATAACTCCCAAGCTCTTGTCTCTGCAGCTCAAGCCTCTCTCCTGAATTTCAGGGACCTGCAACCAACTGATATGCCAGGAAATTTACATCTCCAAATTATTCTTTATCATAAACTTTTCTATTCCTTGTGGTCTCTACTTTGGCAAGTAGTATGACAAACATGTTTCACCTTTTCCCAACCAACCACCTGGTGGTCATCCTTCCTTCTACCTTTTGCTCTTCCCAGTGAACCACCAAATTCTCCATATGTGAGTCCTTGAGAACAGGGATTTTGCCTTATTTGTTCCTCAACCCCAGTGACTAAAACAATCCCCAGCACATAGCAGGCTCTCCGTACATATTTGTTATATAAATGAATAGTGCATAGTTACCGCTCCATAACCATCTGCTATATGAAGGACTGGATGCTTTAAGCTGCATTCTCACAAAACAGGAACAACATACAAATTATTCTCCTTTACTTAAATGTTTCTAATAATTTCTTCTTATAAATAAGAATATTAAACCATATAATGCAGTTTTGTTTTCTATCAGAACAACAAGACATCATGTGTTTTGTTACAATGTTCAAATGTTAGTCCTCTGGCTGTTGAGTTTCATAGCTAAACAAGAAGTTTTTCAGTCTTCAGACTTTGTAAAAATCTGTAAAAACCCTCTATTCAAGTTATACTCAGCAAGGGGTCTTCTGAAATGTGCGTGGAGAAAATTGGAAACAGCTTAGCAACTGAAAAGAATAATATTTCATAATATCCTATGGAGTAAAAAGTCAGATCCCGTGGGGCCACTCACTGGGCATGTTAGGCAATTTCAGAAAACATTTTCAGAAAATTTTTTCAAATATTCTATATGCTATTTGGTGGACAGAAGTAACCTGTCATATGTTGCCCACGACTTTTGAGTGGTTAGCCTCACTTTTCATTTAAAACGTTTTTATTTGAATCGGTTGTAGTAGTATAGGGGTCTAAAGGACATATGTGCATTCTTGCTAGAAAGTATGTGGCCTGCCTTTTACTTTGTGTCTATAGTCAAATCAACTTGCATTGCTTTGCTTCATAAAAATAGCATAAAATGTGCTACAAATAAATAAAAGGAAAGTACATTCATGCCTGCATCTGTGTTTGACTTGCAAAACAAAAGACTTCATGAAATAAAAATATTTTGAGGCTCTTTTATTTTTATCACTACTTATTCTGTACTGGGCAGATCTGAACACTACATGTTTTCTTCAATTAGAAGTCATCCAACAGGTGGACTTATTTTCAGTGCAAAGTCTTAGCCAAGATTAAGCCATATATTTCATACATCTTGTTCAAGATGACTGAGACCAAACCTCTAAATTTCTTTTTCTCCAGGTCAATATTCGCAGTTCTAAACTAAATAACCACTTTTTTTTGGTACTGTGTTGAGATTTATTCAAACTGCCAACCATGAAAAGAAAAATAGGAACATTCCCAGGAAAAAGAGTGGGGTACATGCAGATAACTATTGGTTATCCATCACAAATTATAAGGTTAGTGAATAGTATTTGCTTTTATATGCAATCATGTGCTATTTTTATATACATCTACATAGAGCTATCCCTACACATCTACTTCTTGTATGAGATGAACTCATCCCTTCTTTCGTGGGCTGAATGCTATAGGTCTACCTTTAATTTATGCTATTAAGTGCCTGCAAGAGATGATTTTTAAATAAGTAGTTTTGCATACAGAACCACCATTTGATTCCAACTTTGAATGCTATTAAGCTAAATGTACACAGAAATCCTTTTTACTCCTTTTAAGATGTGTACACTATGTTTATGACAGTGAAGTCCTAGGTCTTTGAAACACTAACAGGCCCAGATTCAAAGGGGTTCAGATCACAGCTCAGTCAAGTTCCACCTCTATGATCTTGAGCAAATCACTTAATCTCCCTATCAGTTCTGTCATCTATAAAATGGGAAGTGCCTCAGTCCATTCAGGCTGCTAAAACAGACTACCACAGATGGGGTGGCTTAAACAAGAAACATTTATTTTTCATAGTTCTGGAAGGTGGAAGTCCAGGATCAGGGTGCACAGTGGCATTCTTAGTGAGGGCCCTCTTCCCGGTTTAGTCCTCACGTGGCCTCTCTTGATGCATGTACAGACAGAGAGAGAGAGAGAGAGAGCACACAAGAGCGCTCTATCTCTTACTCTTCTTCTAGGAGCACTTCTAATCCCATCATGGGGGCTCCACCCCCATAACCTCATTTTTTCTTTTTTTTTTTTTGAGACGGAGTCTTGCTCTGTCACCCAGGCTAGAGTGCAATGGTGCGATCTCAGCTCACTGCAACCTCCACCTCCTGGGTTCAAGTGATTCTCCTGCCTCAGACACCCAAGTAGCTGTGATTACAGGTGTGTGTCACCACACCAGTTAATTTTTGTATTTTTAGAAGAGATGGGGTTTTGCCATGTTGGCCAGGCTGGTCTCGAACTCCTGACCTCAGGTGATCTGCCCGCCTTGGCCTCCCAAAATGCTGGGATTACAGGCGTGAGCCACTGCACCCAGCCCATAACCTCATCTAAACCTAATTATCTCCCAAAGTCTCCACCTTCTAATACCATCCTCTTGGGGTTACGGTTTCAGCATGTAAATTTGTGGGTGGGGGATGCAAACACGCAGTTCATCACAGGAAGAATAACCATAATCCTCACAGTGCTGCTGGGAGGAGTAAATAAGAACATGTATCTAAAGGGCTTAGCACAGCACTTAGTACATAATAAATGCTCAGCAAGATACATACTATTATGATAACACTGTTATTATTAAACACTATTAGGAAAACACCATTATTTGAATTGCAAAGTCTGGCCATCGTTTCTTCATTTTGTTTGTTTTATTCTGTTACTACCTTAACCATATTCACCAGAGTGCAGCATGGCTTAAAATTAATTGATTTTTTATTCTACAAATCTTTAATCCAAACACTATTTCCACAGACCCCACCAGCTTCTAACATTTAGCTATTCCGTCTTCACAATTTCAGCATTTTTCTGAGCTTAGTATTCATCACACATACTGATGCAATCACTTGCATATGAGTACATGTATTCCCATCACTCACGTTCCATTTTCATCCAATGTTTGCCTGTTTTCACACATAAGTTATCACTGGAGAAGTGGAACCAGGATAATAGCCAGGTCTGCTTAATCCTACAACAGCCATCTTCTAACTGTGGAAGGTGTTTCCTTAGAGATATACAAGGGCTTTCCAAGGGTATATTACAGGCAGAGATAGTTTTAAAGGAATCAATTTCCACACCCTTAAATTTCCTCTTTTCTATCATTGCCTATCTGAGGGCACATGCAGGATAACGTCCTTTCTTACCGCCCTTTTCGCAATGTTCCTTTTTTTCATCTGACAAAAGAAAGGCACTTTTTAAACATTTCAAACCTGCTATGGCACATGCTCCTGGGTATAAAACATCTGGAGTTCCAAACACATAGACAATTTAAAATATCTTCCATCTTGCTATCCTGCCTCCTCATTCTCCAAATGTTGTCAGAGAAGATATTGTTCCTGAAGGAAAATATTTGAAGGACAAAGTTAAAAGAGCACAAATAAACCCCGAAAGCAGAGGACCAGAGGCTCATTTCAGGCAACAAACTTATTTTATTTTGTCTGTCCATCTGTCTACCGAAATACGTATCTTAAAATTTGAAGTGAAACGTGGGATTCTAAGATTCTAGGTCCAGTTAAAATGGAGTAAAAATGTCCCACCTTACCTCCCCCTGTGATTGTAACTAAATGTTGTGGACAGAATACACAAAGCAATTGTCTGTGGTATCCAAACAGTAAAGACCAGTAAGCGGACTAGGAAGGGAAATAAAAACTTAAAGAAAGAGTAATAAGGAGGTGAGCTTTCTGGTGTTTTTCTTTTTCTACTCATATTTCCCAACATAGAATGAATGCAACAAAATCATGGAACTGTGCAGCAGTCTTGACCAAGAGAAACTCTCTCCTTGGTCAGACGAATAAGCAGGAGGGGCCCTGCAAAACCAAAGGACGGGGAGTCCCCTGAGACATCTCTTCTCCTGACCGTCCCTTGGAGGGGGCCCTAGAAGCTGTGCTCATGGAAGCTGTACTCATGCAACAGTGGCAGCAGCAGCCAAGGTTGCCTATTTGCCCCAGAGTTGGCTGCAACAGTGCAAAAGGCTAAAACTAGAGCTTTTTTGACAGAGGACCAGGGCAAATGGTCCCTGGAAGTCAGAGAGTTTCAGGGAGATCACAGAGAAGAGGGAGCTTGAGATGAAAGATCCCACAGAGCTATGTATAAAGTCCTGCCTGGGTTTATCCCTCAGGTCTCCATGCATGAAAATGATTTGAAATAGAATACCAAAAGCTTTGAGAAGTAAGCAACAATGTAATCCATGGCCCAGATATCAGACTGATCCCTGGGAAATACACTCATGGGGAGGATCCAGAGAGCACTACAAAGGCTTTGAAAACTGAACTGACATTGGAAACAAAGCCCTTAGAAGGCATAATGTGACTTGTGACCGGAACTTAACTGGGTCAACTGACTATGAAAAGAAACAAACACACAAACAAAATTAGCATTTTCCAGAGAATTCTAACAGGACCCAGAATATCATAATATTTTCAAAATGCCCAGGATATAAGTTAAAATTAATTAACATACAAAGAAGCAGGGCAAGGCCAGGCACGGTGGCTCATGCCTGTAATCCCAGCACTTTGGGAGGCCGAGGTCAGGATCACAAGGTCAGGAAATCGAGACCATCCTGGCTAACACGGTGAAACCCTGTCTCTACTAAAAATACAAAAAATTAGCCAGGCATGGTGGTGGGCGCCTGTAGTCCCACCTACTAGGGAGGCTGAGGCAGGAGAACGGCGTGAACCTGGAAGAGGGAGCTTGCAATGAGCTGAGATCGCGCCACAGCACTCCAGCCTGGACGACAGAGTGAGACTCCATCTCAAAAAAAAAAAAAAAAAAAAGAAGCAGGGCATTCTCAGCAACCCCTAAGTGAAAAGATAATTAATAGGCACCACCCCTGAAGTGACCTAGATGTTGAAATTATTGAACAAAGACTTACTTTAAAGCAGCTGTAATAACCATACTCCATGAAGTAAGGGTCAACAAATTTGAAGTGAATGAAGGATAGAAGTTATCAGTAAAGAAATAGCAGCTATGGAAGCTCAGAACTGAAAAATAAAATAACTAAAATATTTTTAAAAGACACTGAAATTGCAGAGTGAAGATGACAAGACAGAGTAAGTGAACTTATAGCTAAATTAATAGATATTATCTAATATGAACAAAAGAGAAAAGTTTTCAAAAAACGAACATAACTTCAGGTACCTGCTGTATATTATCAAAAGGTCCAATATTGATGTCATTAAAAATATAGGAAGGAAAGGAAGGAGAATGAGATTTGTACAGAAGAAAAGTTTGAAAATTTAATGGCTGAAGTTTTCTAAATCAAAAGAAAGATATAAATTTAGACTCAAGAACCTAAATCTTTGGAATTTTTTTGGAACTCAAGAATCTCAACAGAACCCAGATAAGATAAACTAAGAAAATAAAATCAAAATAATCAAATGACTGGAATTTATTCAGGAATGCAAGGCTAATGTAACAGTCAAAAAGTAATAAATGTAATCTCTACATTAATAAGCTAAAGAAAAACTACGTGATCATGCCAACTCATACAGAAAAAGCATTTGATAAAATTCAACATCTTTCATAATAAAAACTCCTAGAAAATGAGATTTAGTTTATGGGATTACCTGATTAGGTCTACTGAGGATATTCTACCTTTCTTAAAGTCAGCTGTGCCAAATAACATAATCTAATTATAGGAGTGACTGCAACATCATATTCAGTTCATCCCCACATTCAGAGGTGAGGGGATTATACAGGGTGAGTGAACCACAGAACTGGAACCCTAGGAACCATCTTAGAACAATGTTTACCATAACTAGCAATGAACAATGGGAACTCAATGTTTTAAAATTAGTACCTTTTACAATAGCTCTCAAAGTATCTAACAAAATACGTGCAAGACCTATATGAGCAAATTATAAATGCCAATAGAAGAATCAAGAAAGACCTAAATAAATGATAAACCAAGTTCATGGTTTGAAAGACTTAATATGTTTAAGATGCCAAGTCTCCCCAAATTGATCCACAGCTTTAATACAAATCCAATCAAGATTTTTGGAACACTTTTTTTTTTGTAGACATAGACAAGCTAATTCTAACACTTACATAGAAAGGCAAAGAACTACAACTGAAAAATAAATGTTGAGACATAACACAGTGGAAAAACTCATACTATTCTTTGTTAAGTCTTAATATCAAGCCATACTAATCAAAACAATGTGGTTTGGTTAAGGAATGAGCACATAAATTAATGAAACAGAATGAACAGTCCAGAAATAGACCCACGAGAATAAGGTCAATTAATTTTTGATGGAGGTGCAAAAGCAATTTAATAGGAGAAATATAGGCCTTTTAACAAATGTGTCTGGAACAAATGGACATCCATTTGGAAAAGGAAAAAAATACCACTTGACCTATACCTTATACCTTAGGCAAAAAGTAACTCAATGCAGGTCATATAAAATGAAAACTGAAAAAGTCTTGGGAGAAATTATGAAGGAAAATCTTTATGCAGTTGAGATAAGTAAATAGTTCTTATATGATACAAAAGTATGTTGCATTAAAAAATTGGTAAATAAAATCATTTGTTCTGTGAAAGACACTGTGAAGAGAATGAAAAGACAAGGTACAGAGAGTGGGAAAATATTCCCAAATCATATATTGAACAAAAGACTTGTACCCAGAATATATAAAGAACTCTCAAAACCCAACAGTAAGAAATCAAACAACATCAAACAACCCCCCACTCCTGCCATAAAATGAGCAAAAGATACGAACAGACACTTCATAAAGGTGATATTCCGATGGCAAGTAAGCATATTAAAAGATATTCATCATTAGGCAAATTTAACCACAGTGAGATGCTTCTACACACCTATTAGAGTGGTCAAAACAGAAACAACAAAAGTCAATCTGACAATACCAAGTACTGGTGAAGATGTGAAGCAACTGGAAGTTGCATACATTGTTATTGATGGGTATGCAAAATGATACAGCCACTCTGGAAAAACTGTTGACAGATACCAATCTAGGTATTCATCTTAGAGAAATTTGCCTATAAAAACTGTAAGTGAATGTTTATAGCAGTAATTTTCACAATTACCAAAAAACTGGAAACAATCAAATTCCTTTCAATGAGCAAATAAACAAATTGAGGTACAGCCATACAATGGAATACTAGTAAGCATTAAAAATAACCACTGATACATGTAACAACATGGATGAATATTAAAGGCATTATCGTAAGTGAAAGAAACAGGTTTCAAAAGGGAATATACTGTATGATTCCATGTGTGACATTCTAGAAAAGCCAAACCAGAGATGTGGAGAACAGATCAGCAGTTTCCAGAGGTTTGGAGTGTGGTTTTGGCCATAAAGGACAAGACGAAGATGATATATGTAGGATGATAGAACTGTTCAGTAATCTAATTTTGTGGTGGTTACAAATATCTATGCATGTGTTAAAACTCAGAACTATATATACACACACATACAGTGAATTTCATTGTATGGAAATTTAAACATAAAAACTAAAGTCAGCCTATTTCTTTCAGAAAGTAACTCTGATTTGATGAATAAGTTTTGACATTGAAGACTGGCATTACTAGTTAGATAAATTTTACATAAACTGGATGAACAAAACTGACAGCTCCAAGTTTTGATAAATATATATTTAAAGCATGTAATAATATAAAAAGCATTTTATTAAAATATTGTATTAGAAAAAATTAATTGAAATTAACCAATATTTCCATTTTTTATAAATTTTTCTGAATATATAGAGCTAAACAAAGTGCCTCAAAGTGAAAGAGTAATAAACAGATATTTGATAAATCCTGGCAATATTCTCAGAAGTAGAGACCATGCATGGCTTTACTGACTGGGTAACAAATTCATTTGCAAGTAAGGTGCTTTCCAAGTCTGTGCTTTCAAAAATGGAAGGAGAATCTAATCAAGTTGTCATCTAATCATTAAAAATAATTTTAATGATAAATCATTACTATTTGCTTTTTGACAGTACAGTGGGAAGCTTCTCAAATAATTGAATGCCATTATTCAATAAAACTCTTTCTATGCCCATGTGTTTAATCATATGAGTAAGTTTTCAAAGCACTACCATCTAGAAGAAAAAAGTAGGAACACAATTGATGCCAAACTCTGATATAGTCTACACAAACCAGTGTTCAAAGAAAATAAACTGCATCTAATACATCAAGATATGGAATTCTAATATGTGTCACATTTAAGGTTAGTAATTATTTATAAACATTTATAATAGATTGAAAGTACAACTTTTTGATAAATTAATCAGAAAATAAACTGTTGACAGAGTCTTATGACTGAAGGAAAGTTTTTTAAAGTAATAATTTCCATTTTATGCACAGTTTTGTTCTAGAGATGCATGGTAGGGGGATAAAAATAATCTAAGCATTAAAAAGATATTACACTGTAATGAAATTCTGTAGGTGAAAGGAAATAGAAATGACTTCAGAGAGAAAAAGGAGCAAAGTAAAATTTGCTGAATGTTACAAGAGGAGCTTATAATTTTTTAATGTTTGGTGAATGTCAAGGCACTATGGGATTTAGGTTTCACTAGACACATTTAAAATAGTTATATGTCAATTATTATAATAGTCTTTAAATTCTATTATCTGACACTATTTACATTCACAGTTAAAATTTTGTAGATATTAATTTAAAATTGTACAAGGGCTGTGTACTTTGTCAAAATCCTTTGAGGGTACACAGCAAAAATATTTGGAAGACCACATATCTAAAACACTATGTTGCACTGCCTCCTCGATAAGAGCTTAACTTTTTGTTTAAATGTGTGCAGGGTTTCAGACACAAAATAAACATATGGATAGAGCAGGTGAGAATGGAGACTTCAAATTGCTTCCCAATTGCTGAGCTCAATGGAATTGCAGTTATGAAGCTCACAATGCTATTTAGCAGAATGAAGTCACAATTTCAAAAGAGATTCATAGATTTTCATGTGATGATTCTGAATCATGCATTATTTTCAGTGGGTGGCCCAGAGTTTAGAGTTCAAACTCTAGGATGTCTGAATTACTAGATAACTGCCACATTACTGTTGAGAATATCAAAAAGAACTGATTAAGCTTAAAGAATAATGTTCACCTAAAAGACATAGATAGTATCCTTTCCCAGGAATTTTGGGAAACAAATACGAAACTTAGAACTAAGCTAATATTTCTGCTATGTGAAAGAAAAAAAACCAGCATTTTGTTTTTCATTTACCTGGTTCTGTAAAGATCTATCAGCTATGATTAAATTGACCATGATGGGGCGTACAAAGCTGAATACAGAACTAAAATAGATGATGTTTTGAATAGCAAATGAGCAGCATTCTTGTTAGAGTAATCAGAACTGATTATTGACCAAAATAGACTCAGGGATGTGCACTTATGATCATACATATTAAATAATATCAGACTTTTGACTTGTTGCTAAAAATTTCCATATTCTACTGTAATCTGTAAGACCACAAATGTGGATTTCTGATTGTGATTCTGAAATGTGATTCTGATTTCTGATTCAGAGGCATAATATTGACAAAATGAAGATGGTCTTGGTCTCCAGCCACTGAACAAAATAATATTCTGTAAGAAGCCCAAGGATCAACCTATGATCTTGAGCTTCTGAGCTATCAACCTGTAAGCCAAGCAGCTAGCTTGGCAAGAGAGTGAGAAGAATGAATGCAGATGAGGAAAGAAAACCTCTATATTTCTGTTTTAGGAACCACTGTGCCACTTCAAGCAAAGCAATATTTGGCAGAGAATAGAAACTTAATCTCAAATGATCTATAAACAAGAATTACGGAGCCCGCAGAGAACAGGTAGTATTTAGGCTCAACAAGAAAACGATTTTATCTGGCACTGCTTCTTTATCCTGGGTATGTGGCATAGCAAAGTCAAAACAAGCCTGTAATTCTCCCAGAAAAACAGTGGAAACTCACAGGATGAGCATTTCTCGTGGTCACAGATCAAAAGAAGTTGTTAGGGACTTAAAAGTATTTTTAAAGCTTCAAGTTACAGCAAAATGAAATGTTAAATACCAGAAAAGTTGATCATGAAGTTTCTTCATAAGAATTCTGGCATATCCTTAGCTCTATCACTACCCAATAATGACAGCTGTTTCTTACATAGCTTCTCTTCTTCATCTCATTTTTGACCACTCTCCCTAGCATGTTCTATGTAACAGCCCTACAGACAGTTTCTGACAGCTGATTAAAAGAACTGAGGGGAGATATCTGGGGCAAGAACGTCGCAGCAGATGGAACAGAGTAGCTACAGCCTAGAGAGCAAAAACAAAAACATTAGGAGAAAAGTCAGAGACGCAATCAGGGCCAGATAATGTAGAGTGGGATGTCTATGTTGCACAACTCTAGGAGGCACAAATGATACAGACGGGAGGTGGAAATGCTGGGTAGAAGAGGGCGGTTCCCCAACAAAGGCCCCACCCTTAAGCTGGAAGACCCACAGCTCTAAGTGAGGACAGGCATTTCTGTTTTCACACCCAAAAAGTTGCCTTTTGGCCCACCACACCCCTCATCCTGCCCTCATATAAACCCAAGACCTTAGCGCGCACACACACGGAGCGGCTGAATATCGGAACCAGCAGATCAGTGAAAACGGAATAACTTGGCAGAGAAAGAGAGAAGAGAGAGGTTCGGCCACAGAGGGGAGTTCAGCGGAGAAGTCTGGCCGCTGGGTGCTCCGGCTCCAGGGAAAGACCACCTTCCCACTCCATTCCCCTGCTTCCGGCTCCCCATCCACCTCGCTGAGAGCCACCTCCACCACTCAATAAAACCTTGCACTCATCCTTGGAGCTCACGTGTGATCTAATTCTTCCAGTACACACTGGGCAAGAACTTGGGGTACAGAAGGCTGTCACACTGGCTCCCTGCCCTTGCGATAGGGCAGAGGGTCCATTGAGTTGATTAACACACAAGCTGTCTGCAGAAGGCAAATTTAAAAGAGCTTGCAGGCCGGGCGCGGTGGCTCACGCCTGTAATCCCAGCACTTTGGGAGGCTGAGGCAGGCGGATCACGAGGTCAGGAGTTCGAGACCAGCCTGGCCAATATGGTGAAACCCCATCTCTACTAAAAATACAAAAATTAGCCAGGCGTGGTGGCGGCTGCCTGTAGTCCTAGCTACTCGGGAGGCTGAGGCAGGAGAATCGCATGAACCCGGAAGGCAGAGGTTGCAGTGAACTGAGATTGTGCCACTGCACTCCAGCCTGGGCGACAGAGCGAGACTCCATCTCAAAAAAAAAAAAAAAAAAAAAAAAGAGCTTGCCCACTTGGGCTTCAGGAGCCACAGACACCCACCCCCAGACCCTGCGGTGGGGCTGGAGCCCAAAAGCACTCTTGCAGGCCTCTGCACCTGCCCATCTGCATGCTCCCCCTAGGGGTTTGAGCTGCAGGGTGACCACACAGGAGACACCCCTGTTGCATGTGCTGAGAGGGGAATCAGGGAACTCTCCCGTTTTACTATTCACATTGCTTTCTATATGACTGGTATTCTCCCGCAGTTGTGCAATGCAGCAATACTGATGAAGTCCTGACAGTTGTAAAGACCAAGGGCTTTTATACTGAGTGAGAGGGAAAGCCTTAGGAAACTTAGAGAGAATAGATGTGAAAGTTTAAAAGATCCCTTTCTCTGCTGTGTGCATAGGGAGGTATCAAGGAAGAGGCAGTAATAGCCCAAAGGGGCAGAGGGAGGCAGCAAGGAAGCCAATAATGAGGCTGGAAGGATAATCCAGGCACAAATCCAAGTGAGCTGGGCCCGGTGGTTGTGGAGATAGTGAGCACTGGTTGGATCACGCATACATTTTGACAGTTGAACCACTAAAATTTACAGACAAATCAGGTATGGAGTGAAAGAGAAAAAGAAGAGTCAAGGATGACCCCAAGTTTTTAACTAGAACAACTGAAAGAACTACATTGTTATTGACTAAGGAGGGAAAAGCTGGGAGAAGAGAAAGTGCATGGGCAATATCAGATTGGTTTTGTATCTGTTTCGTTTGACATGCCTTTTAGAAACTCAAATAGAAACAAATAGAAGGCAAATTTGTGTGTGTGTGTGTCTGCATGCTGCAAGCATACATATGCATGCAGGTCCAGAGGTCAGAGGAGGGATGTGGGCTAGAGATCCGCATTTGTAGTTGTCAGTGTACCAGTGGTATTTAAAGCCATGAGCCTGAATTAGATCACCAAAAGGAGAGAGATCCAAGGCCTGAGGCACTCCAGTGTCTACAGGTGAAATGAGGCGAAAACACAAAGGAGACTAGACTAAGTGGCCAAAGAAAGAGGAAAACCCAATTGGAAGTCAGGTGAAGAGTTTATCAGGTAGGAGGGAGTGATTAAATGTAGCAAATGCTGGCCGGGCACGGTGGCTCACGCCTGTAAACCCAGTACTTTGGGAGGCTGAGACAGGTGGATCACAAGGTCAGGAGTTCGAGACTAGCCTGGCCAACATGGTGAAACCCCATCTCTACCAATAATACAAAAATTAGCTGGGTGTGGTGGCGCACACCTGTAGTCTCAGCTACTTGGGAGGCTGAGGCAGAAGAATTGCTTGAACCCAGGAGGCGGAGGTTGCAGTGAGCCAAGATTGCACCACTGCACTCCAGCCTGGGTGACAGAGCAAGACTCCATCTCAAAAAAAAAAAAGAAAAAAAATTAGCAAATGTTGTTGGAGGTCAAAAACTACTGAGAACTACTATGGGATATAGCCACACAGGTAGAGACCCTTGGAGATGTGGGGACAAAGGAGTTTTTCTTGAGAGGTGTAAGCAAGGACAGTGGAATGGAGGTTTGAAGCTTAGGGAAGTGGAATAAAATTGGGGATGATAGATAGATTTAAGAATCATCAGTGCATATGTGGCTATAAGCAAATATGAGATTTCCCAGAGAAAATATATAAGATGTTGAGAAAAGAAGGTTGAAAATAGTATCCTGTGGAATATCAACATTTAAGGGGCCAGTAGACAAAGGAAGGAGACTAGAGGGTGGCCAGGGCAGTGACAGGCAGATCAGAATAGAAATGTGCTAGAAACCAAAGGCAAAGAGTGCTACGAATGAAGAAGAAACCAACAGAGACAAAAGTCTTCCATTGCAGGGGGCAGCCAAGTTTATACTCCCTCCTTCACAACCCCACATCTCTTCTCCTATAGGACATTGTCCTTATGGGCTGTAACAGATACTGTCAGTTTCAAAGACTAAAGGAAGTGCATACCCCAGCTCCCTCACCCCTCTAGTAGACTAATTCTAAACCATATGTTGTACACTAGTTCCCAGATTTTCCCATGGGATTGCTCCAGTTGCCCACTATGGTAGCTGGTTTAGTAATCTACTCTTTTTTTTTTTTTTTTGAGATGGAGTTTTGCTCCATCTCCCAGGCTGGAGTGCAGTGGCACGACCTCAGCTCACTGCAACCTCCGCCTCCCAGGCTCAAGCAATTCTCCTGCCTCAGCCTCTTGAGGGCCTGGGATTACAGGCACACGCCACCACGCCCGGCTTTTTTATATTTTTAGTAGAGACGCGGTTTCACTATGTTGGCCAGGCTGGTCTCTGAACTCTTAACCTCAAGTGATCCACCATCCTTGGCCTCCCAAAGTGCTGGGATTACAGGTGTGAGCCACCGCGCCTGGCCAGTAATCTACTCTTTATTGGCCTGTTTCCCTTCCCACTCCCGTGACCCCCACCCCACCACTGTCTCGCGTCTCTCCCAAATGTACCATGGCTCAACTCCTTGTCTCAGGTCTGTGTCTGTGCGTCCCATGTCCATCTCTCCACTGGCCTATGAACTCTTTAAAAATATGCCTGTCTTCATGCCTTCTCCAGTTCCTGGTAAACTGCCTGGTACATAGAATATACTTACTACATGTCTGTTGAATTGAAGGATTTACATTTGCACAGGGCATGTGGCTTCTCTCAAATAAAGAAGTTATCTGAAATACATTATCCCATTTAGCCCATAACACAATTCTACCACTTAGGTATTATTATTTCTATTGTAAAGTTGGAGCAATAGAGGTTTAAAGGGCTTGAGAGACATGCTCAGCGCCTTCACGATGCTATTTGCAAAATATCCATATAAGTACCTCATCTATCTCTAGCAAAATATTGATGTAAGTACCTCAAAGAAATAGTATTAAATTATTTCTTCCAAATAAACCCACAATTCAATAGGAGAAATTCGGACTATGTGTTTTACCAGGATCCTGAAACTATCATTTTGCTGCTTGTGCACTGAAATGGTTGCTAGCAGCAACCGGAGCTAGGCAGAGCAAATAAGGTGCTATGAAAAGGAAGAGGAAAATGAATGAATAAATAACTGAAGTTCTTTCATGGCAGAGAGATCTCTTCAGGCCCACAGAAATACGATTTAAAATCAACTTTCCATATATGATTACAGACTAGGTAAAGGATTAGTCAGAAAGCTCAGCATGATTGATAGGTCCTGAACTTTAGCCCCCTGAGTTCTCACATCTCAACTATGGAAACACACAAATGTTTATTTTAAAACCTCTGACGAACAGTTCCCACAGCATTATCACTTTAGCACATTATTTACTTTACAAGACCTAGCATCAACATAAGATAGAAAGGATAAGACAACTGTGTGTCCTTCTATATGGGAACAAAATACCTTAGGAGTTATGACTGACTTAAAGGATATTAAGAGAAGATGAATCGAATTTACAGAGCTAAGCATTGGGAAAAGCAGCTGTTACAAGTTGTGGGTTTTGGCTCGATTCACTCTGGAAAGACACGTGAGAGCTCTTGTGAGAAGGGGGCTGTAGCGGCGGGTATTAATAAGGATTAATAATCAAATCTCAAGATGGTCCCAGGATGGTGGACTATTTGGGGGAGGATGGAGCCTGGGGGACTGGATTTAAAATAAGCTGGGAATGACCTCCTGAACCTCAGTTTCTTAATTTATAAAATAAAGATGATAATACCTTGGAGATTTACTCTGAAAGCAAATTGAACTAACAGCTGTGAAAGCACTTCAGAAAGGAGAATGGGGTACATAATGTAAAGGGAGGGAATTACTATTTCCTTGGGCAAATGATTTCACAAGTTGGAAGAAGACGATTGAGACAAGAGTCAACTTTTAGTCACCATTCATTTCATCGGCTAATTAGGAACCTGACACCCAACGCAAGTCCACAGTGCCGAATATCTTCACCAGAACACCTTCTTCCGTCCCCTTTGCTAAGTAGGAGCCTTTCTCTTTTAAAATATTCAGGATTCATTTATGTAATTGACTTCACTCTATTCCATTGACATTTAACCTGTGTCCTTTTATACTTTCTGTATCACAGCATATTTACATGTAGTTATTAATGCTCTTTTAACATTCTGTTTCTTACACGTGGGTATCACAGATTAGGTTTAACACTCCTTAAAGGTAGGAAGTATGTTAAACTATTATTATAATTATTACTGTTAGAAAGTACTTTGCAAAACATATAGCCCTGGACCACGGTTTCTCAAAAGCAGCACTCCTAACATTTTAGGCCATGTAATTTTTTGTTGTGGGAGGCTGTCCTGCATGTACATTGTAGGATGTTTGGCAGCATATCTTGCCTCTACCTACTAGGTGTTAGTAGCAACTCCCCCTGTTCTCACAGTTGTGACAACCAAAAATGTCTACAGACATTGCCAAATGTTCCCAAATGGGGGCTGCAAAATCACCCCTAGTGAAGAACCAATGCGTTAAACAGATACAGATTAAAATTATGGTCATCATAATTACTTTTACTTTTTCAGAGTACCTGGAATGATACGCAGAAAAGAAAAAGTGCTCAATCAATATTGAATGAAAAAATGAAAGAAAAACTACATTAGTTGTATTTATAAAGTGGCTCTATAGCATAATCCCTTATATGATTAAGACTGTATTATATAATAAACACTTTGCTGGTTGGCATACAATATATTCTTACACTTTTTAGTAACTATGTCTGTGTATACAAGAAATTACATTCTTATGCATATACAAAGATTGTAGCTGGCAGTGACTTTCTCTATAGCACACAAACTATGAATAGTGTCTAGCATCCTGTTTACCCATAAAGCAAGAGACAGAATACTTATTTTAAATTCTAGGTAAATATTACATCAAACACCAATTGTCAGATGCATTTTTGGAGAATTATCTCTACATGAAAAAAATATTACAACCAAGAATTCTAAAAAAGATTATCTGACAAGTAGAGGATCTCAGATGAGTGTACTTCGGAAATTTCTGTTCTATTTAAACATACATTTTTAAATATAAATGTTTCATCAATCTTTCTAAGATTTTTTCCAAGATCATCAATCTCTTCCAAGATTAGAATATTTGCAATATCCTCTGATATTAGAGAGCCAATGTTTTAAGTGGCATTTTAGTTTGTTATTAAAAAATACTAATAATGGGCTGGGCATGGTGGCTCATGCCTGTAATCCCAGCACTTTGGAAGGCCGAGGCGGGCGGATCACGAGGTCAGGAGATCAAGACCACCCTGGCTAACACGGTGAAACCACGTCTCTACTAAAAATACAAAAAATTAGCCGGAAGTGGTGGTGGGCACCTGTAGTCCCAGCTACTCCGGAGGCTGAGACATTCTCCTGAGAATGACGTGAACCCGGGAGGCGAAGCTTGCAGTGAGCAGAGATCGCGTCACTGCACTCCAGCCTGGGCGACAGAGACTCCAGCCTGGGCGACAGAGACTCCATCTTAAAAAAAAAAAAAAAAAAAAAAAGAGGATACTAATAATGTTATTTTGATTTTCAAGAACTGATATGTTTTGAGCAACAGTGTTACATAACACTGATGATTTTTTTATTTTCAAGTTTTCTCTATGAATTCTTAAATCCCGTATCAATGGGTTACATTTTCCAAATTACCACTAATGAAGACTGTAAGCATTCTTATAAAACAGGAGAAAATGTAGTTAAAACAGAAAAGACTTAAAGGACTTCTCTTTCAGTTTTACTCACTCAGCCTTCTAGTGGCTTTTAGCTATATACTATCTTTTGGAGGGAATCCTAATTTAGCAGCAGACCTCTACTAAACAACGTGTGAAAAAGAAAACAAACTTCCATTTCTGGCCATGAGGTAGTAACTTGCAGCAGATCAATGCCCCTGTCAAGTACAACTAGAAAAGCCAGATAAAACACAAGAAACATCTGTTGGAAGGCATCTGAGAGCTGATGAGATAATTAAGATGTGAGTGGCCAAGGTCCCAGAGAGAAGATAACTATAGAACAAAGAGTCTACATTCTTTTTTAAAGTTTTATTTTAAGTTCAAAAGTACATATGCAAGTTTGTTATATAGGTAAACTTGTGTCATGGGGGTTTGTTGTACAGATCACTCACTTATTAAGCCTAGTACCCATTAATTATTTTTCCTGATCCTTTTTCTCCTCCTACCCTCCACCTTCTGGTAGACCCCAGTATCAGTCGTTCCCCTCTATGTGTCTATGTATTCTTATCATTTAGCTAAGTGAGAACATGCCCTAAGAGTCTACAATCTGTGTATGCCTTGTCCTTCATGGAACTTGCCAGTTCTTGGCATGGTGCTACACATGTGACCACTGCAAAGACAAGATAAGCCAGCAGAACTTTTGGCAATTCCACAAAGGCGAAGAGACAAAAATTAGAGTTTGGTGTTGCTGAAGCAGCCAGATACTAAGGGGCCAGGTGAGCAGTGAAAGGGGAGACATAGAGAAGCAGATCTATCACTTGGGAGGGTTGCCTTGCAAGGCATTTGCCACAGAGGGCAGGAGCCTAAAGAACTAAGCAGAAAACTTCAGAAAAGTAGAATGGAAATTACAGAAATTATACTGCTCTGAGCAGAAAATAAAATAAAATTTGGAACTACTCAAGGAGGAAGGGAATATAGTAAGCCTACCAGTTTCTCAGTTGAGACTACTGGAGAACCACACTCTCAGAATGGAGAAAAACCAGAGGTAGACGGAGCCTTATAACAATGAGGCAAAATCAGCTTAGTCTCTGATTAAATTAAGGCTATCTGGCCCCATATGTGCCTAGTGATCATATATGTGGCACATACGTGTGATCATATATGTGTCTGGCCCATATCACATATACGATCTGGCCATATATGTCTACCCTTCAAGAATCTATTGCTACATTTGCTGGCCCACTGCCTTTAGCTGTCAGATCCTTCGGGTTTTGCCTCAGCTGTGGAACACTGAAGAGATCTGCCTCACTCAGTGGCACACTCTTCCCAGGAAGGACCACATCCAATGACTGATTGAGGTGGAGACACATAGACTCAACTATTTTGGATCAACATGAGATAACTCTTGTAGGCTTAATACATTCCAGAACTCCCCAAGGATTTAGCTGAGGCTTTGGTGGGCCTGGATCATATTTCAACTCCTTCTGCCCAATTCTGCTTTCTCTCCCTCCCTTAACACAAAGGCTGAAGCTTAATAAATACTCTGTACACCAAACTCCATCTCAGTTACTATTTGCAGAAAACTCAACTTTTAGCACCTAGTGTCAGACATGGTCTAAGAAAGCAGGTGATAAGATATGGTTATTGATCTAGATAACCTCACAACTACATCAGCTGTGAAAACTAGCAGCCAAGCAGCCACTAGAAGGGGCAAAACATGCTTGGAGCTCTCCACAATGCCCCATTACCAAAGAATTGTCATTATTTTTCTTGTCTGTTAGCTCCCTGGAAACTCAGAGCAAATGTGATTATTTGACCTGAATAAGAGCTTACTCAGTGCAAAAGCCTTTTCCCCGGGGTGTTTCTAAAAAAAAAAATTAATAATCGATTAACACTGTAACTGTCTGAGGTGGGGATATCACTTGGGGCAAACAAGAAGCTAACCAGAAAAATTAAAAGAAAAATGTGGGGAATTCCTGTAGGAAAATTTGAAAAGCTCTAATACATTGCTGAGAATCTAGAAGATCCCATGAATGTGCAGGACTATGCATATACCTAAGAAGGACCCAGAAAGGCCCAAATATCTCACCTGTGGCAGACATTGAGACCCTGTACAAGCAGAAATTTAAGGATAAGGCAGAGCTGTAAACTCTGCTATAGTATTGACTGCTATAGCATTGACTCTGCTATAGTGTCGACTCTGCTACAGTACTGACTATGCACCCTAACATGCACAGAATCCCTTGGCAAAGACTAGGATATATACCTGTTAAAGGCATTTAAGGAAATTCTGTCCAACCATTAGTTGACCACTAGGCTGCTATCTGGGCAAAAACTTCAGTGGCCAGACATGACAAAGAACAAACTTAACATAATTTGTTTCAGGGAACTCACTGAACAAATAAATAACAATAATTAAAGCAACAAGAAACAGAAACAGCAACTAATGTTGGGGGGAAGAATTCAACTTGCAGAGTTGAACATTATATTATTTTAAATGTCCAACTTTCAACAAAAAATTACAAGATGTCCAAAGAGACTGGAACATATGCCCATATAGAGGGGGAAAAAACAGTCAACAAAAACTGTTCCTGAGGAAGCTCAGACATTGAATTTACTGGACAGACTTTTAAATCAGTTATTTTAACTCATTCAAAGAACTAAGGAACACATTTCTAGAGAACTAAAGGGAAGTATAAGAGCAATGGCTCAAAAAATACAAAATATTAATAAAGATATATAGATTATTTTAAAATATTAGAAATTATGCAGTAAAATATATAATAACTGAAATTAAAAATTTACTAGAAAGACTTAACAGCAGACTTGATCAGGCAGAAGAGAAAATCCGCAAACTTTAAGATAAGTAAGCTGAGATTATCTAGTCTAAGGAACAGAAAGAAAAAAAAGAAGAAAAATTAAAAGGTCCTTAATGACTTGGAGGATGTACCAACATACTCATAATGGGAGTCCCAGAAAGAGATAAAAGAATGAGTCAGAAAGAATGTTTGAAGATATAATAGCTGAAAACTTCTCAAATTTGGAGAAAAACATACATCTGCATAACAAAGAAGTACAAAAATTCAAATAAACTCTAAAGGATCTACACTTAGACACATTGTAATTAATCTATCAAAAATCAGACACAGAAAATTTTGAAAACACTGGGAGATAAGCAACTCATCAGATAAAATGGAGCTTCAGAAAGGTTAACATCTGACTTCTCATCCAAACTGAGGAGTCCAAAAGGAAGTGGGATAACATATTCAAAGTGCTGAAAATAAAAGACTGTCAAACAGAAATTCTATGTACAGCAAAATATCCTTTCAAAATGAAAGACAAATTATGATATTCCCAGATAAACAAAAGTGGAGAGAATTTGCTATTAACAGAACCACCCTGTAAGAAGTACTAAAGGAAGTCCTTTGGGATAAAATAAAAGGACAGTATACAGCAACTTGAATCCATATGAAGAAATAAAAGGTATTGGTAGAGGTAATTAAATAGGTAAAAGTAAGATAAAAGAAATGTATTTTTTCTATAAATCTTTTATTATCCTATCTGATTCTTAAAAACAACTGCATAAATAATTTATAATCATAATCAATAAACCTATGTTGAGATTATATTATATAAAGATGTAATTTGTATACATAATGGTACAAAGAAGGAAAAAGAAACAAAGCTATACAGAAGCAAAGTGTAGATATTGTTGAAATTCGGTTAGGATTCATCTGAACTAGACTGTTATAACTTAAGACGTTAATTTTAAGTTCCAGCACAACCAATAAGAATAACTAAAAAAAATAGCCAAGCAACAAGAAATTTAAAATGGCACACCCCAATATATCTAACACAAAAAAAGTCAGTAATGAAGGATCAAGAAATACAAAAGTCATAGAGAAAACAAATTTCAAAACAGCATATGCAAATACTTATAATTACATTAAGTGTAAATGAATTAAACACTACAATCAAAAGGCAGAG
The DNA here is from genome assembly GCF_000001405.40 of Homo sapiens. Lineage (NCBI taxonomy): Eukaryota > Metazoa > Chordata > Mammalia > Primates > Hominidae > Homo > Homo sapiens. The sequence continues at coordinate 47,740,118 of NC_000004.12, forward strand.
ATTTGTCTCATAGATAAAAATATGAGATTCAATTATATACTGTGTGTAAAAGGCATACTTTATATTCAGAAACACAAATAGGTTGTAAGCTCAAAAATGGAAATTTTTAGGTGCCTATGTGTTTACACATATTTTCTATTGCTGGGTGGAGTGTACTACAGATGTCTATTAGATCTCATTGGTTTATCGTGCTTTGTAAGTCTTGTATTTCCCTTTTAATCTTCTACCTAGTTCTACTCATTATTGACAGTGGAATATTATGGTTGAATTGTCTATTTTTCCTTCAGTTCTGTCAGATTTAAGTATTTCTGGCTCTGTGTTATGTTTTCCTGACGAATTGACCCTTTATCATTAAAAAATCCCTCCTCTTTTCTGATAACAATTTTGTTTTAAAATCTATTTGATCAAATATTAGTATAGCCATTCCAGCTCTTTTAGCAAAGATTGAATGGTATATTTACATATGTAATCTTTATCAAAATTATAGCTGAATTTTTTTCAGAAATTGACAAGTTAATCCTAAAATTTATACAGAAAGGCAAGGGACCCAGGATAGCTAAAGTAATCCTTAAAAAGTTAAAGTATGCACACTTCATAATTTCAAAATGTATTGCAAACTGTGGTAATCAAGAAAGATAGATAGATCAATAAAAAATAATTGAAAGTCCAGAAATAAACCCATACATCTATGGCCAATTGTTTTTTAACAAGGGGCTCCAAGTCCATTCAGTGGGAAAGAATAGCTCTTCAACAATACATACTAGGACAACTGAATTTCCATACGCAAATGAAAGAAGTTGGACTCCTACTTCACAACATACAGAAAAGTTAATTTAAAATGGATCAATGACTTAAATATAAGAGCTAAATCTATTAAAATCTTAAAAGAAAACAAAGGAATAAATAATTAGTCACCTTGTATTAGCCAATTTTTAAAATACATACACTAGAAGCATACACAACAAAAGAAAAGACAGATAAACTGGACTTCCTCAAAGTTAAAAACTGTTGTTAAAATGAAAACAGCCCCCGAAGAATGTAGGAAGATATTTGAAGATTATATAGCTTAAAAGGCACACTTGCATCCAGAATATATAAAGAACCTGACAATTCAACAATTTAAAGAGGCAACCTAATTTTAAAATGGGCAAAGTATTTGAATAGATATTTCTCAATATAAGGCATACAAATGGCTAACACTAACAAGCACATGACATGTTGCTCAACATAATTAGTCATTAGCAAACTGCAAATCAAAACCACAATGGGATACCACTTCACATCAACTAGGACAGCTATAAACAAAAGAGACAAGTGTGGTGAAAATGTGGAAACACTGGAGCCCTCATACATTGTTTGTAGGAATGGCATTTCCTCAAAATGTTAAACATAGAGTTAATACTAGTCACAGCAATTCTACTCCTAGGTATATAGCTGAGAGAATTAAAACAGTATGTCCACACAAAAACACAAAATCTTATACGCAAATATTATACAGACAGCATTATTCATAACAGTCCAAAAGTGAAAACAGTCCAAATATTCCTCAATTAATGTATGGATTTTTAATGTGGTATATTCCTACAATGGAGTATCAATTGACAATAAAAATGAATGAAGTACTAATAATACATGCTACAGCATATATGAACCCTGAAAATATTTTGCTATGTGAAAGAAGTCAGTCACAAGAGTCCCATACTGTATGATTTAATTCATATTAAATGTCCAAAATAGTCATGTTTATAGAAACAGAAAGTTAATTAGTGTTTACCAGGGGCTGAGGAGAGGGATAGCAATTTACTGCTAATGCGTGTAGGTTTCTTTCTAGGGTGATAAAAACATTCTGAAATTATTATAGATGATTATGATGGTTGTACAATTCTGTGTGTATACTAAACCACTTAATAATATACTTTAAAGAGATGAATTTTATAGTATGTGAATGATCTCAGTAAAGCTGGCATTTCTAAAAGGTAACTAGCATAATATGAAAAAATAATACATCATCTTAATAGATATAGAAAAAAATAATAAAATTCAAAACCCATTCAGGATTTTTTAAAAAGTCTTAGCAAACTACAAATAGAAAGAGCTTCCTTAATCTGACCAAGAGTATCCTAAAAACCCTTCACCAAACATCAGAATTAAAGGTGAAATATTGAAAACCTTCTTCCTGACATAGAAGAAACAGAAAGCAGAATGACTGAAAAGGAGGAAATAAATTGTCATTATTTTAGATGACATGATTGTGTACTTAGAAAATTCAAATGAATTTACAGACAAATTATAAAAATTGTTGAGTGATTTATCAAATTTCTTGGATACATAAAAACAGAAAATAAAGGAAATGTTTTAAAAATATATAATTTACAATAACATCAAAAATACCAGATACCACAAATAAATCTAAAGATGTGCAAGATCTCTATGGTTAAACCTATAACACATAATTGAGAGAAATTTTAAAATGCCTCATTGAAAATACCTACTTAAATATTACCATAGTATATAATTGTTATGGTTGGAAGACTGACTGTTGTAAAGAAATTTTCCTGAATTTGATCTATATATTTAATGCAGTCCCAATTTAAAAACAAAACAAAAACAAAAACAGCATTTGTGGAAATTACATAGTGATTTTAAAATTTACATTAAACGCAAAGGGCCAAAAATAGTCAATCTTTAAGAAGAACAAAGATAGAGGACATATAATATTCAATATAAAGATGCTATAAAACTATAGTAATCCAGATAGTGTGGTATTGTCTTAATTCTATTCTGTCAATTAGAGGGTTCAAAAATAGATATACATGTAATCATTCACTTGATTGATAGCAGCAGTGATATTACAGTGCAGAGGGAAAAATTGTCTTCTAAATAATTAAATGGTGGTGGGTCAATTGAATATACACATAGAAAAAAATTAATTCCTATCTTTTACCTTTCACCATGCACAAAAAATAATTCCAGAATTATAGTAGATGTAAAACTGAATGTCAAAACAATAAAGATTCTAGAAGAAACATAGGAGAAAAACTTCTATGTTTGGGGGTGAGCAAAGATTTCTTAAGACACAGAAAAAAAAAACACAAAAGAAAAGATTGATATTATGGACCCATTAAAATTAAGACCTTCTATTCCATCATAGATGCTAATAAGAGTAGAAAGGCAAGCCATAGGGCATGAGATCTTTGCAATACATATATCCAACAGATGACTTGTATCCAGAATTCATACAAAACTATAAACTGAAGACAAAAAGACAGACCATCAAAAAATAGGCAAAATATTTGGACAGACATTTCACAATACTCCCATCAAAATTGTTAAAATGAAAAAGACTGACAATGCTAAAGATTGGGAAGGATTTGGAGCAACTACAACTTTTATAAGGAGCTGGTAAGAGCATAAATTGGTACAACCACTTTAGAAAACTTTTTTGTTGAATAAATATAACCATATTCAATTAAAGACAGGCACAAGAGGCTGGGAACGGTGACTCATGTCTGTAATCCAAACACTTTGGGAGGCCAAGGTGGGTGGATCACGACATAAGGAGTTCAAGACCAGCCTGGCCAACATGGCGAAACCATGTCTCTACTAAAAATACAAAAGTTAGCCAGGCATGATGGCGTGCACCTATAATCCCAGCTACTCGGGAGGCTGAGGCAGGAGAATTGCTCGAACCCGAAAGGCAGAGGTTGCAGTGAGCTGAGATCATGCCACTGCACTCCAGCCTGGGTGGCAGAGCAAGTCTCTGTCTCCAGAAAAAAAAAAAAAGACATGCACAAGAATAGTAATAGCATCACTGTAATAGCTGAAAATTGGATACAATGCAAATGTCCATCAACAGTGAAATGGAAAAATATATTTTGGTTCAATCATATATTAGAATGCTGTATAACAATGAGAATGAATGAACCACAATATGAAGATGTAATTAATTTCTTGAACATAATGCTGAGCAAAAGAAGACAGGTTTTAAAAAGTTACATATTGTATGATTCCATTTATATGAAGTTCAGAAGTAAGCAAAACTAAGGTGATAGAAGTAAGGATAGAGGTTTCTTTTGGAAGGGTGAGATATGACAGGCAGCGGGCTTGAAGGCATTTCTGGGGATGTTGTTAATATTCTATTCCTTGATCTGGGTTCTGGTTACATGGATCTTGTCACTTGGTTAAAATTTATCAGACTGTACACTTATTATTTATATCCATTCCTGTATAAATGGCATACTCAAATAAAATCTTCTAAAAATGAAATGAAACACAGACACCTACATTGCTTTCCGTTTTCCTGCTGAGGTGAGAAGCAAATTCTGCTGACATTGCTGCTTTCAGTTTGGTTTCTAAACTGGGAGCATCTGAGGAAATCCGGCCAGGAGTAATTCACCATCCCCAGGACTGATTCACAGCCTTCTTTTGCAGCCTCACAGAAGGACCTACAGGGCAGGAGTCCATGACTAAAAAAAAAAAAAGAGAAAGGTGAAAATTAGTGTCTTTACAGAATAGGTTTTGAAATAATAGTGAAATTAAAGTTAGCCCCTGTGTTGTGATATTATCTTAATTTATACTTACTATAGTCAGCAACTTAAATTTTTACATTCAGTCCTATGACAGTGATTTTAGCTATTCTATGGTCTTGATTCTAGAAGAAATAGCTAGTTCCACATCATCTAACTATTTCTTGTAGGAACATTTATCAATAATTTGTTTAATATTTACTGGGCTAAAATATATAGTTGTCAGCCTAAAAGAGCTCTATTTAATATCAAAAGGGGAAAATTAACATGGAAACGAAGGCCCTCAGATTGCAAAGGAAGAAGTAGGTCAAAAATATGTTATTCTTGTATTTTTATCTTCCCTTTGAGAAATTCAAGTATCTCTGAGTGGCAGCAGAGAGTAAGCTGTTCCATTATTAACTTCCCCAGCCTCCCTGGAAAATGAACATTATACAGATGAGTGGCAACTTGGAAGACCTTGTACAGTTATTTATCTTTTCAGATTTCTAGTCTGTCATCTGCAAAATAAAAAAAAATGCACACAATTGTCTGTTAATAGTATGAGTAATGATGCCCCCAGAGCTTATCTTTATTCACTTAACATGCCATGAAACAGTCCTAGATCCATAGCTCTGTGGATGGAGATGGGATACTAACAAAGTCAAGGCCACGGACTTGCTTCCTTGCAGACCCAGGTAATTGTTTCTACTTTACAGCTGAAGGCTGCATCTCTCACCCTGGCTGGTCAATTGCTAAAAGCATTTCAAATAGTTTTAAGGAAACTGGGAAAGAAAATAGACATGTCAGTTAAATCAAAGCATACACTTCACAAATGTGGAGCCAATAAGATATCACAGAATCGTACAATATTAGATATGTAACAAACCTTAAACAATACCTTATTCAAATCCTTCAAATGAGATAGTTCCAGGGAGATTCTAGGACAGACTTGAGGTCAAATAGCTCCTAATGGCAGAAGCAGGAATAGAATCCTGGTGTTTCAAGTTTCAGGACACATTCTACCTACTCTCCCTGTCTCTTCTCTTCTAAGGACCTAATAGTTGGGCTTTTAAAACTCCTTGATCCAACAAGCACATTTACAATACCCCATTCATACTTCTACAGATTACAAAAACATAAGGGGATAGGCCAGCCGTTGAGATCAAATGAAACTAATAGGGTCTGTAAAATAATCTTAGGGCAGAGATCTTTGTACATAAAAATGGAAAAAGGGAATTCAACAATTACATTCAGATAAAAATATCTTACCTTCCTCTCAGAAAGTCACCTTAAAACTGAGTATCTTTTGGAATACTGATCTTCATATAATTGTCTACATACATTAATATGTAACCAAATTCAACAGTGAGGATGTTGAAGAAGAGGTTTTGTATTTGAAAGAATTAGCTTCAGCATATAAAATATGAATTGGTTCAGGCAAGTTTCTTGGTATAAAGAAGACACCCGAAATATATTAGATATTTCTGGGACTAAGAAAGGATCACTTAAATAACACTGTTTTTCATTATTTCCTGCCTGTCCTGACTCTTATCCCAGAGAAGTTAGCGAATATACTTTCTCAAATAAAACTAGGATACACAGTAAAGGAAGGTGGAGAACATAAAATTACTATATGCAGTTACTTATGTTTGCCAGGCACTGTTCTTAGTACCACACATGCATCACCTCACTGATTTCTCAGAACAGGATGAGTAATAGGTGTTATTACTAATCCCCAATATACAAATAAGGAAAGAAGCACAGACAAATAAGACATTTGTCCAAGTTCACTGAGGCAATGAGAGTCAGAGCCGGGATTAGAACTCGGGCAGATTGACCCAGGACCTATTCTATTTACTACTGTACTACGAGTAAGTCCTAATTTCATGAATGCATGTCTTGAAAGCACAACGCAAATCTTTTTTTTTTTTTCAAATGGAGTCTGGCTTTGTTGCCCTGGCTAGACTGCAGTGGCGCCATAGGCTCACTGCAGGCTCTGCCTCCTGGTTTCAAGCGATTCTCCTGCCACAGCTTCCCGAGTAGCTGGGATTACAGGCATGCGCCACCTCGCCCGGCTAATTTTGTATTTTTAGTAGAGACAGGGTTTCAACATGTTGGCCAGGCTGGTCTCAAACTCCTGACCTCAGGTGATCTGCCCACCTTAGCCTCCCAAAGTGCAGGGATTACAGGCCTGAGCCACCGCACCCAGCCAAGAGTGCAAATCTTGATATGCACTTTGTGAGTGGCACCATCATATACGTGATGGGTGAGATCTCCATTCTACAAAAGCCTACAAATGTGCATTGAATCAGTATTTGTCAAAGGGGCTAAGAAACACAAGGAAAGGGTAAATACATTTGTGCTTTCTTCTCTAGGTGTGAGCCAGCCCACAGTAAAGCTATAAAACAAGCTAGGCTTGTCGTTGGTGTTCCTCCTTTGCCTTCTAGTTCTTGACCAAGGTCCCAGGGTCCCAATGCCCTTGTGATCACCCCGATGCCAGCACCCCACCTAGATGGCCACCTCTACCAGAGTGCTTGAAACATATTATTCCCTTCCTACAATCAAAACAGTACTCCCAATTGCAGCTGATCTCAATTAAGCTTTTAAATAAGAAAATAGATGAAAAAAACACAGAATAATGCATAATAATAGATGAACACTTAACCCTCCCAGAGATTTTTGCATCTTTAAAAGAAGACTGCTCACTGGGGCAATGGAATCTCTAACTGATGAAATTCCAGATACCATTTAAAGGGAAAAAAAAACATTCAACATTTTTTGAAGATGAGAAAGATGTCTGCAAACTGAACAACACTCTGGAGCCCAACTCTCCCAAGCAGTTCCTGGACCTTTCCTCATTTCTGAACTGAGTTATTTTATTTTATTTTATTTCATTTCATTTCATTTCATTTTATTTATCATTCTACATCTTTTCTTAGAACCTTCTAGGGTAACAAAAATGAAGTTTCATACAGGAGGCCAGCAGACTGTTTTCAAGTTCTAAAGTTAAGTCTTTAATTCAGAAATGGAATCATTGTCATTGACTCTTACGGTGGTCATTTTTCTACAGGAAAGCCTCAGTCTATCACCCTGCAACTTTCACATGGCCACTCCTCCACTGTTGAATCTTGGGCAATAGCTCACTCATGTCAAAACTCAGTTTCCTCATTTGAAAAGTGAAGGTTTTGGAAGAGCTGGAGTTTGGACCATTTTTCATAGTCCTTTTACTACTAACATTCTGTAAGTCAAAATTCATTCTTTAAGGCAATGTTTCTCAGAGGAGCACTGATAATCCCACCAGATTTGCTAAATTTCAAAAGGTAACAGGCATTTTCCTCAAGATTTGTTCTGGGAATATATAGAGACATTAAAATACCATTAGGCCCTCCATTCTAAAAATAGGGCCTAAGAAAAATGTCTACTGTGTTTCCAAATAGTTCTCTTAAGAGGTGTAACCAACTGAGACCCATAAGCTTTAAACTGCTGGACCAGGATATGTGAAATAGTGATGGGGTATTAATAACTAGCAACACTTTCCAACAGTGAGCAAAATGTGTAGTCATTTTTTCTTACTTTGCATAAAATTCAACTGCCTAGGGAAGGTTGAAGCATTTTGCTTTTCATCACATGGAACAGCGTGGTGAGATAGGCCACACTATTTTGGAATATGTGTCTATATCCAAGCAACAAACAGATTGATGACTTTAAAACAGCTCTGCACAGGGAAGGAGACCACTTTAGCTATCTAAAAACTATTTTAGAAAGGGTGATTATTTTAAATTGATGTCTGAAGTGCATTTGGTGTTGTGCAAAAGTACCTAGTACATTTCAACTAAAGTTAAAGCAGAAAGCTTTTATACCTCCTCTATAATTATTTGTTCAAACATTTGATAGCTATATAAATAATACTACAATATAGTGATAGTGAAGTTTTTATGGTGTTCTCACTAGGAAGGCTGTTATAAAATTATTTATCTACCAAAACTTGTACAGTTTATCTATAAAAATGTTAGAGAATTTATCTTCAAATAATTTTGTTATAGTATATATACAAATTAATATATAGATTTTATCTGCAAAAAACAAGTTCTGATAAGGACATAAAGTTTAAATTATGAAATAAGTCATAGCCACAAAGCAGGCTTATATGGTTAATGGATTTTTAAGTTTTATAAATCATTTTTCTCTTAACTTTTGATTTTGAACTACTGTTAAACTTACAGAAAAGTTATAAAAATAGTACAGAAAATTTCCATATATCCTTCATCCAGACTCCACTAAGGTAAACATCTTACATAACTGTAGCATAATTATTAGAACCAGGACATTAGCATTGATACAATATCTTTAACAAAACTAAGGACCCTATTTGAATTTTGCCAGGATCTCCATTTAGGATCCCACATTGCATTCAATTGTCACTTTTTACTTTTGGCAAATAAACTAATCTTTAAATATTATTAGGAGAACTCAGAATTTAAAACTCTTTTTTCATGAGAAAAAAAAAAACAGAATCTTTGTGACAGGTGGACTTTAAGATGGCCCGCAATGATCTCTGCTTCCTGGTATTCATGCCCTGTTTAATCCCCTCCTCTGGAGTGTAGGTTGCCTGAGTGATTTGCTCCCAACCAACAGAAGGTAATGGAATGTCAACTTCATCATTAGTCTACATAAGATTGTGACTTCTGCATTGCTAACAGACTCTCTCCCTTACTGGCTTTGATGAAGCAACTTGTCATATTGAGGAGACCCACATGGCAAGGATCTGAAGGTTGCCACTGGCTAATAGACAGCTAGGAACTAAGACCCTCCAACCAAAGCCTTTAAGGAACTGAAGTTTTTCCAAGAATCACATGAGCTTGGAAGTTGATCCTTCCCAGGTCAAGCCTTCAGATAAGACCCCAACCCTGCCAACATCTTTAATTCACCTATGTGACAGACCCTAAAGCAGAGGACCTGGCTGGGCCACTCCCAGATATCCGGCCCATAGCAACTGTATAATAATATATGTGTGTTGCTTTAAGCTGATAGGTTTATGGTAGTTTGCAATATATAACTAATACACTTTTCTTGACACATCACATTGTCAGAGGCATGCTACTGAGTTTGATGTTCTATTCATTGACAAGACTCACACAATCATCTTTTTAAAAATACATTCCTAAGTTTGTCTTTGTTAGGCTGAGCTGTTCAGTGAAAAATGCTCACAAAATCATAGTCACAGGCACCTCCCAGAGCTGCAGAACTTACTTAGTCGTGAAGAGAATGTTAATGCTGGAAGGATCTTCCAAGATAATCTACTCCCATTTTCTCCTTTTGCATTATGAGGAAATTGAAGCCTAAACAGATTTTCATAGCCAAATACTGTGACTCCAGTCCAGTGCTCCCAAATATCTTGCCTATCTGACCTCCTTGCACAATCTATGAGCAACAGATAACACAGGAACATAAATCAACAGATGACAACACTACTGGAAAACCCAAATAACAATAGATGGCTTGTTCTCCCTATGATAAGCGAACAGCATTGGTTTCCTATGTCAGCATCTTCTGCGACCTCAAGAGACCATATAAGAGGTTAGGCTTAGCGGGGTATGAGAAGCAGAAAAGAGGCTTCTTTGGTTTCTACTCCACTAAACGTGGGGATGGACAGCGGTGCAAGGGAATTTTTACATGTGTCATTGTCTCCCATCAGAAGATAAATAATGGAAGCATTTGTGGTATTTTTTGGTCACATTGGTCTGACTCTAAAATCCAGGACTGTGTCTTTCTTTTTCTTCATTTGTAATAGTCATGATCCTACCAGGAAAGAGGTGAGCCACTAAAGCAGGTTCACTGCAGAATGTTTAATGAAGGGCTCTGATCACCTACAGAAGGAAAAGGTACAGGCAGGGTTTAGATAAACCAACAAGGCATAGTACAGTAGGCTGCTGCAGGGAGCTGTTAGCACCCTAGGTTTAAGAGACAAGGGGAAAAAGAATTTTCTGGAACTTGGAGAGAGTTGTATGGGGAAGGCTGCTTGATAGGGGTCGTGGCCTCTTACAGTGAGTGGGTTGCAGTCAACCCATGTAACCTGGCAGAAAGGAAACCAGGGGATCACTACCCAAACTGTCTATTCTCCCACACTATGATCTCATGCTGGTGGCTTCCATTGGCTGAACCCAACAGGAAGCTAGAAAGTAGCCACTGTTGAAGCGGCCTCCCCTGGGAAGAGTTAGGATGGAGGAGAGTGGAAAGTAGATATGGAGAAGTAAATGAGAAACAGCCAGCACAAAGCTGCATGCCTTGCACCTAGTGAAAGTTCAGCAAATACTTGTCAAGGGATGAAACACAGTGATGTGTGAGCAGACGGTTAAACTATGATTAGCTTGACATCTGGTGGGACTGTTTACACCACAAGAATCAGCAAATTATGCAAATAATGGTTTTGTTGTTGGTTTGTTTTTTCTTCCTCAGGGATCCAATTTACCAGCACACCACTGAATAAAAGTCTAAATCATGTCATCTACTACAGAAGGAAAGCTGTTTTCATTTCCACTCAAAAGAAAATTACAGCCATGAACTTCTTGAATCCACATAAGAAATGATCTCAATATTAACTCCTTCTCCACCACTTCTACCACTCCTCCTTCACATACATTATTTTTTCGGGGAGTATAGCTCAGGGGTAGAGCATTTGACTGCATATACATTATGTTTTTGGTGGTAATACCATCTACCTAAGTCTCCAAGTCCAAAAGCCTTTGCCTTCCAGTCAACTTAGACATTCATATGCAAATAATCACTAAATACTGCCAATATTACTTCCTAAAAATCCGTCAAATCCATTTTCCCTTCTCTCCCATTTTATTTTCTAGAAAAATTAAGCCAGCTGTACTCTCTCTAATATATGGTAGATCTGGCTGTTACTTCATCTGAATTGCCTTTTTACCCCACCTTGTTTACATGGCAAATTTTTCTTCTTCCTCCAAAATTAATTTCAGCAGTTACCTCCTCCCTGCTAGTAGCCTTCCCTAATAATGCCAGATAAAATGAATTCCTCCCCTTTCTCTGTGTTACCTCCATGCCTTGTAAACTGATCACATTTTACAGCAATTTAATTGTGTTTATGTCTGGTCCTCTATTACGCTAAGTCCCTTGAAGACAGTAGTATGTTTTATTCATTTGCGTAACCCAGCATCTAGCAGTGTGCCTGGCACATTATAGGCACCAATAAGTGTTTGCTAAAGGAATAAATTGATAATTTTCCAGGTATCTTTGTTGAATAAACTGATGCCAGGAGCTGAGATAGAGCTAGTTCCTAGTAAGACCCTCTATTCCTCCCTTACGTCAGGCCCCCCCACCCACACTCCCAACCTTGGCAACAGTAACTGCTTGCAGGACTGATCCCATCATGACCTCTTTTCCCACTTCAATCAATTATGACAGGATGCTCAGTATATCCGGCTCTCCCTCACCTCCCGGACTTCCAGATCCTCATGGATCAAATGTAAGCTTCGCAGTGAGTTTTCCTGAACAACACTGCCTAAAATTGCACCTCTTTTCACCATACTCCCACCCTCCCAAAGCTCTCCATTCCCCTGCTTTGCTATTTTCATTGCACTTATCACTATCCGCTAAACGAGTATTTATTATCTGTCTATTTATTTGCTTACTGCCTATCTCTCACCGGCATAACATAAGCTCTGTGAAGCCAGGGATATTTGTTTATTTCATCTGCAGCTCTATCCCTCCTGTGCACAGTCAGCACTCCATAATTATCTGTTGAATAAGTAAATGAATCACACGCAGAGGTGACTCCTGCCTGAGATAAAGCTGTCAGTAGCAAAGTTGGGAGGAGAACCTAACTCCCAACTTAATTGGGAATACAAAAGCTCACACTACCCTGCCCAAGAGGTGCCCTCCACTTCAGGTCAGCAGGTTCTACATGCACTATTCAACATTTAAGTAATGCCCACGTAAGAGTTAAATGTCAGTAAAACTGTCATAAATGAAAAGCCTACAGACTGAGGGTCTTGTTTGCTATGCCAATAGCAGTGTGTCCCTCTTAAAATACAGAAACTTAGAAAATACTAACAGATAAACACAGTTTGAATTAAGATGGGCATAAATAATGTAAAAATGACACAGCCACTCTGAAAGAGAATATAAAAGTCCATACTCTTTTAACCAACACATTCCTGATTCTCATTAATATTTGGCATACTTACCAGGGCCCAGGGGATGAGAGATTAACAGATCACAAAAGAAATGTGCAATTGTTGAATTATTTTGCAGTTGTTTTGATTTTTACACATTATAAAAGGATGCCATGAATACGGATATTCAAATGAATTGAATCACAAGTATTATTTATACATTCTAGTCAGAGCCACATAATTATCGGGGGAACCAGCCCCCAATATTTCAATGTAGGTTCTTTCTATTTTCCCTAAGAGTTGGCCAGTCTAAGAAATAAAGAGAGTACAAAGAGAGGAATTTTACTGTTGGGCCTCCAGGGGTGACATCACATATTGGTAGATCCGTGATGTCCCCTTGAGCCGCAAAACCAGCAGGTTTTTATTAAGGACTTTAAAAGGGGTGGGGGTGTACGAACAAGGAATAGGTCACAAAGATCACATGCTTTAAAGGGCAATAAAGATCACAAGGCAAAGGGCAAAGCAAAGATCACAAGGTAAAGGGCAAAATTAGAATTACTGATGAGGGTCTGTTTTCAGCTGTGCACATATTGTCTTGTTAAACATCTTAAGCAACAGAAAACAGGGTTCGAGAGCAGAGAACTAGTCTGACCTCAACTTTACCAGGACGCGATCTTTTCCAGACCTTAATAAGCCTGAGGGTACTGCAGGAGACCAGGGCGTATTTCAGTCCTTATCTCAACCGCATCAGACAGACAACCCCAGAGTGGCCGTTTATAGACCTCCCCCCAGGAATGCACTCCTTCCCCAGAGTATTAATTATTAATATTCCTTGCTGGGAAAAGAATTCAGTGATATCTTTCCTACTTGCACATCCGTTTATAGGCTCTCTGCAAGAAGAAAAATATGGCTGTATTCTGCCCGACCCCGCAGGCAGTCAGACCTTATGGTTATCTTCCCTTGTTCCCTGAAAATCGCTGTTACTCTGTTTTTTTTCAAGGTGCACTGATTTCATATTGTTCAAACACACGTTTTACAATCAATTTGTACAATAGTGGTCCTGAGGTGATGTACATTCTCAGTTTAAGAAGATAACAGGATTAAGAGATTAAAGTAAAAACAGGCATAAGAAATTATAAGAGTATTATTTGGGAACTGATAAATGTCCATGAAATCTTCACAATTTATGTTTCTCTGCCACGGCTCCAGCTGGTCCCTCCATTCAGGGTCCCTCACTTTCCTCAACACATAATACCGATGAATTATTGAGGAGAAAAGTACTGCACAGAGCTTGATGAAATGTGTGTGCTTGTGACACTGTCAGTAACATGACAAGGCATTTTTAGAAATATTTGATCTGTCATGGCCTGATTCTCTAGCTTTACATCTTTGTAAAATGAAAGTAATTGGAATTATATGACAGTATCTTACCTATGCTTTGAGCTATTTTGGCTCATAAAATGAAACCTCATCTATCACTTCATATTTTATGCATAATGCCAAAAAAGCAACTAAGTCACCAGTGTTGCCTGATGTTGAAAAGGGAACTTTGCTACAACCAGCTGCCTAAACAGCCAGGTTGCCAGAACTCATGTGGCTGACTGCTGTTTCCAGGTTAGCAGATAAATTCAGGAAAGTAAGCAGCAAATGACTTCAGAATATTTCTTTGGTAACAGCAACAGTGCTCATCTTTTTTGTTTGACTACTGATCTATATATATTTTAAAAAATTATAAATATGAAAGTATTTAATTCCTTAATGTTTCCATTTATTCCCAAATGAGATACAATTTGGGACATATGTAACTTAACACCTAGAGCCTGAAATTCTATTTTCTACCATGAACTGTTTAAGCAAAGACCAATCCATCCAATACACAGAGGGGTCCAAGCAGATGACCTGGCTCCTCCCCAGGGTGATACTCTTTAAATATTTGTTTAATATTTATTTAGCTGAGAAACTGAGATTTGCACTGAAGAGAAACAGGACTTCAGGTAGCAGGGACCCAATTTGCAAACTCAACTTAGTAAACCAGAAGTCCTGCAGTTAACTCAGCCCATTCTTTCTGAAGGCAGTTAGGTGGCCAGTTGTTGCTACTGGATATGATCCATCATATGTCAACACAATGCCCCCCAAAACCTTCAAGTAGATTCTCTGATTAGTATTCCAAAGCAAACATAAAAGAGTTTTTGAGAAAACCTATGCTAAATTTAATTTTCTTCATCTTGTTTCATGAGTTTTTGGAGCTCCTTATTCATCAGTGCCATGGGCCACTGTAAACGGACCTGCCTCTCAACCCAGTGAAAAACCAAGTAACCTTAGGATGCTGGATTCCTTACCCTAGTGTCTCCAGTAAGTTCTCATCAGTCAGTTTAAATACCTCCAGTAATAGCAAACTCACCATTTCCTGAGACAACAATTCTATATTTACACAAGTTTATTATCCATAAAATTCTTCCTTTAGCTAAGTAGGAATTTACTTCTCAATGACTTTCAATTACTAGTTCTATTAATATGTTTGCCCTGTGGAAGAACACAGAAAAAGTATGCTCCCCCTTCCATCTCATGGCCCAGAAACATCTAAGAACGGCCATGGTATGCCCTCAAAGTTTCACACCCCCAGTTCCCTCAAGTATTCTTCACATGAACAGATTCTCAATCGCTATTCTCATCAGTATCCTCTACATATTTTATTGTTGTTTTCTTTCTGTTCTTTATATAAACTTTAATGCTAAAATTTTCAATTAGAAAGTCTTTTTAACTGAGTGCATATGAGTTAATATTAAGAAGAAGCACAGAGCTGCTAAGCCAGTCTTCAGGCACAATCTAGTAATTCCTCATCCATTAGGTCCAGGATTTTAACAGTGATGGAGAAGTGAGAGTTAATTTAGTATCTGTTAGCTGGTTATTCTGCCAACCAGATCATCAGTGTTGCCTGATTTTAAAAAGGGAAGCTCAGGAGCTTCAGAAGGAAGCTAAATTATCTCTGGAAATATTATCCAAGTCGCCTTAAAGTTTCAATTCCCTTAATATACACACAAAATTTGATTTATGCAAAAATTTTAGGAACATATAAATTATACAAAAAGTGTAGTACAACTATAGTCAACATATTTTGAACTCTCATTAACCTAGACATTTAGGAGGGTTCCCTGATTGAAGAGTTCATTTATTCCTTTACTCAGCTATTTAATGAGCACCTGCTATGTGTTGGGCAGTGTTCTGAACAATGGGTATACAATGATGTACAAAGTCAACAAGTTCTCTGCCACTGTGGAGCTTGTAAAGTAAGAGAGGCAATAAACAGACAGGCAAAAGGGGTTATAACTGTGCCATGGTGAAAGATAACAGGCCCTATTGAGGGTGATCAGAGATTTGTCTGCAGAGATGTCTTCTGAGAAGAGGGCTTAGTGTGAGGAGAAAGATACTACCAGGTAAAAGGAACATTATACACAAAGGAAGCTAGAAAGAGATTGGCATTTTTGAGAGGTAGAAAGGAAGGTCAGTGCAACTGGAGCCAGGTCAACAACACTAGAGAAGCAAAAAGGGCTTCAGAAACTATGGTAGGGACTTACAACTGGCTATGGGCAGAGCTATGCTTTGAATCAAATGTAATCTGCCCCCAAACTTTCAAGCGCATTCTCTGCAGTTGCCAGATGAAATTCTTTAATCTTCAGTGAACACACATAATATAAAATTTGGGTAACAGTATGGTGTTTTTCAAGAAGCTCATTTGAGGAAACTCATTTGGTTCTCACTGCAAACCTACAAGGATTAAGTACACTAAAGAAAACTGTAGTATACTATGGAAAATTGAGTACATGACAGAAAACATGTAGTTTCCATGCTTCAGGTGTAATTTTTAATCTTAGTCATGTGGCTAAGTAATTTTTTTTATAAAATTGCTCTAGATATTAAGAATAGTTGTTTAGGACCTAATGGCAAATCAATATGTCAGAGGGAAAAACAAATAACCAACACATCAAATTCTTAAAGTTAAAATCTCACTTCAGGAGCATGGAATATCTCTGCAATGTACTGGAACATATAAGCAAGCTGGAGATAATCTGCTGGGTCTCCTCCATTTCAATTAGCCTGTTTTGCAGTACATGATGTGTACATTTATTAAAAGCAGACACAGTCTAAAAGAGAAACTGTGAAAGCTCATTGTTATAACATATGATATAGTTGATCAGGATCTGAGGTCTCAAAGGAATCAAGTTAAAAACTATAACATTTACACATACCATTATAATATTTTTAAATTAAGTTTTAAATAGTATTATGTAGGTATTGTCTCTAGGATGAAATACAAGCAAATCTTCATTATTTGGTTAGCAGGGGAAATTAGTATGATGAATGATCCAAAATAATGAAATATAAAAGAAAAATATATTTGACTTTAGAATTTTTTTTTATAATACATTTTACTTCTCTGAACTCACTTTGCTTATTAAATTTAGCTTGCAGATCCCACACATACACTAAGTGACAGCAAGAAGCATTGGTCTGAAAGTGCAATTATAAAATTAAATATAATAATAAATGCAGGGCCAGGAGTGGTGGCTCACACCTGTAATCCCAGTACTTTGGGAGGCTGAGGTGGGTGGATCACTTGAGGTCAGAAGTTCGAGACCAGCCTGGCCAATATGGTGAAACCCCATCTCCACTAAAAATACAAAAATTAGCCAGGCGCGGTGGTGGGCGCCTGTAATCCCAGCTACTCAGGAGGCTGAAGCAGGGAGAATTGCTTGAACCTAAGAGGCAGAGGTTGCAGTGAGCCGAGATCACACTACTACACTCCAGCCTTAGCAGCAGAGCGAGACCCTGCCTCAAAAAATAATAATAATAAATGCCACAATAAAAAATAAAATAAGGCCCCAAAGGATACTTGAAAACTAATATAATAATGGATATCATTATCCATGAAAATAGAAGTAAAAAATTACCATATTAGCACACTTATCAGGTCAGGGGAAAAGGAAATTGTACCTAAAAGTGCCCTGAAAACTGTAAGCAGCTTAACTAAAAATTTACAGCTAACATTCAAGTAGAGATTGAATTATAATCAGGAGAATGATTGAAATGAGTTTACACATATATATACATATATATATGTATATATATATATATATATATATATATACACAAATATACACATATATATATTTGAGACAGAGTCTCACTCCATCGTCCAGGCTGAAGTGCAGTGGCACGATCTCAGCTCACTGCAAGCTCCACCTCCCGGATTCATGCCATCCTCCTGCCTCAGCCTCCCGAGTAGCTGGGACTACAGGCGCCTGCCACTATGCCTGGCTAATTTTTTTGTATTTTTAGTAGAGACGGGGTTTCACCATGTTAGCCAGAATGGTCTCAATCTCCTGACCTCGTGATCTGCTCGCCTGGCCTCCCAAAGTGCTGGGATTACAGGTGTGAGCCACCACGCCCAGCCTGAAAAATATATTTTAAAAACCCAATCCTGCTTACAATAGCTACAAAAAACACTTTGGAATAAACAAGGAAGTGAAAGATCTCTACACAAATAACTATAAACATTGAAAAAAATTGAAGAAGGCACAAATAAGTGGAAAGAAATGGATGTTCATGGTTGGAAGAATTCATATTTTCAATGTGTCCGTACTACCCAAAGTGATCTAGAGTCAATGCAATTCCTATCAAAATACCAATGACATTTTTCACAGAAACAGAAAAAATAATCCCCAAGTTTGCATGGAAACACAAAAGACAAAACAGCCAAACCAAGCCTATTAAAAAAACAAAGCTGGAGGCATCACACTACCTAACTTCAAAATATACTACAAAGCATAATGATATGGTTTAGCTGTGTCCCCACCCAAATCTCATCTTAAATTGTAGTTTCCATAATCCTCATTTGTCATAGGAAGTACTCAGTGGAAGGTAATTGAATCATAGGGGCAGTTACCCCCATGTTGCTGTTCTTGTGATAGTGAGTGAGTTCTCATGAGATCTGATGGTTTTATAAGGGGCTTTCCCCATTTTGCTCCGCACTTCTCCTTCCTGCCATCATGTGAAGAAGGATGTGTTTGCTTCCCTTTCCACCATTATAAGTTTCCTGAGGTCTTCCCAGCCATGCAGAACTGTGAGTCAATTAAATCTCCTTCGTTTGTAAATTACCCAGTCTCATGCAGTCCTTTATAGCAGTGTGAGACTGGAATAATAACACATAGTAACTGAAACAGTATGGTATTGGTATAAAAACAGTCACATAGACCAATGGAATGGAACCAAGATCCAATAAATAAATCCATGCCTTTACAGTAAACTGGTTTTTGACAAGGTGCCAAGAACACACAATGGAGAAAAGACAGTCATTTCATGCAATGGAGAAAAGACACTCAATAAATGGCATTAGGGAAACTGCCTATCAACATGCAGAAGAATGAAATTAGACTCTTATCGCATAGGATATGCAAAAATGAACTCAAAATGGGTTAAAGACTTAAATGTAAGGGCCCAAACTATGAAACTACTAAAAGAAAACATAGGGGGAACCTATAGCCTGGTTAATGATTTTTGGGAAATGATCCCAAAAGCTCAAACATCAAAAGCAAAAGTAGACAAATGAGATTTCATCAAACTAAAAGCTTCTGCACAGCAAAGGAAATAACAGAGTGAAGAGACAACCTATGGAATGGGAGAAAATATTTGCAAGCTATACATCTAATAAAGGGTTAATATCCAAAATACATAAGGAACTCAAACACCTCAGTAGCAAGAAAACAAATCACCTGATGACAAAATGATCAAAAAAACCTGAATAGACATTTCTCAAAAGAAGACATATAAATGGCCAACAGGTATATGAAAAAATGTTAAACATCACTAATTATCAGGGCAATGCAAATCAAAACCTCAAATCCCACCACTGCTTTATCAAATAAGTTAAGGTAATATTCAAAATCTTTTGTTGTCATTTCAGCAATGTTCACAGCAGCTTCACCAGGAATAGACTTCATCTCAAGAAACCACTTTCTTTGTTCATCCATAAAAAAGCTACTCCTCATCCATTCAAGTTTGATCATGAGATTGTAGCAATTCAGTCACATCTTTAGGCTCCACTTTTAATTATAGTTCTCTTGCTATTTTCACAACCTCTGCAATTACTTTCTCCACTAAAGTCTTGAACTTCTCAAAGTCATCCACGAGTGTTGGAATCAAGTTCTTCCAAATTCCTGTTAATGTTAATGTTTTCACCTCCTGTCATGAATCACAAGCATTCTTAATGGAATCTAGAATGGTAAATCATTTCCTAAAGGTTTTCAATTTTCTTTGCCCAGATCCATTAGAGAAATCACAATCTATCTATAGCAGCTACAGCCTTATGAAATGTATTTCTGAAATAATAAGACTTGAAAGTCAAAATTATTCCCTGATTAATGGGCTGCAGAATAGATATTTTGTTAACAGGCAAGAAAACAACATTCATCTCCTCTTACATCTCCGTAGAGCTCTTGGGTGACCAG
This sequence comes from Homo sapiens, assembly GCF_000001405.40. Classification (NCBI taxonomy): domain Eukaryota; kingdom Metazoa; phylum Chordata; class Mammalia; order Primates; family Hominidae; genus Homo; species Homo sapiens. Next base: position 47,760,266 of record NC_000004.12, read on the forward strand.
GTGCATTGTCAGTGAGTAGTAATATTTTAAAAGAAATCTGTTTTTTTCTGAGCAGTAGGTGTCAAAAATGGGCTTCAAAATAATCAGTAAGCAGTTTCTCTAATGCCATTTATTGACTGTCTTTTCTCCATTGCATGAAATGACTGTCCTTTCTCCATTGAGTGTTCTTGGTGCTTTTGTCAAAAACCAGTTTGATGTAAAGGCATGGATTTATTTATTGGATCTCGATTCCATTCCATTGGTCTATCAGTAAACAGGTGTGCTGTCATCCAGGCTTTTCTGTTACACTTATAGAGTATGAGTAGAGTAGATTTAGCATACTTGTTAACGGCCTTAGGATTTTGGGAATGGTAAAAGATCATTGGCTTCAACTTACAGTCATCAGCTGAATTAGACCTTAACAACAGAGTCAGTCTGTCCTTTGAAGTTTTAAAGCCAGGCACTGACTTCTCTTCTCTAGCTAGCAAAGTCCTAGATGGCATCTTCTTCCAGTACAAAGCTGTTTTGCCTAAACTGAAAATCTGCTGTTTAGTGTAGCCATCTTTATCAATGATCTTAGCTAAATCTTCTAGATGACTTGCTGCAGCTTCTAAATGAGCACTTGTTACGTCATCTTGCACATTTATGTCATGGAGATGGTTTCTTTCCTTAAATCTCATGAACCAATCTCTGCTAGCATCAAACTTTTCTTCTCCAGCTTCCTCACCTCTTCCAGCCTTCACAAAATTGAAGAGTTACAATCTTGCTCTAGATTAGGCTTTGGCTTAAGAGAATGTTGTGGCTGTTTTGATCTTCCATCCAGACCACAAAAACTTTCTCCATATCAGCAATAAGGCTGTTTTGCCTTCTAATCATTTGTGTGTTCACGGATGTAGCACTGTTTGTTGCCTATAAGAACTTTTGCTTTGCATTCACAATTGGCTAACTGTTGGGTGCAAGAGGCCTAGCTTTCAGCATATCTTGGCTTTCAACACGCCTTCCTCACTAAACTTAATCATCTCTAGCTTTTCATTTAAAGTGAGAGATATGCCACTCTTCCCTTCACCTGAATACTTAGAGGCCATTGTAGGGTTGTTAATTAGCCTAATTTGAATATTACTGTGTCTCGCAGAATAGGAAGGCCCCAGGCGAGGGAGAGAGACAATGGAACAATAGTCAATATATGGAATCAACCTAAGTATCCACTAACCAATGAATGCATAAAGAAAATGTGATACACACACACACACACACACACACACACATATACACAATGGAATACTATTCAGCCATAAAAAAGAAAAAAATCCTGTTATTTGCCACAACATGGATCAACCTGGAGGACACTTCGTTAAGTGGCGTAAGTCAGGCACAGAAAGACAAATACCACAGGATCTCATTCATATATAGAGTATTTAAAATTTGATCTCATTGAAATAGAGAATAGAATAAAGGTGAAAAGAGACTGGGGAAGTTCAAGGGTGAAGATTGGGGAAATGTTGGTCAAATGACACAAAATTACAGTTAGCTAGGGGGAATAAGTTAAAGAGATCTTTTGTATAGCATGGTGACTACAGTTATTGATAACATATTGTATTCTTAGCTGGTCATGGTGGTGTGTGCCTACAGTACTCCCAGCTAGCTGAGGGGCTGAAGCAGGAGGACTGCTTGAGCCTAGGAGCTTGAGGCCAGCCTGGACAATATAGCGACACCCCATCTCTAAGTGTGTATATATATACACACAAATATATACATATATACACACATATATATACACATATTAATGTATATATACACATGTATACACACATATATGCACACATACATATATGTATGTGTCTGTATATATATGTACACACATATGTGTATATTTGTATGTATATGTGTATGTGTAGTATTCTTAAAAAATGCTAAAATGATGGATGTAAAGTGTTCTCACCACAAAAATGGTACAATGTGATGTGATGTATTTGTTAATCAGCTAGATTTAGCCATTCCATCATGTATGTATACTTCAAAACATCATGTTGACACAGTAAATGCATGCAATTTTATCTGCCAATTTAACATAAATAGGAATTCAAACACACAGAAAAAATGCAACTTATTCTTGTATTACTATTCTAAAACTTTGTAACATTTTAATTCAGAAAATAATTGATGTTATATGTGAATAAGTAATACATGCTTTGAAATTTTTTTAAGTGTATACTTAATATTTCAAAAATTCCATGATATACTTTTGATTGATGTACTTATTGAAATTATCCCTGATCCTGTTTGATATTGTGCTGGATAGCCTCTGTCTATCTCTCTGTGTCTACACTTTGGCCTTCTTGCCCTGCTCTGCCTCCCAGTGTTGAGTGGAAGAACCACCCAACATCTATGTATGGTTCACACTTGCTTTAAAGTATAAGATTTGGGACTTTTGAACTGATGAGATTTAGTTGAGATTCTGGATCTCATCCACCATGCTCACATGAATTATGCACCCTTGTCCTCTGGTTGTGGATGAGTTCATTTGATGAGAGGCACTGGCAGATGGGAGGGTGGGAGGTGAGTGAGGTCAGGGTATTTATCCTTCCTTCTCTCTCACTGCAAGACTGAAGGGTTGGCAGTGGCCGTGCTCCTCTGCCTAGGGTCATAGCACCTGGCCTGTCCAAGACCCTTTACCCATAGATACAACTCTCTCTAACTCTCTCTAGGTGCTACTGGCCATTATTCCCCTTCAATCTTGGGTGGTGGAACTGTATCCCCGTATCATGAGACCCTGGTGCCTCCCATCACTTATTTGTTCTCTTAACCCTGCCCACAGCTCCATAAATAGTCTCTTCAAGAAACTCTCTTATCACCCCTTTGAGTGTGTTGTCTGTCTTATGCTGGATCCTCACTAGAACAGCTATTATGGAATTCCTCTGATAGCATCAATCTAACATTGTGAATAATTTTTTCCCATAAATAAAATTATTCCAGATTTTCAAAACATTTCTATTTTCAAAGAATTAGAACTAGCCATGACTAATGTGGCTAATAACAACCAAAATAAAAGGGAGTCATTTGGATAATTTTTTTTCTCCTAGGACACTTCTGCTATAACCAACTCTTATCACTGAATAATCTGGGTTCCGAAATACCTGTCATCGCCATCAATGATGCACTCAGGGAAGGCGAGGGTACAGCCAAACAGCATGATATGTTGATAGCAACTGAGGCGATGGAGATATGTGAAAAACTTGAGGAACTTTTCCATTTCCATGTTTCTGACAACTGAGAGGAGAGGTGTCAGCGTGGCGTGGTAGGGCAGCATCTGACACTGGCTGTGGGTGATGTTCATACAGGCACCTGGGAAGTAAAGACATGCACATTTAAGAGTGGACACATCAGAAGTATATGTTTGCAAACTCATTTAATATTTGTTTATAAGATAAAGTATACTTATCACAAGAAAAAATTTAGATATGCAATCATACACATAGGTGCATGTAAGTATGTGTATGTGTATGATAATGAAATCAAGCTACAAATATTTACAGAGGAAAAGCATTCGTGTCCTGGGAAAATGTGTGGAAAATACATACTCCTCATACATATCTAGTAGGCATATAAACTGGCAATCACCTTTTCTTTTGGATCACAGCTGGGCAGGGCAATATGTATCCAAAAAAATCTTTTCACCATGCATATTCTTTGACATTATCAAGTCATTTCTAGAAACTTATCCTAAGGAAATAATCATATTTGTGAATGTGGATTTATCTACGGGGATCTTGATCTTTGCATAGTTTACAATTTTTAAAAGATAGAAATCATCTAAATATTCAGCAAAAAGAATTGTTCTTTAGAATATGGAACAAACAATAGAATATTTAATTTAGGTACATGAAAGATGCTTCAGAAGACTATTTAATCACAACGGATGATGCTCATAATATAATAAGTAAAAGTAGGAAGTCACAAAACAATTTGTATACAATGATCTTGTTTTTAAAACACACAATTATGCAAAGATTTGTAATCCCGCCTATGTCAACAGTTCAGGAGCAGCTCAGAGCCTCTGACATTATCTTCTCCCATAGTTGGCTCTTTTGGGCGCCACCATATCCATGGCTTTTCCATTGCCTTCATGCCAGAAATTTGCCTGGTTGACCCGATATAAACAAAAATGTTGACATGCATTCATATGATGGGATTTTAGGAATCGACCACATTTTCTTTTTTATTCCTTATTCTCTTGTCTGTATAAAGATTCATTGCTTTTATTGTTGCTGCTTAAACAAGATTCTCTTATTCACAATCGCCTCAGTTTCAAGACCCAGTTACATGAAATCATATCTATATTATACATGAGAAAACTCAATTTTTAGAAGGCTAAGAAATTTGCCTAGAGGTGCATAGCCATTATGTAGAAATTTCAGATCTGAAACCTATGTCTTCTGAGTAATTTCCATTACTTAGAGCTAATGTAGAGGGTTATGTTAAAAATAGTTCTTGAGATAATTCTTAATGGCTCATGAAAGGAAGAGGCTAAAAAGCATATAATGACATATCTCAAGGTCTGTATGTATAGTAATATGTAATACACCTGTATATTTTGACCACACCTTTTTATCAGTTTTAATTACATTATTTTATTTAGGGGTTATCAGCTTTTGGGCTTATGCTTTTGATGGAAGCCCATATTTGAAGCAATTAGAATACTAAAAGGCTCATTCCCTCCACCCAGCCAAAGAAACCACTGAATATTAAGAGATCATTTTAAAAATGCAAGATAGAAAACATCCTAGGGGCCGGGTGCGGTGGCTCACTCCTGTAATCCCAGCACTTTGGGAGGCCGAGGCAGGCAGATCACGAGGTCAGGAGACTGAGACCATCCTGGTTAACACGGTGAAACCCCATCTCTACTAAAAATACAAAAAATTAGCCGGGCGTGGTGGCGGGCGTTGTGGGGGGCGTGGTGGCGGGAGGCTGAGGCAGGAGAATGGTGTGAACCCGGGAGGCGGAGCTTGTAGTGAGCTGAGATCGCGCCACTGCACCCCAGCCTGGGCGACAGAGCGAGACTCCGTCCCCCAAAAAAAAAAAAAAAGAATCCTAGGAATTTTCCCATATTAGCATTTGGAGAGCTTCACTGTTTCCTTTACTGCTGCATAACATTCCACTATATGTTGTACTGGGATTTATTTAAGCAATCTCCCTTTAATAAATATTTGGACTGTTTTCAACTTTTTGCTATTATATTGCTGTAATAAGTAACCTGTACATATGCCTGAGATGTACAATAGATTCCCAGAAGTAGGATTGCTGGGTAAACGGATAAATGCTTTCAGAATTTTGGTAGCTATTGTCAAATTCCCCCATCATCGAGAAGTACCATTTTGAATTCTCGCCAACAATGTATGAGGATGTCTGCTTTCTCAGTCTCACCAACAGAGAACAGTGTCAAACTTTTGGATTTTTGCTAATCTGATAGGTGAGAAATTATATTGTAGGGTGATTTTTCATTTGCATTTAACTTGTTGCCAGTGAAGTTGAGCACCTTTTCATATATTTAAGGACCATTTGCATTTTGTCTTCAGTTTCATATGCTTGGAAGATTTTTCCTACTGACTTTTAGGGGTGTTTTTTCTACTTTTACAAACTCCTTATTAGGGAGATTAATGTACTGAAAATATTCTAACACTTTTTCTATAGTTTTGTGGTTTTGAAATCATTTTAAAGAACTAACAACTATATAATCATTTAACAGATGAATATATTTTATTCTACTTTAATCCAGCCGTTGAAATATTTAAAGGGGGCTTTCTTTGAAAAGTAGCCGGTTCAGAGGCAGAGCTCAAAATCGAATCTGGAGTAAGGTATGATAATATCTGACATTTCAGTACCCCTTTGTAGTTTACGAACCACTTCTACCCTTATCTTTTAAGGTTGTATTAGTTAGGTTTGGTTTGGCTGTAGTGAAGGAAAATGGAATATAACATTGCTTTAAGCAGAACAAAATTTCTCTGCCCCATAAAAGTCTAGATGAGTGGTCTAGGACAGGAATTGGATCCCGTGGTGCCAGAAACATAGGCTCTTTATGTAGCCCTAACTTCATGGCCCAAGATAGTGAAATCTACAGTCCAGACAGAAGGGTGGAGAAGTAGTAAAGAGGACAAAGACACACACTCTTACTATTTCTTAAGAACAGTTTCAGCTGCTACAAGACCCTTCCACATATATCCCATTATCCAGAATGTCGTCACATGGCCACATCTAGTTGCATGAGAGGCTAGGATTATTCCAGTTTGACATGTGCCCAGATAAAAATGGGGAGTGGGATCAACTACAAACGAAGGAGAATGAATACTGGTGTTCAACCAGAAACCTTTGCCAGAAAAACAAATAGAGAAGGCATCATTATACTCATTATAAAAGAAAACAAAGGCCGGGCGCAGTGGCTCACACCTGTAATCCCAGCACTTTGGGAGGCTGAGGTGGGCGGATCACCTGAGGTCAGGAGTTCGAGACCACCCTGGCCAACATGGTGAAACCCCATCTCTAGTAAAAATACAAAAATTAGCCGGGTGTGATGGTGGGCGCCTGTAATCCCAGCTACTCGGGAGGCTGAGGCAGAAGAATTGCTTAAACTCGGGAGGCGGAGGTTGGCAGTGAGCTGAGATCATGTCACTGCACTCCAGTCTGAGCAAAAGAGCAAGACTCTGTCTCAAAAAAAAAAAAAAAAAAAGGTACAACTATTTTCCTATTCAAGATGTTTGATTAAGCACATATCCTCCCTCCTGACATTTCACCAAAAAAAGAATAGTAAAGGGGAAAAAGGCATAAACTCATAACAGCAAAGAGCATGGAGAGGGGCTTCCATCAGAAGATAAATATTTTTAGCAAATTTCTGCCAGCCAAAAAGAGCATGCAAGAAATTTTGAAGTTTGTGGAAGAGGATGAAGTCAATCTGCCCAGCAGAACCTAGGAGAGGTTCTGGGCTTGAGTTGTCAGATAAGGCAGAGAAGAACAAAAACTGGAACTAAAAAAGGGAGATATTAAAGATCTGTATATGAAACAATTGCTCCTCACTCCACCCACACGCACAGAATACAAGACAGCCACAAAATTACCACCATTAAAAAGAAAAAAAAAGAAAAATATTCATCTATCTCTAAAGAAATTACACAATGGTCTGAAAACTGAGAAAGCTGGTATGGCTATTGGTACCACAGATAAGGTTAACAATAACTGAAAATGTCGCTCTGAAAAAATAGAAATAGTTCAAGACAGAAGAGAACTTTAAAAAAATCATCAATAACTTCAGAGTAAAGTGCCCATGTAATTTATCATCCTACCTGAGAAAATTTAAAGAATGATAACAATGAGCTATTAATAGCTATGCCAGGAAAATAAATATAAACCATGACTGTCTCCTATGAGCCAAGATATATAGATTTAAATAGGTATTGCATCCATAAATGAGAATAGGATGCTAAGAAAAAGAAAACTCAGAAGAGAAAACCTTACAATCGACACCACATAAATGCAAAGGATCATAAGAGATTACTATAAATAATTATACACCAACAAATTAGATAACCTAGAAGAAATGGATAAATTCCTGGGCACATACAACTTAACAAGACTGACTCATGAAAAATCAGAAAATCTGAACAGCCCAATAATGAGAAAGGATATTGAACCTGTCAGGCCTCTGAGCCCAAGCTAAGCCATCATATCCCCTGTGACCTGCAAGTATACATCCAGATGGCCTGAAGTAACTGAAGAATCACAAAAGAAGTGAAAATGGCCTGTTCTTGCCTTAACTGATGACATTACCTTTGAAATTCCTTCTCCTGGCTCACCCCGGCTCAAAAGCTCCCCCACTGAGCACCTTGTGACCCCCATCCCTGCCCTCTGGAGAACAACCCCTTTGACTGTAATTTTCCACTATCCACCCAAATCTTATAAAACGGCCCCACCCCTGTCTCCCTTCGCTAACTCTCTTTTCGGACTCAGCCCGCCTGCACCCAGGTGAAGGAAACAGCCTTGTTGCTCACACAAAGCCTGTTCGGTGGTCTCTTCTCACGGACTCAAGTGAAAGAACCAGTAACAAAAAGTCTTCCATCACAGAAAAGCCCAGGACCTGACGTCTTCACTATTAATTCCACAAAACATTTAAAGAACTAATATCAATTCCTCTCAAACTCTTCCAAAAAACTGAAGAAAAGTGAACATTTGTAAACACATTTTACAAAGCCAGCATTGCCCTGATACCAAAGCCAGACAAGGACACTACAAGAGAAGAAAATTACACCTTAATAACTTTGATGAATATAGATACAAAAATCCTCAACAAAATGCTGGCAAACCAAATTCAACAGCACATTAAAAAGATCATTTACCATGATCAAGTGGAATTTATACCTGGGATGCAAGGATGTTTCAACATACACAAATTAATAAATGTGATACATCACCTTAATAGAATGAAAGACAAAAGCCATACGACCATCTCAAAAGACAGAAAAAACACTTGAGAAAATTAAACATCCTTTCATGATAAGACCTTCAACAAATTAGGTATAGAAGAAATGTACTTCAACACAATAAAGGCCATCTACGACAAACCCACAGCTAACAACATATGCAATGGGAAAAGAGAAAAGCCATCCTCTAAGATCAGGAAGAGAACAAGGATGCCTGCTCTTGCCACTAATAATCAACATAGCACTGGAAGTCCTAACCAGAGCAATTAGGCAAGAGAAAGAAATAAAAGGCAATCAAATCAGAAAGAAAGAAGTTAAACGGTCTCTGTTTGTAACAACATGATCTTATATTTAGAAAAACCTAAAGATTCCACAAGGAAACCTGTTAGAATAAGCACATTCAGAAAAGTAGTAAAAGTAGTATGTTCAAAATCAACATAAAAAATCAGTTGTTTCAATCAGAAATGGAGAGAAAAATAAACTTAAATTAAAAATAAAAATAAACCAGTTCTGCTTTTATACATTAACAACAAACTGTACAAAAAAGAAATCGAGAAAACAATCACATTTACAATAGCTACAAAAAAAATACTTAGGAATAAATTTAACCAAGGAGGTGAAAGATCTTACACTGAAAATGATGAAGCATTGATGAAAGAAGTGAAAGGAAACACAAATAAATAGAAAAATATCCTGTATTCATGGTTTGGAAGGATTAATCTCATTAAAATATTCATACTACCCAAAGTGATCTACAGATTCAGTGCAATCCCTATTATAATTCTAATAACATTTTTCAAAGAAATACAAAAAATCCTAGAATTCATATGGAAACACACAAAAAACAAAGAACCAAAAAAAAATTGAGCGAAAAGAAAACTGAAGGTTTCACACTACTTGATTTCCAAATACACTATAAAGCTATAGTAATCAAAAAAGCATGATATTGGGGTATAAGCATAAAACCAATGTAACTGAATGAAGAATCCAGAAATAAATCCACACATTGATGACCAATTGATTTTCAACAAAGATGCCAAGAATACACAATGGGGAAACAACAGTCTCTTCAATAAATAGTGTTGAAAAAACTGGATATAAAGATTTAGAAGAATGAGATTAGTCTTATTTTACACCATATACAAAATTAACTCAAAATGAATTAAAAACTTACATGTAAAACCTAAAACTATAACACTACTAGAAGAATACATAGGGGGAAAGCTCAGTGACATTGGTCTGGTTAATAATTTTTTGAATATGATCCCAAAGGCAAGGGCAACAAAAGTATAAATACACAAATGGGATTACATCAAACTAAAAAGCTTCTTCCCAGGAAACAGTCAGCACAGCAAAGAAATAACTTACAAAATGGGAGAAAATATTTGCAAACCATACACCTGATAAGGGGTTAATATCCAAAATACAAAAGGAATTTTATTTAGTAGTTAGGAAACAATAACTAAATTTAAAAGTGGGAAAAGGCCCTAAATAGACATTTCACAAAAAAATACATACGAATGGCCAACAGGTATATGAAAAAAAGTTCAACATCTCTAGCCATCAGAGAAATGCAAATTAAAACCATAATGAGCTATTACCTCATACCTGTTAGGATGGCTATTACTAAAACAAAAATTAAAAAATGAAAAAACAGAAAATAACAAGTGCTGGTGAGGATGTGGAGAAAAGGGAGCATTTGCACACTGTTGATAGGGTTGTAAATTAGTGTAGCCATTATGGAAGACAGTATGGACATTCCTCCCAAAAATTAAAAATAGAATTACAAAACGATCCAACAACCCCAATACTAGCTGTATATTCCAAGGATGTAAAATCAGTGTTTTGAAGAGAAATCTACACTCCCATGTTCACTGCAGCATTATTCACAATAGCGAAGATATGGACTCAATAAAAATGTCCATCAATGGATGAATGGATAAAGAACATGTAGTATATACACACAATGAAATATGATTTGGCCTTTAAAAAGAAGGAAATCTTGTCATTTATGACAAGATGGATGAACCTAGAGAACATTATGTTAAGTGAAATCAACTAAGCACAAAAAGACAAAAACCACATGATTTCACTTATATGTGGAATCTTAAAAAGTTGAACTCATAGAAGCAGAGAGTAAAATGATGGCTACCAGGGACTAGGGGTATAAGGGTGAGGATTGCAATATGTTGGTCAAAGGATCCAAAATTTCAGTTAGACAGGAGAAGTAAGATCAAGCGACCTATTGTACAGCATGGTGACTATAGTTAATAATAATGCCCTGTACACTTTGAAAATTGCTAAGAAAGTAGATTTTAAGTATACTCACCCCCCAAAATTATTTGAGGTTAAAAAATAAAAACAGATCCAAGTGATGTTACAACAACTTTTTTCATATTTCATGTAAATAAAGGCAGCATTTTGCATTGGGAAAAAATGGGTTATGAGCCCTCACAGAGGGACCAACTAGACTGGAAATTTTTGGTGCCTGTTCCTGGCTGTACCAGGAAGTCAACTCAGGTCAGGACTACATCAGCAGAGTGGAATAATGAAGGTCATTCTCTATTCTAGATAATTCACCTAAGAAGAAACATTTTGCCAGAATGATTTCTGGGAAAAATCAATTTGAAAGGATATCGTGTACTTAGGAAGATCTGTAAGAGGGTTACAGTAAGCTAAGAGAAAACATAAAACTGAAGACAGGGTCTCTCCATGAAGATTTAAGCTTTCGTTTTTAACTTTTATTTTAAGTTCAGGGGTACATGTGCAGGTATATTACATAGATAAACTTGTGTCATGGGGGGCTGTCATACAGATTATTTCGTCACCCAAGTATTAAGCCTAGTACCCATTAGTTATTTTTCCTGATTCTTTCCCTCCTCCCACCCTCCACCCTCTGATAGACCCCAGTGTGAATTGTTTCCCTCTATGTGTCCATGTGTTCTCATCATTTAGCTCCCACTTATAAGTGAAAACATGTGGTATTTGGTTTTCTATTCAGGTCTTAACTAACTGTAAACCAAACCTAAACACAGTAACTATTCTACTTCTCATAAGAGAAAATCAGGAAACAAAAGATGCATTTTCTTAATGAGTGATTTACAACATTTGTAAAAAGTCTTTACAGACATAGTGAAGGCACAGTTAAGCCAATGTCTTGCTAAGTTATACAAAAATATGTAAGTATTTTGTGCAATGCCACGTAAATTATCAGAGTTAAGTAAAAGCTAGCTATTCTTGTCAAGAGAAATACGAGGTTTGGGAGTTTATTTTCTATATAATTGTATATATTCTAGACTAAACGCTTTTTAATGCACCCCGATTCTCTTGGTGATGTATTTTGCCAAGCTTCAAGCTTTCACATTACATAGATAGATAGATAGATAGATAGATAGATAGATAGATAGGTAGATAGATAATTGTCTCTATCTTATTCCTAAACGCACCTTCATACTTGGTTTTAAGATGTTTAAATCATAAGTAAAGGCTCATAACCTGTTGCAATTCATTCATTCAAGAAACTACTTACTGTGACAATGCTTTAACACAGTGAGGGGTCAAGGTAGAGAAATGAGCCGTAATATAGGCCTCGGCCGATGTGTAGGAAGAGGCAGATGAAGAATATTGAGGCGCCATTGGCGTGAAGGTAGCGGATTTCTTTGTAAATCAATTATTCACATTCCATAGAATTAAGTGAGACTTAACATTGCAGCTGTAGCAGCATCTGTCAGGCATTTTTTATAAATTTTGAAAGAACTACACCTTGCCCCATAAAATCATCCATCCTAGAGTTATGAATGAATGATAACAATAATTAAAATGTATATAGTGTCTTCAAGTTTGTTAAACAGTTTTCTATACATAATATGGTGGTTCCACAGTCTGATTCAAAATCCTGGCTACTATTTTATATTTCTGTGGCCTTTGGCAAGTTATTGAACTCCTCTGTTTATCAGTTTCCTCATCTGTAAAATGGAAATAATAATAACTGTGTAATAGGTTTATTATAAGGATAAAACAATGCTTACACAATGTCCAGCACATAGTATGTGATAAGAAGTTTTTGCTATTATTATTATCTCATTTGTGACTCACAAAAACTCTGTGAACTAGACAGGGGAGAGATTTGTATCCATGTTACATAGGTAAGAAAATTGAGGCAGAAAGCTTTCATTCTGCTTTTTTCTTCTGGATTCTATAATGTATCCATTTATAAAGGGAATAATTATTCATTTATATAGGAACAAAATTCAAAATTGAACTACTTAGTTTTGCTTACTTGTACAATAAAACAATGCTGGGAGTTATAATTTTTTTTTAAAAAAGTAAGCATTTTAAAACATTAGTCATTTAAAAATACGTATTGAGTCTCTACTATACAAAGGCACTTAGTGCTATAGAATGTTTTTAAAAAAAGAATTTGGAATTAGACCACATTTCACATATTTAGCCAAAATTTAACACATATAGAAATTATTTGTTTTTCATGCCAACAGTGGTAAAAATAAATTCTATAATGATGAGAGTATAAAAAATTACTTACTGGAGCAACATGTTCAATAAGGAAAGGATTTATTGTAAAATCCACTACCTCACTAGTAGTTTGTTTTAAATTTCACCACTCATGAAGGTGATGAGATCTCAGTAGACTTTCAGCCCTATGTAGTTTATTGGGAATCTCATTTAGTAATAGTTAAGATTTGAGTACGGGAGTAATGAATTCTAGGACTAACAGGGCAGGTCTGCATACCAAAGCCTGGATTACACCAGCTGGGTATTGTGGTCCTTAATGTATTTGTAAAAGGCTCATTTAAATAACGCTCTCTAATTCAGAATCCTCTAAACTTAAAATCTATCATAAGTCAGAATCAAGTTGAGCAATTGTTTACCTTTTTACTCTCTGACTCTGCAAAGGAAGATTTTATGGAGAATAAGATCGTAAGGAAAGGCATGTTCTACATACTCAAAAGGAAACATTTAAAATGAACTTCTAGTCTCCTTAAAATACACATAAAACATGTCATTTCTTTCTTTTAATAAATATACCTTTTATATTCTAATAAATATACCTTCTAGGTATATTTAGTATATAAATGTATACCTAGGTATATATATTTATTAAAACCAGGTTCATTGATTTGAAAGATAAAAGGTATATTTATCTTTTATATTTATTATTAATTACTAAAAGATAAAAGGTATATTTATTATATACCTTTTGGGGAGACAAACATTCTGTCCATAAGATTGATCTATAATTTTCATTTTCATATTGTCTTTGCTTTAAATATCTAGTTTCTACTTGATTCAAAACTACCTATCGGCATTTTCTATTTTCTCTAGAATATTTTGCATTTAATGGTGATTAATTGTTCCTTAAAAGTGTGATAAAACTTGTCTATAAAATTATCTGGGATTTTAAAATAAATTTTTAAAAGTAAGAATGATTTTTATAGGTAGTTTTAAAACTACTGATTATGATGGCAGCGGTGGCCCATCTGGAGATGCTGAGAAGATGCCAGCTGCAGTGCGGGAGGCATGGCCAGGGCTGCATGCTCCACTGGCCGAAGTCGGTGGGAGCCGGGAACAGGTGGGAGCCCCACCCCCTTCTCAGCTGGCAGGGCAGGAGCCCTGCACTCCCGGGTGTGAAAGTATGTTTAGTTCATATTATTAAACATGGTTTCTTTCTGGGTAGGGGAATTTGGTATGATTTTTTCCTTCTTGCTTTATGCTTCCAGTTTTCTATATTGCTTAAATTAAATAGTAGATATATAATTCTGATAAATAATAAAATTATTATTTTTAAAAGAGCTTTTAAAATAAACTTAAAAATATGACCATCTTCTCCGCCATAAGTCTGGCTTGTTTTTGGTGAGGGATGTGGGAGTCAGCACGAAAGGGAAATTGTAGTACATGGGTCAAAGCAAAGAGGAAAAGGGAGCAAGTAGACTCTTCCTGACCTTTCTGGCTAGTATTTTCTGAGTTCTTATCATGTGCCAGACTGTAAGACTAGCCCCATTGACAAGTCTTGCAGTGGCTTCTTCTATAAAAGCAGCAGCAACCTCAACAAAGAAGGAAATCCTGCCATATGATATGGTATGCATGAAACTTGAGGACATTATGCTAAGTAAAATAAGCCAGTCACAAAAGGGCAAATACTGCATGATTCCACTTACCTAAAGTATCAAACATAGTCAAACTCATAGAAGCAGAAAAGCGGAATGATGGTTGCCAGAGGTTGGGCAGAAGGGGAAATGAGGAGTTGCTAACCAATGGGTATAGAGTTTCAGGCGTGCAAGATGAATGGGCACATTAACAAGTGTAATGTATACTCAAAACTTTGTTAAGAAGTTAGATTTCATGTTTTCTTTTTAACAATAAAGAAATTAGAGATAGGACAAGATGGCTGACTAGACGCATACAAGTGGAACAGCTCCCCTGGAGGGACTGAGATGACTGGCATGCTTTTTTGTTGTTGTTTTTTTAATAATTGTCTCATTTATTATCTTTCTTTTTTTTTCATATATACTTTAAGTTCTAGGGTACATGTGCACAACGTACAGGTTTTTTACCTATGTATACATGTGCCATGTTGGTGTGCTGCACCCATTAATTCTTCATTTACATTAGGTATATCTCCTAATGCTATCTCTCCCCCCTCCTCCCACCCCACGACGGGCCCCCGTGTGTGATGTTCCCCATCCTGTGTCCAAGTGTTCTCATTGTTCAATTCCCACCTATGAGTGAGAACATGGGGTGTTTGGTTTTCTGTCCTTGCGATAGTTTGCTGAGAATAATGGTTTCCAGCTTCATCCATGTCCCTACAAAGTCATGAACTCATCCTTTTTTATGGCTGCATAGTGTTCCATGGTGTATATATGCCACATTTTCTTAATGACTGGCATGCTTTAAACAGATCTTCAGAGGGAAGGTGCTGAGGGTGGATGGAGGGAAGACACAGAAGCTCAGCTGAAGAGGGAGAAAGTTGGCACCTGTAGGGCCAACTCTACTGGGAGGTTGACAGCGTTTGATGTGTCCCCAGGCATTTTCTGCTTCACTGCTTCTCATGATTGGCTGTGATATGACTGGCCAGTACCCAAACTCTAGAATAAGCTAGAGAAACTCTAGGAAAAAACTTTAGATTTAAGGTTTCCATTTCTATGGATTTGGGGCTTTGTCTTTTGTTTTTTGGGGTTTTTTTGAGTCAAGGTTTCACTCTGTTGCCCAGGCTGGAGTGCAATGGCGAGATCTCAGCTCGCTTCAACTTCAACCTCCCAGGCTCAAGTGCTTCTCCCATCTCAGCCTCCCAAGTAGCTGGGGGTTTTTTTGAGTCAAGGTTTCACTCTGTTGCCCAGGCTGGAGTGCAATGGCAAGATCTCGGCTCACTTCAACTTCAACCTCCCAGGCTCAAGTGCTTCTCCCACCTCAGCCTCCCGAGTAGCTGGGACTACAGGCACTCCTCACCATGCCCAGCTATTTGTATTTTTTGTAGAGATAGTTTTGCCATGTTGCCCAGGCTGGTCTCAAACTCCTGAATTCAAGCAATCCACCCACCTCAGCCTCCCAAAGTGCTAGGATTTTGGGGGGTTTTTTTGAGTCAAGGTCTCACTCTGTTGCCCAGACTGGAGTGCAATGGTGAGATCTCGGCTCACTTGAACTTCAGCCTCCCAGGCTCAAGTTGCTGCGTGTGGTATGAGCCACCACACCCAACCAGGTCTCCATTTCTTTCCCACAGCAACCTCCCATATTATTCATTTAAAAAAATTTCTCATTAACTTTAAAGGACATATTATATGGTAACATAGTTACTGTGGCTTAACAGCCATCAGGACATCATAAATCAGTCTCCTGAAATGCACATTCTAGAGGATTATATTGAGTGCATATCTATAAACACATAGCCACAACAAAACAGACTCTCTGAGCTTGAGTACTTAAAACACAATGGAGGAATTTGGAGGCCATTCCAATGAGAAAATTACAAAATTTTATATCTCCCACTTCCTGAGGTGATAACATTCCCATTAATACCTGCAACAGCAATGTTGGCCTTCCCATACTCTACAGACAAAATTGAAAACTAAAGTCTCTGTTCAATTGATTCAAGATAATTATTAAATTTTAAAATGAAGCAGTTTAATCTGTTTAAAAATAGAAGCTCCAGGATAGACCTTTAAATTAAAATATATTTTTGTCCTTGTAAAGAAAACTTTACAAAAAAAGTTGTATTTATTATAGAATTAAAATGGTATGAATTAGCAATATTATATTTTAGAAAAATAAAAAGAATTGAAATCGATCATGTTTGTTTCTGAGCCTGTCTTATAGAATTTCTCACTTTATTTCTCAAGTTGTAAGAATATGTTCATGTTGCAAGGCAGTTAGTAGACAACTGGCTGCTTGGGGACAGGACTTCTGTCTTATCCATCTTTATAGTCCATAGAGCCAAAACCTGGAGTATGACATCCAATAAATAGCTACTGATTAACAAATGGTGCTTCACAGAATATTAACCTAGATTCTCCAAAATTTGAGACATCTCATACAATTTAGAAAAGTACACAGGCATGAGAATGGGTTTACACAGCTTAATATAATTACAAACAAGTACTATACCATAAGTCTTATTAATTCAAACACTGGCCAGGCGCGGTGGCTCACGTCTGTAATCCCAGCACTTTGGGAGGCCGAGGCAGGCAGATCAAGACGTCAGGAGTTCAAGACCAGCCTAGCCAATATGGTGAAACCCCATCTCTACTAAAAATACAAAAATTAGCTAAGCGTGGTGGCACACACCTGTTATCCCAGCTACTCGGGAGGCTGAGGCAGGAGAATCACTTGAACTCAGGAGGTGGAGGTTGCAGTGTGCCAAGATCGCGCCATTGCACTCCAGCCTGGGTGACAGAGCAAGACTCCGTCTCAAAAACAGAAATTCAAACACCACATGTGAATATTAGATTAATGATCTGGAGCAGCAAAATAGAGAATAAAATGTGTTAACACTGAAACACAAGAAGTGGATTGCGTCAAATTGAAAAGATGTAAAGCTTTTGGTTTGGAAAACTCATTACCTTACTCATTTCAGCTACAAGTGAAAAGGCATATTTTCCAAAGGCACAAGTAACAGCAAACAGATTCCCACTGATGGGTTTTTTGCTCTCAACACAAAATTATACAAATACTTAAAACCTGAGACAGTCAACAAATTGAATAATTCAGGCAAAAGATTACATACAGTGCCAATTTTCTTTCAGAACCAGAGGAAAAAGTAAATTACATAGTTTGGGTTTTTTTGGTTTTTTGATTTTTGTTTTGACTTTCATCTGAGCCTTTGACTTTTAAAAGATCATTTTGACCAGTATTATTTTTACAATGCTGTTAACATGCTACTGTTTTGCTTGTTTTCCTTTTTTTCTCTCTGTGAATCAAAGGTATTATTAGGCTGTTCTTCCTAAAGAGGAAATTGTGATAATGAAGCTGGAGAGAAAAAATTTGAGCCACAAGCCCTTTTGATGTGACTGTTTGACTCTCACTTGCTGTATGTATTAATATGGCATAAACATATAAGTTTTGGGGGCATTTGTCACCTGGGGGATATTGCAGGATTCATTTAGGAGAGAGGGTCAGGAGTCTTGCCAAGACATCTTTGAAAAAGGAAATCTAGGACTGTACCCAAAGGAGAGTGAAACAGTCACTGTTCCATTACTGCTTTCAGAAGCCTAGTTCTGCAGATGACTGAGTTTGCTCTTTCTGGGAGGAACCCAATACATCCTAGGGAAAGAATCATCTAAAGATGGAATGAGGAGGAAGGGAAGGAAATCAGGGAAAAGAGAAGAAGAGAATCCATTCTTATATTCGAGCTACTTTTCTCTCTCTAGAATTGTGCAAGTCTTTACTAGAATGCTGACAACCAAACAAGCATGCAACGATTACTTAAATGTTGCACTCATTCTTGCTTAGATGTTGCTGTTAGCCAGAAGCCCATGTCTGAATCTCATAATTGTTCTTTCAGAATAAAGGATATGATTTAATATATAGAGGAGAGAAACCAACTGGACCTGAACAATGGGGGTCTAACACTAGTGTCCACCAGAGCACATGGGAATGGCGTCTAGAGGTCATGACTACAGTGACTTTTGGAATATCACTAAGACCTTGAGAAGCAGCTTAGGCAGACTTCAGACCCTCCAAGGTACCAACAAAATATTTTTTTCCTCTACAGCAGGTGCCCATAATCAGAATCCAAAGAACCAATGGCCCCTACATAAAATTTAGGCTGTCTATGAACTTGTATGGGGAAAAAATAACATCTCCATTTCCAATAACACCCAACTGAAATTTAGTATAATTAAATTGCCAATGTAGGCAACAACTATAGAAAAAATTAGAAATCAGATATTTCCATCAATATAGAGTTGTTACAAACATTTCAAGATATTATTTATGCTCATCCCTATTATAAAATAATGGTTATAGGTCGAGCACAGAGGCTCACGCCTGTATTCCCAGCACTTTGGGAGGCTGAGGCAGGCGGATCACTCAAGGTCAGGAGTTTGAGACCAGCCTGGCCAACATCCTTAACGGGTAAGAGATTTACCAGATTTCAGATATCTAATTAGACTCCCTTTCTCAAACTCTCCTCTAAGATAGTTGCCTGATGAGTAGTAATCCAGGTAAAACTCCAAGGCCTGCTCTGATCCTCTTAGCTGCATATTCTTTTTTTTTTCTTTTTTTTTTTTCTTTTTTAGATGGAGTTTTGCTGTTTCACCCAGGCTGGAGTGAAGTGGTGCGATCTCGGCTCACTGCAACCTCCGCCCCCAGGTTCAAGTGATTCTCCTGCCTCAGCCTCCCGAGTAGCTGGGATTACATGTGTTTGCCACCATGCCTGGATAATTTTTGTATTTTTAGTAGAGACAAGGTTTCACCATGTTGGTCAGGCTGGTCCCGAACTCTTGACCTCAGGTGATCCACCTGCCTCGGCCTCCCAAAGTGCTAGGATTACAGGTGTGAGCCACCGTGCCTGGCCAGCTGTATATTCTTGTAGAGCTCATGTTAAAGCTAATGAAAACATCTCATGTTAAAAACATAAAACTAAGAAGAAAGAACAACCTAAGGGTTTTGAATTGGTGCGTAAGCTTTCTACACCCAGTAACTTTTGGGTATGAGTTTAGGGCATTTCGGTCCATGTCTAGTTATCAATGTAAATAAATCACTGCAATTTAGACAGCATCATGGTCATCATCCAAATCATTTTTTCTTCAGAAAGAAGACTATGTAGTTCACTGAGGGGGAAAAAGCTAGATATAAAGTGAATTCCCATTATTGGGGAAATGGTTGAAATAAATTATGGTATAATGACAACATGGAATACTATTTAGTCATTATAACAATAGATTAGAATTAAGCTATTGCCTTGAAGATACTAACTTGAAGTATTCTTGGATGGGAAAGATATTTTGTAAAAAAAAAAAAGTAATAAAAACAATGACCCAAATCCTCTATGTGAATATTATCCTGTGTACATGTATGTGTATATGTTCATATAAGATTGTAAGAGGATGGAGAAAACTATAAAATCATACATATTTGGCTATTAGGTTCTTCTTAGGCAGAGGAAAGGAGAAGAAATGAAGGAATTTATGCAAAAATGGGAAATAAAAACTTCAATTACAAATAACATATATATCATAATCACATTCATACATTATATAAAAGAGAAAAATCAATTCCCCATATTGAAGGAAATGAAAAAGAAGAAATCAGAGTGAATAAATAAGGTAAAAACAATTGAGGAGTAGGAAATAATCCCAGAACAGCAAAGTAAGATCCTCCAAAAATCTACTCCTCCACAAAAGCAGTGAAAACACTGGGAAAAAAAACTGTCAAAGTTAATTTTTTTTTACTAGAGAGCATCTGGAAAGATGGTGGGATAGGAAACACCAGCAATCTGTCTCCCCACCTAGACAACAATTGCACTGGCAGAATCTGTCTGATATAACTATTTTGGAACTCTGGATTCTATTGAATGTTTGAAAGTTTCAGAGGTGGGACAGAGCAGTTAAAGGAACAGAGTTTTTGTTTGTTATTGAAGTTAAACTGGTATAAATTCAAGTTAGAGTGCTGTAACTTTAAGATGTTAAATATGATGCCAATGGTAACCATAAATAAAATAGCTATCGAATATATATATATCCTTTGAGATTTTATATATATATATATGACAAAGGAAATGAAAAAGGAATTTAAACGTTTCAATATTAAAAAAAAAACTAAACACAAAAGAAGGCAGTAATCCAGGAAATGAGGGATGAAAAAAAGCTACAAGGTATATAAAAAACAAATAGCAAAATGACAGAAGTAGGTCTTCATCAGTAATTACTTTAAATATTAATGGATTAAATTTTTTCAATCAAAAGACAGAGATTGGCAGAATGGGTTAAAAAAACCATAATCCAACTATATGCTGTCTACCACAGACTCACTTTAGATTCAAAGACACAAATAGGTTGTAAGTGAAAGGATACATAAAAATATTCCCTGCAAATAATAACCAAAAGAAGAGAGTGGGATGACTCACTTATGATGGTTTGACTTTTATAATTTTTCAACTTTACAATTGTGCAAAAGTGACACACATTTAATAGAAACTGTATTTTGAGTACTCATATAACCATTCTGTTTTTCACTTTCAGTAAGGTGTACAATAAAATACACGAGCTGTCCAATATGTTATTATAAAATAGGGTTTGTATTAGATGGTTTGTCCAACTGTAGGCTAATGTAAATGTTCTGAGCACATTTAAGGTGAAGGCTAAGCTAAGCTACAATGTTCTATAGGTTCGATGTATTAAATGTATTTTTGACTTACAATAGTTTCAACTTACAATGGGTTTATAAGGATATAACTCCATAATAAGTTGAGGAGAATCAGTATCCACAAAATAGGCTTTAAATCAACAACGGTGGCTGGGCGCAGTGGCTAACTCCTGTGATCCCAGCACTTTGGGAGGCCAAGGTCAGGAGATCAAGACCATCCTAGCCAACATGGTGAAACCGTGTCTCTAGTAAAAATACAAAAATTAGCCAGGCATGGTGGCATGCGCCTGTAGTCCCAGCTACTCAGGAGGCTGAGGCAGGAGAATCGCGTGAACCTGGAAGGCAGAGGTTGCAGTGAGCCGAGATCATGCCACTGCACTCCAGCCTGGGCAACAGAGCAAGACTCCATCTCAAAAAAAGAAAAATAAATCAAAAATGGTTAGAAGAAATAAAGAAGGACATTTTATATTAATAAAAGGTTCAATATAAAAAGAAGATACAACAATTGTAAATATTTACACACCTAATGACAGACCGTCAAAATGTCTGACGCAAAAAATTGATAGAACTGAAAGAAGGCCAGGCGCAGTGGCTCATGACTGTAATCTCAGCACTTCGGGAGGCCAAGGTGGGCAGATCACTTGAGGTCAGGAGTTCAAGACCAGCCTGGCCAACGTGGCAAAACCCTGTCTCTACTAAAAATACAAAAATTAGCCAGGCATAGTGGCGTGTGCTTGTAATCCCAGCTACTCAGGAGACTGAGTCAGGAGAATCGCCTGAACCCAGGAGGCGAAGGTTGCAGTGAACTGAGATCGTGCCACTGCACTCCAGCCTGGGCAACAGAGCAAGACTCCATCTCAAGAAAAAAAAAAAAAAAGAAAGAAAGAAAAAAAGACAAGAAACAGACAAATCTACAATAATAGTTGGAGACTTGAATACCCCACTCTCAATAATGGATAGAACAACTAGACTGAAGACAAGTAAGGAAACAGAGAAATAACACAATTCCACTTCTAGGTATAAACCCAAGAGAACCAGAAACGTTTTCACACAAAAACTTGCACGTGAATATTCACAGAAGCATTATTGATAATAGTTTTAAAAAATGTATATGCAATCCTAATTTCCAACAATGGATGACTGGATAAAGAAAATGTGATAGAGCCATATGAAGGAATATTACTCAGCACTAAAAAGAAATGAAATACTGACACATGCTATATCACGGATGCATTCTGAAAACATCATGCAAAATAAAAGAAGGCAGATACAAAGGACCACATATTGTCTGTTGCTTTTTATATAAAAGTTTCAGAATAAGAAAATCCATAGAGATTGAAACTAGATTAGTTTTGGCCAGGAGCTGAGGGAAAGGGGAAATAAGGGACAGGGAATATGCCTTTTTTTTTTGCAATGATGAGAATATTCTAAAATTAGATAGTGGTGATGGTCTGAAATAGAAGATTCAGGATCCGGTTATCAAAGATGTGATAAGAGAACAGAACACTTTAAGCTTTCAGCACATCAATTTACTCTCTTGTCACTTTAACTCCTCATCAGAGTTACTAGGTTATTTTATTGTGTTCCATATTATCTTTTACCCAAAAGATCTTGGTTGGCAAAAGTTTCCCCTTTCCTTAAAGTTAAATATATATTTAAATAGTTATAAAATACATAAGGAAAAAATGGTGAAAATAAAAACCCAGATATAGAATACAACCTAAAAAAAGTCCTTGCTGAAACATAGTATGAACATTAACTATGGGCCTTTTCCTTTTTCACATTATAATTTGTTTTCAAAATGTAACTAATGTTAACTCCAGAAGTACCAGATGTCACATAAAGCTTATTTCACTTTCACAAAACCTAACTGTACTACATAGTGTAATATGGGGGTATTCTGGTTAAAGCTTTACAAAATGCAGGATTCTATGTCTTGGCATGACATGAAGAACCCCCAAGAAAAATGTCTTAGGGAAAGACTATTTCTTGGTATTTTCCTACCCAGGATATTTGGGTAGAATAGAATGAATGTCTGGCCATTGTATTTTTGGACTGAAGTATATTTAAATAGCTTTTACATATGCCAGGAATTGAAAATAACATCTTAATTTGAGCATAATAAAAGAGGAGGATAAAAATAAACTCTCTGCTCAGTGTTAATACAGATCTAAGACATTAAATGATATTTTAAGTAAAACTGGTGAAATAAACATCAAGTCATAGAAGTGTGATCAGGCACTTCTAGCAAAAGTGATAAATCATATATTAAAATTTAAAATGACTATAGTTCATTTATTTATTCATTCAGCTAATATTTTATTACACATTGACTATACAGCAATAAAAACAACAACAAAATAATCTACTCTTTCTTCTCTCCCAGAACTTAAAATTTGTTTAATAATGTTACGGCAAAGAAAACAATAAGATTAAATGATGATGAAAAACTTGAAAGAGCACTGATCTTGGAGTCCTAAGATCTGAATCAAAATTTCATGTCTACTAATTACTAGGCAAGTGATACTGGATACATCAACTAATTTCTCTAAGCCTCAAATTCACACCGTGAAAAATGGGGTATGCTACTACCTGTCTGGTGTATTTCATCAGTTAATTATAAGGATCACAGAGAAAATATTCAAACATTCCCTAAAAACTCTAAAAGTTCTATAATCACAGGCTTGCATTATTACTGAAATGTATGGAAAGCTATCCAATTTCTTGCAATAAATAATTTTAGTTGATATTAACAGTATACTGAGAGTCTATGTGGCCAGACAGGAAAGACTAATGCTAACTGTCAAGTACATTAACAATATAAAATGACACATATGCTAGGGTTTTGGCCTTTCTCCATTTAGCCATTCTAATTTGACCTGGATTTCCTCTACATGTCAATTTATGCTCATATTCACAAGCAATGTTCCAATCATAGGAAGAGCAAATGAGTCAGACAGACTTCTATCAAACTTCCAATCTGAGCAACAACAGCCACATGTTTCTTTACTCTTCAGGACATGTATTTGTCAATCCTGTTTGAATCTTAACAAATAATGGAACTTTCAAAATAAAGACAAATGCACTTAGTAGAAGAAAATAACAATTACTGTAATTGCAACCACATTAACTTGACTGAGTTTTTGTTTAAATTACTTCTGTACTTCTATGAAAAACACTGTTCTTAAGAATAATGAAGTGCTTAAGACATGACTGAAAAATAAAACCTCACAATTAAACCCATGAGGAAAATAAATTTAACTTGGCATAATTCTGGTTTGCAAAAATACTGTCAGGTAATGAACCCAAATCCATATGAATCACTGGTAAACACTATGCACAACAAACAGTTAATACCTATAGGTGCTCTGTGAAACAGTGGAATCCAAACTGTCTGTCTCTTTTGGGTTGGAGAAATAGAATAATCCTGCTTTTCCTCAAACACTGGCAAACATATACTATGATAGCTAAAAGTCAACTTAATCCTTCCTTTCCTGGCTCAAAATAAAAATAAATACGCCATCTCAGACTTAAGATGTGATATCCCTTTGTGGGTTTTCATGAAAGAGAGAGAAACACACAAGAAAATGATCATGGTTGGATGGGCTTTGTGTAATTTTCAATCACATAACCTTGTTTTAGAAAGTAGAAATGAAGAGCCAAGACAACTATGGAGAAAATTCTGGCAGTGGCTGTACTGTGCTCTGATTATTTTTTATTAGCATTGGTTGTATCACACCCAAAGCTTCTTGGCATTTTCCATACAAATCCACTCCCACCGAGTATTCTGTATTCCGGAAGGGCAGTAACTTTATCAAAAGGTAGAGTCACATTCCAGAGCATATCATCTGTCACCTCTCACCAACTCACCACGCCCCATGTCCACACTTTCTGTCTTTTCTCTCTCCCAGCTCTTCTGGAATAACTAACAAATCCTTCCCTTTGCCCTCATGCAGAAGAGTTTGGCACATGCCATTTTTCTCAAGGTGTGATTTTTTTTTTTGTCATTCACCAACATGTAAAATAAATTTTACAGCCAATAATAGCAGGTGAAAAGGGAAGCAAGATGAAAAAAGGACACATGAATGTCTCAAAAGGAAATAGGGGGCTGGGTGCAGTGGCTCATGCCTGTAATCCCAGCACTTTGGGAGGCCGAGGCGGGTGGATCATGAGGTTAGGAGTTCAAGACCAGCCTGACTAACATGGTGAAACCCTGTCTCTACTAAAAATACAAAAATTAGCCAGGCATGGTGGCGCATGCCTGTAATCCCAGCTACTCAGGCGGCTGAGGCAGGAGAATCACTTGAACCCAGGAGGCAGAGATTGCAGTGAGCTGAGATTGTGCTACTGCATTCCAGACTAGGAGACAGAGAGACTCCATCTCAAAAAAAAAAAAAAAAAAAAAGGTAAATAGGGGGATAGCTCCCATTAAATCACTCAGCATCCTGTTATTGAATTGGTCCTCCTGCAAGGGACCAACCACAAAGTCAGTGACTTAACTTACTTATTAACTCAAAATAAGTAACTTAAAACTTCAAAAACTTCAAAGCTGAAGCGCAAACTTTCACAGATGAACCACTACAAAATCAATGCCACTATACTGGGGCAAGCAGCATAAATTTTCAGACCTCAGAAATATTGAATGGCATTGATACGTTTTCATTTCTTACTCAGTCCTACCTGAACATCTGGGCTAATGGCATTTCATGTTTAAGAATAGGGCACTCAGCAGGGCGCGGTGGCTCACGCCTGTAATCCTGGCACTTTGGGAGGCCGAGGCGGGCGGATCACTTGAGGTCAGGAGTTCGAGACCAGCCTGGCCAATATGGTGAAACCCCATCTCTACCAAAACTACAGAAAAAAAAATTAGCTGGGCGTGGTGGCGGGCGCCTGTAATCCCAGCCACTCAAGAGGCTGAGGCAGGAGAATTGCTTAAACCTGGGAGGCGGAGGTTGCAGTGAGGTCAGATTGCACCACTGCACTTCAGCCTGGGTGACAAGAGCAAAACTCCGCCTGAAAAACAACAACAACAACAACAACAAACAAAATAGGGCACTCAGCTACGCTTACCAGGAAACTGAGTGGAGATTTTCCTGTGTGACCGGCAAGTGATTGTGAACTAAAAGCATTGGTTGCCAAACTTAAAAACCTACCTGTGGGACATTAAAAGCCTCTAGCATGTATCACCTTTGGACTTACTTGTATTCCTGTGACTTTGGTCCCCTGGGAGAGAAGCATCCGTAGTCCAGGCTGGAACGTGTTGGTCGGGATGTGCAGTAGACACCACAGTGCTCTGGTTATAAATTGTATTTGTAAGAATAACATCGGACCCTTGGATTTCACCATCAGTGACCAAAGGTTCACTCCCATTTGATTTAAAATAGACCTTTTGTAATGTTCCTGAAAGACAAAAACAAACACAAAAAAAACCTATCTTTGAAACATTACTAGAAGTGTTTATTTTAAAAAACATTAAGAAAACTCTAGAGCTACTTTCCCTATGTCATTCTAACCAGGTAAACACAAAGACGAAGATGAAAGCCGTAATAGTGACCTCCTTCTTGGGGTCAACAACCACAAAACCAAGAGTTTCTCTTCTACCACAAATCACACAGCCCTGTGATGAAACATGGCTTTCTCAAGAGCTTACGGTTTAGAAACTGGGTCTCCTATCAAGGTTTCCTGGTGCTTCAAAAATGTAGGGTAATTCTACCTCACCTGAGACTCACCACACAATAAAATGTGGTGAATCTTACAGCATTCTCTTTCACTTCCTTAGTTTCTTAATCTCACCGGTCATTGTTTGCTACTCAGGACCCAGGACATGTGCTCTACCTCTCTCTGTATCTGTCATCAAAGGACACAATGGTGCTTGCCATCAGCTTTATATTTCCCACATTTTGCACTAATGTTCAGTAAACTATGCATCACACACAAATAAAAAATAAGAGGGCTCATACATTTATCAAAACTTGTATCATAGGAACCAAAAAAAAAAAAACCTCTAAAGCACAAACTAAAAGAAGAAACTAAATTATCTTCATCTTCGACCAGAAAATAAAAATGTAATTATATGAAATAAGAAATACTCATTTAAAAAATTTATTTCCATAGGTTATTGGGGAACAGGTGGTGTTTGGTAACGAGTAAGTTCCTTAGTGGTGATTTGTGAGATTTTGGTGCACCCATGCACCATGCAAAGTTTGGCACATGCCATGAGCAGTATACACTGCACCTAACTTGTAGACTTTTACCCCAACTCTCTTTCCACACTTTCCCCGAGTCCCCAAAGTTCATTGTGTCATTCTTATGCCTTTGCATCCTCATAGCTTAGCTCCCACTTATGAGTGAGAACATACGATGTTTGGTTTTCCATACTCATTAAACTAAGATTATCAACTGGCCACTTTCTCAAGGTATCCATTCATTGACAAAACAAAGAACCAAACCTAAGATTATTGAAAACCACCTTGCTTTGTCTTTAGGAAGAAACATTTGAAAACTTTGAAAGAGATCGTGTATTTTTAACTCAGTCAAAATAGACAGCAGATTGTGTTTCCAGAATATCGCACTGTACTTGAGCATGCCACGAAAATAAATGAATGTGATATTGACCCATCGATAGAAAGAGCCAAGGGAGATTTTCTTTTCTAAAAGCATTTACAGTGAATGCTCTAATTGGCTCTCACTTTTCTAAATAGTCCCAAGGACCATTAAAAATAAAAGAAACATAAATAAAATGTTTAATATCAGTCTATGGAAACAATTTCTCTACATATGCTTGACACTTGGAAAACATTAACTACAAATAAAAATAGAAAAGCAGCTGTTTCTAGCTAACTGAGATCAACAGTTTCCTCTGCCAAAAGATTGTAAATAAAACATTGAAGCATAAAAGCTAAATCATGATCATGTAATGCGGGTAACATGCTCTCCAAACCATCTGTGTGATCATGAGTAAAAGTCAAATGCAGTAGGTAAAATGAAGGAATTCATTTAATTGTTATTGATTTTCAAAATGATTTAGACTTTATCCTAATCAAAATAAATGTGATAGGTTTAATTACTATAGGAAATGTATTTCACACATACAGAATAATTAGTAATTAATCAATTACCTATAGTTTTCCTTACATCCATTTGTTAATTGCTCTCTTCCTTGCTTATTTTTGGCATAAAGAGATTTTTTCCATAAGGTGATATTTATGCTAATGTGGTTGTAATGAATATATAGGCCCATTAAGTTGATTTACTTATCTTGCTGAATCTATGAGTAGGCATCCAGTTCTGTCAACATACTTTTAGCAAATGCCAATTGTTCACGGTTGTACCCTGGAGTAATTCCCTTAAAATTAGTTCCTTCTCATATAAAATATTTGAACACTTGTTCCTAACTTTTTGGTAATAATTAGCCTTATTAATAATCTTTCCTTTGTCATTTTAATATTTCCTTTATCATTTTAACCAAACAGTGTTTAAAGTGTTCATAACATCTGGCTGGGCACAGAGACTCATGCCTGTAATCCCAGCACTTTGGGAGGCCGAGGCAGGTGGATCACCTGAGGTCAGGAGTTCTAGACCACCCTGACCCGCGTGAAACCCCGTCTCTACTAAAAATACAAAATAAAATTAGCTGGGCATGGTGGCGGGCACCTGTAATCTCAGCTACTAGGGAGGCTGTGGCAGGAGAATTGTTTGAACCCGGCAGGCAGAGGTTGCAGTGAGCCGAGTTTGCACCATTGCACTCCAGCCAGGGCAACAAGAGTGAAATTCTGTCTCAAAAATAAATAAATAAATAAATAAAAATAAAGTCTTCATAACATCTGTTTATCCTAAGAAGTCCTCTGAAACATTGACATTTTTAAGAAAACACTGACTTGGATAACAACTTTCT
Source organism: Homo sapiens (assembly GCF_000001405.40). Taxonomy (NCBI): domain Eukaryota; kingdom Metazoa; phylum Chordata; class Mammalia; order Primates; family Hominidae; genus Homo; species Homo sapiens. The sequence goes on from NC_000004.12 coordinate 47,789,420, forward strand.
TTTAAAAAGGCAGCTTCATTGCTCTTAAGCTTTATGTATTGAAAGCAATTTGGCAGAATAAAAAGAAAGATAATATTTGAGAGGTACTGTAGTTAATGTTTTTAAAGTATATTTTGGGGGAAGAGAAACAGAATAAACTTAAAGGACATGTCTTTAAAAGCCTGAACTCACTGGACAACTTGTTTTCAAGTATCTCTGGAAGCTGACCAACTCCCAACACGGTTGTCTACTATGCATTTTCTTTTAAGCACAAGAATTAGAACTCAATAAAACTAAATGCTTTCAACCTGTATCATGATGAGCTATAAAAATGCTAAGAGGCCGGGCGCGGTGGCTCACGCCTGTAATCCCAGCACTTTGGGAGGCTGAGGCAGGCGCATCATG